>NC_000008.11:41678284-41981314 GCF_000001405.40 Homo sapiens | reverse complement strand
AAGGAGTCTCACTCTGTCGCCCAGGCTGGAGTGCAGTGGCACGATCTTGGCTCACTGCAACCTCTGCCTCTCTGGTTCAAGCAGTTCTCCTGCCTCAGCCTTCTGAGTAGCTGGGATTACAGGCACATGCCACCATGCCCGTCTAATTTTTGTATTTTTAGTAGGGACAGGGTTTCACCATGTTGGTCAGGCTAGTCTCGAACTCCTGACCTCATGATCCACCCGCCTCGACCTCCCAGAGTGTTGGGATTACAGGCGTGAGCCATTGCGCCTGGCTTATCTCTTTTTTTAAGATCCCTGAAGCTTTCTAGGTTTTATGCAGTCATGATCGTAACATGTTTCTGCTTCATAAGGTTAAGCAAAACTGTCCTTTCTTTTTTCTAATAGGATAACATGCTCTTTTGTGATTCATGTGACCGAGGTTTTCACATGGAGTGTTGTGATCCGCCACTCACCCGTATGCCAAAAGGTGAGAAATACTTTCTGAAATAAAACTGGGAATATAAAGGAGGATGTTAGTGAAAGCACATTTTATCTACTTTGTTAAATGAAATAATAATTGGATCTTTCTTTTTGAGGTTGTATAAGTAGGAAGAGAACTGTCACCTTAAAAGGTGGGGGGATAGTCTTTCTGAGTGGGCATCTTAACATTCTTACATGATACGGATTTATTGTTATTTTCAATATCTAGGCATCCATCAATGGTGAAGTGGTTCATTTATACATATTTGCCAGTCTCTAGCTAGAAGATAAAATACTTGCCTTAAATATATCTTGAAATATCTCTTTATTGAAAGGAGGAAATAAAATAGTATTAGGTCGTGTTGATTATATCACTGCTTAGCACTTTTGAGGGCCCTAGAGCTATAGAGATATGGTTTATTCAAAACTTAAAAAAAAAACCTTTTTATGAAATACTTTATGAAATAAAAAGGTTTTTTGTTGTTGTTGTTGTTGTTTTAATGAAATACATTCTGAACAAATAAGTGTCCAGATTGTAAGGGCGCAGCTTAATGTTACTCTTTTCTTTTGATTCCTGTTCATTGAGAGGTATTTAGTTTGGGCATAGTTGCCTCATGGTTGGACTTCCATATTCATATGCTTATAGGTTCTTTAAAAAAAACTTCAGCCAGACCCCTCTTTTTGTCCTATCACAAATTCCATTTTAACTCTGATTTTATAATTTATAGGCTTCTTAAGTAAAATGCCTATAGGATATTTCATAATATTTGTTTGGAAAAAAATTTCCTGTTGATAGAAAATGACTTAACCGTACTTTGTAGTCATGTTAACACTTTAGGTTTTTACTTGAATTCACTTATTCCACCCCCTCACCCATGGAGTCTCACTCTGTCGCCCAGGATCTTGGCTCACTGCAGCCTCCACCTATCAGGTTCAAAGCGATTCTCTGCCTCAGCCTCCCATGTAGCTGGGACTACAGGCGTACCACGACACCTGGCTAATTTTTGTATTTTTAGTAGAGATGGGGTTTTGCCATGTTGGCCAGGCTCGTCTTGAACTCCTGGCCTCAAGTGATCTGTTCGCCTCGGCCTCCCAAAGTGCTGGGATTACAGGCATGAGCCACCGCGCCCAGCCTGAATTCACTTACTGATTGTTACTTTTTGAAACGTCTTCAATTTATAAATACTAAAGAATAAATACCCACTTTTTCCATTTATGTGAAGTCTGAGCAAGGGGCCTTCTAAGAGTCCTAAGAAAGGTTTTTTTTTTGGAGTTGGAATCTCACTCTGTTGCCCAGGCTGGAGCCCACCTTGGCCTCCCAAAGTGTTGGGATTACAGGCGTGAGCCACCATGCCTGGCTTGCAGCTAATGTTTTTTGTAGAGATGCAGTTTCACCATGTTGGCCAGGCTTGTCTCAAACTCCTGACCTCAGGTAATCCGCCCACCTCAGCCCCCCAAAGTGATGGGATTACAGGCATGAGCCACTGTGCCCAGTCAAGAAACATTTCCTTAGGACTCCTTTCTTGTGTGTTTAACTTCTACAAAAGAGATTATATAGCAGCTTTAGGCAGGAAACTTTTTTTTTGAGACGGAGTCTCACTCTGTCGCCCAGGCTGGAATGCAGTGGTGCAATCTCGGCTCACTGCAACCTCCGCCTCCTGGGTTCAAACGATTCTCCTGCCTTAGCCTCCCGAGTAGCTGGGACTACAGGCACGTACCACCATGCCCAGCTAATTTTTGTATTTTTAGTAGAGACAGGGTTTCACCATGTTGGCCAGGCTGGTCTTAAACTCCTGACCTCAGGTGATCCACCCGCCTCAGCCTCAGTGGACTTCAAGTGCAGTCAGTGGACTTCCAGTGCAGGCTTGAAGGTGTATGTGAGTCTCTTCCAATTATTTGTAGAATTTTGTGTGTATATGTTTTAATGTTTATTTTGGATTGGAGGGGGTATTCATCAGATTTTCTAATGACAGTCTTTTACCTGAAAAAGTTAAGATCCTGACTTAAGACTATCTGAAACCTTTCAGTGTATTTATGTCTGTCACACTTCTATGTGGAATTTTATTTTTTTATAGGCATGTGGATATGTCAAATATGTCGACCTAGGAAAAAAGGACGAAAACTTCTACAAAAGAAGGCAGCACAGATAAAACGGCGCTATACTAATCCAATAGGACGTCCAAAAAACAGGTTAAAGAAACAAAACACGGTGTAAGTTGTACTTGTGGCAAGGTGAGGGGAGAAAAGGATAGGGTCTTCTCTATAGTGTAGGATTCACTTGTTTTCTCTATGAAAAAAATTCCATTGTCATATCTGGCACTTTTATATAATAATAATGGCTAACACTTATTCAGCCCTTAATAAGTGCCAGACACTATTCTAAGTGCTTTATATGCATTGAATTGTTTAATTCTGCCAACAACCCAGTGAAATATAGCTGCTGCTGTTACTTTCATTTTTCAAAGGAAGAAACTAAGGCATAGTAAATGTTGAACTGGGATGAAAATCCGAGTAGTCTGGCACCAAAGTCTGACTCTTAACCATTGCTTTATGTTGCTTCTCTTATATAAAAACAGGAAAGAAAAAGTTGTTACTGTGACATTTCACATGTCACTCTCCTGATCTTGTCTCAGTTGTTAATATCTATTAGGTGTACAAATCACTGGATAGGTTCTTCCTATTGAGGTGATGGCTAAGTCCCATTTTTGTGTTCTTTGGATGTAAAATAATTTGAATGTTTTCATCTATTAGCAGAAATCAGAAATTGTGGACTAGAAAGCTGGGCTATGTCTGGAGGAGGTGGGGCAAGATTCAGTAGCTAGTTTTGTCTTTTTAAAAATGTCTGTAGTAACTCACCTTTGATGATATGTAAACGTCTTCAGGCTTGTCAACCTCCCTTTATTATCAAAAGTTTTACTTACTTTTTTTACACGTAAGACTATCTTGAAGGTGATATAACTGAAATGAATGGGCATTAGCAGCCTGAAATGTACAGAACCAATATTGTAGTCTATATTCAAAATCTTAAATCAAGCTTTGATTTTCCTATAAAATGATCTTTTGATTCCTGGCCTTCGAAGAATAACCCATCCTTGTGTTTTAGAGATAAAAGTATAACTTTCAGTTGGTGCAGAGATCACAGTGTAGTAGAACTTTATACCTGGAAGGATCTTAGTTGTTCTTAGTCCAGTTCTCATTTTACAGATGAAGGCACTGACATATGTTTAGAAAAAATGTGATTTGTCCAAGTCGTACAGCTAGTAAGAGAGAATTATGACTAGAACAAGTCTTCTGACTCCTGGCCTGTCATTCTTTGCACTATAAGTAGGCTTCCTGGCAATAGATGTTTCTAATAATAATATTAATTTTCATTCACAGAGTACTATTTATAGTTTGCAGAATATTCTTAATAATATAGATTTTAATAAAGCTGTAGGTTACTTACTAATTATATGTTATGTATTAAAAAGGAACCTTACAAGTATCTTTTTTAATACTTACCCTTTCCCCTGTTTAATTGTTTAGATCAAAAGGTCCCTTCAGCAAAGTTCGAACTGGCCCTGGAAGGGGTAGGAAACGAAAAATCACTCTTTCCAGCCAATCAGCATCATCATCATCAGAAGAAGGATATTTAGAGCGGATAGATGGCTTGGACTTCTGCAGAGATAGCAATGTCTCCTTGAAGTTCAACAAGAAAACCAAAGGGCTCATTGATGGCCTTACCAAATTTTTTACCCCTTCCCCTGATGGGCGGAAAGCTCGGGGGGAAGTGGTGGACTACTCTGAGCAATATCGAATCAGAAAGAGGGGCAACAGGAAATCAAGCACTTCAGATTGGCCCACAGGTAAGAGTTTAGAACAGACTTAGAAACAAATAGTATTCTGTACATGTATTATTCGGGATAACACTAATTATCTATAATGGATTTATATTTGATTATTAACAATTGGTTATAGAATATAAGAACACATTGAAAAAACATGTAGATGATACTGAGGTGATAACTGTGGCAGGAATTTAGAGGATGGAAATAAAGTTGCAGAATGGGACAGTAGGAACTCTTAGGCAAAAGGAAGCTGCTTTTTTGTAGAACCACAAAGAATCTGCCTAGAGAAACTTGGGGTGTAACCTTGAGGATTACTTTACATTTCACAAATTACTAAAGAAATCATATGGTGAATGTTATGATGCCTGCTTATTCCAGGAAGGAAACTGGAAAGAATAGAACTGGGTGAAATGCTGTTGATCTAAGCATAAAAAAAAGACCAAAATATTTGCAGATGTGATGAGGTCATTGACTTTTCTACTTCAGATCTTGACAAATATAGTTGTAAGTCATGGATTGCACTTAAAAAGGGAGAGACAGAACCACAGCTCCAGGCTGCTTATGTATCAGGCTAAGTTCCCTAATTTTCAAAGTAGAAAACATCTGTGGAGAGGACTTAATAATGTGGCAAATCATTCAAGTCAGAGGAGAAGAATTTGATTAACTGTCCAATAAATTAAAGCTTAAAATAGTCTTATTGCTGAGCCTTGAATTTAGAGATACTAACCCTGTGAAGGAAGTAGAAAGGGCTTGAAGAAAGTAGAATGAGAATGAACTCTTTTGGACCACAAGGGCCAGAGGTGTAGTGTCTCATCTACTACAAGAGAATTCCCTGACCTTGGTTTCCTCCCTGAATGTCTCCTTGGTGAGGGAGAGTGTATTCACTGCTCTCATTCGTGGTTGATTGTCCAGTGCAGGAGAGAAAGTCCTTGTAATTGTCAGAGTCCCCTTTGTATGCTTTATTGATTGGTCTTTTACCATAGTGATGATCAACTAATTACTCTTTAAGCATTCAAGACTCTTCATGTCTTTATCAACCTGTAGATAAGTTCCTGATCTGAGCATGTTTATCTAAGAAAATATGCAATCCGTTTAGATTAAACTAGGAAAGAATCTCAGAGCAAATCCTAATGAAAGACATTTTTGAATTAACCATTTGTACTGGAGACGGTTTATTAGAAGAATCTACTAGAAAGCTTTTGAAATAGAAATTGTTAGAGCAAGTGTATCAAGTATATGGAGAACCAATATTGAATTTTTGACAGTGGTGTGAGCGTTTGCTTTAATAGGCTCTGTCATTTTCTTTATGAATTATAAAGTTTAAGTACCGAATGCTGTATTAGAGAGGTGCATGCATCATGCACTAGGGGGCATTAAAGTCACATAGTACCTTTAGATTGTACTTTTTTCTTCCAGTTTGAGAATGTTGTCAACAGTGAGTCCTTGACTTTTTTCTTCTTGTGTTAAGTTAATAACAGATGGCCCATATGTGCAGTTGACTTGAGAACTGTCACCAATTGGTCTTTTCAGCCATACTTATAAAGAGAGCAAATGAGCCCAACAGCAGTGTCATCTTCAAATGCAAAGGATAATGATCTTCATAAGTCCCAAATACTCTCTTCACTAGTTTTTTGCCAACTTGAGGAAGTTCCATCATTTAGTAGATAATTATCATACGTTTTCATATTTACCCAGATGATTATCATCTGGGTAAATAGAGTTTGTGCTTTAAAAGGACAGTGTTTTAAAGTTTGTGCTTTAACTTTAAAAGGGCACCCAGAATGTGATGGGAGTTAGTACTGCTGACATCAGTTAAGGTAGCTACTCAAGAGGTTTTTTTGAACGTTGATGCATTAAACCTATACTAAAAGTGTCAAATTTATACTATTTCAAAATGAAATTTATATTCCTTATATCATTTTTCTGTCTGCCTTTCTGTGTATTAAAATGTAATCTTTAATGAAGTTTAAATTTAGTTATATAATATTTTTAGGAAGCTTTAAGACAATTCAGGATTTCCACTATAAGGCAGATTTAATACATAAATATTATTTATTGAGTAGCATTCTTCTAAGAGTCAGTTTAATGCTATATTCTTCGTTATATATTAAGTTCTTCAAATTGAAATAAAGACCTGAAATTTTTTCTAGTTCATGTATTAATCTGGGGACAGTTAACATGTGAGCTCTTTTTTTATATGTAGACAATCAGGATGGCTGGGATGGCAAACAAGAAAATGAGGAGCGACTTTTTGGGAGCCAGGAAATCATGACTGAGAAAGATATGGAATTATTTCGTGATATCCAAGAACAAGCACTGCAGGTAAAGTTGGATATTCAGGTTAGACAATCAAGCAACTTGTTCATGGCTGAGAAACAGCAGATTAATTACATTGTGGGTTAAGCAGTAACAGCAGTTTGCCTAATCTCAGAATAGTTGTGGTTTGTGTGTATATGTAGTTCTGCTGTTTATAATATTCCTTTCAAACCCATGATAACTGCTTTGGTTTTGCAGATAAGCACATGGCTTTGACTATCAATATTAAATAAGCTTGGTTTATTTTTTGTCTTACTGTATGAAGAAGAATTTGGGATTTGACCAAAAACAAACAAAAAACAAGCTTCTCATGAGTGATAAAACACCTATATTTATTAATTCAAGAAGTATTTCATGCCTGTAATCCTAGCACTTTGCCAAGGTGGGTGGATTGCTTGAGTCTGGGAGTTTGAGACCAGCTGGGGCAAAATGGCAAAACCCCATCTCAAAAAAAAAATAGAAAAATTAGCCAGGTATGTTGGTGCACACCTGTAGTCACAGCTATTTAGGAGGCTGAGGCAGGAGAATTGCTTGAGCTGGGGAAATGGAGGTTGCAGTGACCTGAGATCATGCCACTGTACTCCAGCCTGGGTGACAGAGTGAGACCCTGTCTTCCAAAAAAAAAAAAATTGCAATTCTTTGTGACACATGGCAAGATCGTAAATATATAGACAGAGTCTATGTGCCACATGCTGGAGATGCCAGTGAATGACTGAATTCTTTCCCTGAACTATAGGAGAGATTTGTGAATAAGTAATGTCATTAATATGAAAAGTTCAATTATAGAATACTTGATGTTTTGGGAGAATAGGGAAGCCAGCTTCTACTTCTGCCTGGGGAGGTCAGAGGAGGATTCATTGAGGGGCCTTAAAGGATATGTAGGAGTTGTACATATCCCTTAAAGGGATATGTAGGGAGTTGGTTCTTATATAATCAGAAGGAACAGAAGTGAAGGTGGAATAGACTTGAAGATAGGGGAAAACATGCTTAATTGTGGGAATTAAAATGGCTCAGGATAAAGAATATAGGGTGTGGAGAATGGCAGGAGGTGAGGTTGGAAAAGTGCAGGGGCTAGATCATAAAGGCTCTTCCAGATTATGTTCATTTATTTTTTGTCTTTTCCTTCTTTGCCACCAACAAATGTACCATGTAAGCCAAGTTCTCTTTTATCTTGAAAAGAAGAATTTCTAGGCTGGGCACGGTGGCTCACCCCTGTAATCCCAGCACATTGGGAGGCCGAGGCGGGTGGATCACTTGAGGTCAGGAATTCGAGACCAGCCTGGCCAGCATGGTGAAACCCCGTCTCTACTAAAAATACAAAAATTAGCCGGTGGCACACGCCTGTGGTCCCAGCTACTCGGGAGGCTGAGGCAGAAGAATCACTTGAATCCGGGAGGTGGAGGTTGCAGTGAGCCGAGATCGTGCCACACCACTCCAGCCTGGGCAACAGAGTGAGACTCCATCTCAAAAAAAAAAAAAAATTCTAAGGCTGATGCCGAGGGTTCTAGGGAAAACTCTTCATATTAAGAGACCCAGTGGTGGTGAATAGACTGTTGATGTCGGTCATTATGTGAGTACTTTTGGAAAAATAAAACAGCAGTACAAATACTCAGCACGCATTTACTCAGCATTCTGCTGTATTATGATTTAACAAAATATTGGCTTTGATTCAGGTGGATCTGGGTTCAAGTCTTGATCTGTCATTTACTAACTTCTCCTTTGGGCAGGTTGCCCTCAAAGCTTGTTTCCTTTCATGCTAGTGAGTTATTATAGGTACTCTAGTAGAAATCTACATGGACTTCAGTGGGAACTGAAAGGAGGCAGTAGTTATGTTCTTCCTGACTGAAAGAATTTTTTTTTCTCCTCCCGAGTAAGTTGCAGACATAATGTGTTAATATCCCTTTACTCCTAATTTTTTGTGTGTATTTCCTAAAAACAGAAATGTTCTCATACATGACCATGGTCCAATCATCAAATCAGGAATTTAACACAAATTAAGTACTATTATCTAATTTAGTTGTCACGTCTCTCTAGTCTCCTTCCAATTGGGAACAGTTCCTCAGTCTTTATCTTTCATGACCTTGACAGTTTTGAAGTGCACAGGTCATTTATAGAATGTCATCACTTTGAGCTTGTTTTATTTTTCATGATTAGAAAATTCCACAGGTGTGCTGTGTCCTCCTCAGTGTGTCACATCAGAAGGCATGTAATATCCAAGTTCTCATCACAAGTGCTGCTAACAGTGACCACCTGGTTTAGGTGGTATCCATGTTTCTTCTCTAACATTGCTTTCTACCTATAATTAAGTATCTTGGGGGGACATACTTTGAGACAGAAATGCAGATAACCTGTTTTTCATCAAACTTTTATCTACCACATTTAGCATCCAGAGATGATTTTTGCCTGAATCATTTACTTTGTTGGTGGCCAAACATTATTTTCTAATTCTATCATTTCTTTGCCATTTATTAATTGGCATTCTATTGTAAGGAGAAGCTTTTTCTTCTTCCTATTTGTTTATTCATTTTGTTTAAACTCATAGATTATTTTATGGTTATAATCCATTGCTATTAGTATTTATTTTGATGCTTAAATTGTTCCAAATTTAGGCAGAGGGGAACTCCTTTCTAGAAGCTCCTCTGTCCTTTTAACACATCATCATCATTTTTATTTACTTCTGGCCACAGCAAGATGTTCTAGGCTCTTACTGTTGTAGCCATAGATTCTGGCTTTTAGTGGTGAACAAGAGTAAATGGTAGCTCTATCCTGTACTTGCTTAGGCCCACAGAGATGTCATCTTGATTTTTTTTTTCTCTGTCATACTTCACATTCAGTCCATCAGCAAATCCTAATGGTTCTGCCTTCAGAATATGTCTGTATTTGCTACTGCCAACCCACTGTCATCTCTGGCTTAGGCTGCTATAATTGCCTCCAGACTAAACTTGCTTCTGCTTTTGCCACCACCCCACTCTCTAGTCTATTTTCTTCATACAGCGGCCAGGGTAATTATTTTTGAACGTAGGTTGGATTATACCACTTCCTTGCTTAGAAAACCTTTCATGTCTTACAGTCTTCTTTAGAATTAAAAAAAAAAAAAAAGAGTCTGTTCTCTCATCTCCAAGGCTGTATATGATTTTGTGCCTGCCTCCCTCTTTGGCTGCTCTTTTTGCTCTCAGGCTACTCCAGCCACAGCCGCCTCCTCTTCCTCAGACACACCAAGCATGCCTGCCTTGGGCCTTTGCAGTCGCTGCACCTTGCCTCGATGGCCCTTCCTCTAGAGTCGATGATTTAGTAGGTTCACTGCCCATTCCATTTAGGTCTTGCTCATATCCACACGAAAATAGCTTACAGCCCATTGTGTCACTCTATCCCCTGACCTGCCTGCTTTTTCTGCATAGTACCTACCACCTCTTGAATTTAAATTTTTTATTTCTAGAATGTAAGTGCCTTGAGAACGAGGCCTTTCTTTTTTTTTTTTTTTTTAAATTATACCTTAAGTTTTAGGGTACATGTGCACAACGTGCAGGTTTGTTACGTATATGTATACATGTGCCATGTTGGTGTGCTGCACCCATTAACTCGTCATTTACATTAGATATATCTCCTAATGCTATCCCTCCCCCCTCCTCCCACCCCACAACAGGCCCCGGTGTGTGATGTTCCCCTTCCTGTGTCCATGTGTTCTCATTGTTCAGTTCCCACCTATGAGTGAGAACATGCGGTGTTTGGTTTTTTTGTCCTTACAATAATTTGCTGAGAATGATGATTTCCAGCTTCATCCATGTCCCTACAAAGAACATAAACTCATCCTTTTTTATGGCTGCATAGTATTCCCTGGTGTATATGTGCCACATTTTCTTAATCCAGTCTATCATTTCTGGACATTTGGGTTGGTTCCAAGTCTTTGCTATTGTGAATAGTGCCGCAATAAACATACATGTGCATGTGTCTTTATAGCAGCATGATTTATAATCCTTTGGGTATACACCCAGTAATGGGATGACTGGGTCAAATGGTATTTCTAGTTCTAGATCCTTGCGGATTCGCCACACTGTCTTCCATGATTCTTGAACTAGTTTGCAGTCCCACCAACAGTGTAAAAGTGAGAACGAGGCCTTTCTTTTTGGTCACTGCTATCTACTGAGTACTTGGAATATAGTAAAGGCTCAGTAAATATTTGTTTAATGAATGGATATTGAATGAAATTTTCTTCTGGGAGAAATGGGGCAGGAGTTGAAATAATAGAAAGGTGCAAGAAGGATGACCAAAGAGAGTTAAACGGGTTGCTGAGCCCTGCTGAGGCTCGGGGAGACAGTGTAAATGCTTATTGACAGTAATCGGGCTAATCCTATGTTTCTTTCCAGCATTTGATTAAACTCAGCATTGTCTGTGTGTGTATTGGCACCAAGGAAATAAACAGCTAGATCTTGGAAGTCTAGTTCATGCTTATTTTTGTTGGCAGTGCACTGAAATTCTGATGATGGTGCTATTTCTCCATGAGGCTTATTCATTTAGCATCATGCACCTGCCTTGGTACCAGAACTATAGGGCAAACAAAAAGACACAGACTCTGCCTTCATGAAGCTTTTAGTTTCACAAACAGACAGATAATAAACACTCATAAAAATAAAACTGTACTTACAAACTGATAGTCGGAAGGAAATGAGAATGCAGTGAGGGGTTCTGACGGGCTGGGCTACCTTGCTGAGGGTTGGGGTTGGAGTGTTTATGAGAAGGGAAGACTTTTGAAGAAGTAACAATTTATACATAGTTCCAAAAGAGTATTCAAAAGTCAGCAGAGTAAAGAGCTAGAGAAGAACATTTCAGAGACAAGTGGATTGCCTATGTAAACGTCTAAGGGTGTGAAAGAGGTTGATAAACTTAAGGAACTGAAGTTCAGTGTAACTCAAATACAGTGAACAGAAGAGTTGCATAAGGTGAAGCTGGGGAAATAGACTGAGGCCAGAAGTTAGAATTGGGGTTTTTATCATAATTGCAGTGGGAAGACATTGAATGGTTTTTAGCAAGGAAACAGCAAGATCTGTTTCATTAAAAAATGGTTTTTCTTGGCTACTACATAAAGAGTGGTTTAGAATTAAGCAAGAGTGGAAGCTGGGAAACCACTTTGCAGGCTTTTCCGGTGATCAGGATGAGAGAAGATGTTAGCTAGGACTAGAGGGGTGGTGGTAGAAATGGGAGAGAAGTGGATGGATTTAGATATATTTTGGAGTTGGAATCAGCAGAACTTAGTGATGAGTTTTATGTGTAGCTTGAGGAAGCAAGAGATGATCAAAGATGACTTCCAGGTTCTCTGACTTAATTTAATAAAGAAAGTGGTTTGAAGCCACTTGGGAAAGTTCATGTTGACTAGATAAGAGGACATTTTGAATAATGAAAGGATTCATAAATATAGTGCAGAAAGTCATTTTTGAGAGCATAGATATAGCTTAGATGATGCTTGAACCTGTGTTTCAAAAATTTTGCAGGTAGATTTTATTACAGTGTCTTTGGTAGTCTTACAGCAGCATCAGCAAAAGACATGATAAAGGAATTAATATTAGAATCCATCCAACTAATAACACATTGTTTATTGAGTGCCTGCTATGTTCTAGAAACTATGGTACGGGGAGGGGCTATCAGAAGGACATAGTTTCTGTTCTCTTAGAGCTTATAGTCTGGAAGGGACTATCTTGAATAATCAAACTTTGCATGGAACATTATCTAAGTCAAAGAT
Source organism: Homo sapiens (assembly GCF_000001405.40). Classification (NCBI taxonomy): domain Eukaryota; kingdom Metazoa; phylum Chordata; class Mammalia; order Primates; family Hominidae; genus Homo; species Homo sapiens. Next base: position 41,968,975 of record NC_000008.11, on the reverse strand, counting down.
AATTGAAATATTTAGCAAGATTTTTTTCAAAAGGAGTCAGCCACTTATTGGTTTTAATTTTTTTAAAAAATTATTGCAGGCAGTAGGGTAAGTATGGATGTAGTTTGCCTAGTACTGTGTTCCATCATTAGCTATACAACATACACTTCCATGAAAAAGAGCCACCTCTGAATACAAAAGTGGAAGCATAAAAAAATTAGTAGTATAGGTTTTTGTTCTAGAATTTTATTTCAACTATGATCTTACGAGCTTGGAGAAACTATTTTTCTTAAAAGACTCTGTCAGTAGAAAGAAGCATTTGTGTGCATGTGTCTTTATAGCAGCATGATTTATAGTCCTTTGGGTATATACCCAGTAATGGGATGGCTGGGTCAAATGGTATTTCTAGCTCTAGATCCCTGAGGAATCGCCACACTGACTTCCACAGTGGTTGAACTAGTTTACAGTCCCACCAACAGTGTAAAAGTGTTCCTATTTCTCCACATCCTCTCCAGCACCTGTTGTTTCCTGACTTTTTAATGATTGCCATTCTAACTGGTGTGAGATGATATCTCACTGTGGTTTTGATTTGCATTTCTCTGATGGCCAGTGATGGTGAGCATTTTTTCATGTGTTTTTTGGCTGCATAAATGTCTTCTTTTGAGAAGTGTCTGTTCATGTCCTTTGCCCACTTTTTCATGGGGTTGTTTGTTTTTTTCTTGTAAATTTGTTTGAGTTCATTGTAGATTCTGTATATTAGCCCTTTGTCAGAAGAGTAGGTTGCAAAAATTTTGTCCCATTTTGTGGGTTGCCTGTTCACTCTGATGGTAGTTTCTTTTGCTGTGCAGAAGCTCTTTAGTTTAATTAGATCCCATTTGTCAATTTTGGCTTTTGTTGCCGTTGCTTTTGGTGTTTTAGACATGAAGTCCTTGCCCATGCCTATGTCCTGAATGGTAATGCCTAGGTTTTCTTCTAGGGTTTTTATGGTTTTAGGTCTAACGTTTAAGTCTTTAATCCATCTTGAATTGATTTTTGTATAAGGTGTAAGGAAGGGATCCAGTTTCAGCTTTCTACATATGGGTAGCCAGTTTTCCCAGCACCATTTATTAAATAGGGAATCCTTTCCCCATTGCTTGTTTTTCTCAGGTTTGTCAAAGATCAGATAGTTGTAGATATGCGACGTTATTTCTGAGGGCTCTGTTCTGTTCCATTGATCTATATCTCTGTCACATGCACACGTATGTTTATTGTGGCACTATTCACAATAGCAAAGACTTGGAACCAACCCAAATGTCCAACAATGATAGACCGGGTTAAGAAAATGCGGCACATATACACCATGGAATACTATGTAGCCATAAAAAATGATGAGTTCATGTCCTTTGTAGGGACATGGATGAAATTGGAAATCATCATTCTCAGTAAACTATCGCAAGAACAAAAAACCAAACACTGCATATTCTCACTCATAGGTGGGAATTGAACAGTGAGAACACATGGACACAGGAAGGGGAACATCACACTCTGAGGACTGTTGTGGGGTGGGGGGAGGGAGGAGGGATAGCATTGGGAGATATACCTAATGCTAGATGACGAGTTAGTGGGTGCAGCGCACCAGCATGTCACATGTATACATATGTAACTAACCTGCACATTGTGCACATGTACCCTAAAACTTAAAGTATAATAAAAATAAATAAATAAATAAATAAATAAATAAATTTTTTTTTTTAAAAAAAGAAAGACGCGTTTGTATTCAGTTCATTCCAGTGGAGCATGACCACCTTCTTGAAATATATAGAATGATTTTTACATAAAATATCAAAGAGCACATTGTATTTTCATACAGATTTTAATGCTTTCTGATTCTGAAGGATTCCTTTGGTTTTTGTATGGTTCTGGAAAGTTACAGAGCATTTTTGAAATCTGTGCGGGTTATTAAAATTTCTTTGCGTGAAGAGTTAAATCATTATTAAAAATACAGTAAGCTAGTTTCAACAACTTTATTAACCCCATGATGTAGAGGTGTTACCCCATTTTACATATGAGGAAACCAACACTATTAGTTCAGTGACTTCCTGTAAGTTTTTATGTTAGTGGAGCCGAAATTAAAACTTAGGCCATGTGACTTCTAATTCTGTACCCTTAATCACAATAACATCCTGCATTATTCTGTATACGGGATGTCATGGGGGTAGCAAAATCATTAGGCATGTGCTAAGTGCAGGCAGGTAAAGGTGCATAGGAAGATACACAGCAGACAATAGCTTAGAGTACCAATGAAACATAGTGCATTGCTGTATTAAATGATTCAGACTTGTCTCAGATGTTCACAGTATACTAAGATGTGTGAGAATTGGCGCAACCTGAGATGATCACAGAAGCAGCAGTCCTAAGGAATGATGAGGATTTAGGTAGATGGAGAGAACTAGGGCTTATCAGATGGAGTAAACAACATTAACTTCAGCTTTGAGGAAGCAATGACTACTATACAGGAGTCCCCGCGTATCCACCAGTGATACGCTCCAAGATCCCCAGTAGATGCCTGAAACCGTGGACTGTACTGAACCCTGTATGTACTGTATTGTGTTACATGAATGTAGTCTGTCTCTCTCTAAATCTCTTATTGTACTATTGTACTGTACTAACTCTTCTGACGGTGTGAGATGATAAAATTTGCACCGAGGCTGACGACAGGTAACTAGAACCTCGAAAAGCAAAGCTGGGGATAAGGGGAGACTACTATAAATAATTCCAGCTGGAGGGCAAAGACGTATTATCTGTGTATTCCAAGAACCTGCCACTGAGATAGCAAGCAGAAGCTCACATTTATTTGGCACTCACTGCATGAATGGCATAGTGCTGTAAGTTCTGTGCAAATATCAACTCGTTTAAGCTTTTCAACAAATCTGATAGTGACTTGCCCAACTAAGGTGATTCAGCCGAGATAGGATTTGAACTGTGCTAGCCTTTTCTAGTTCCCAGGCTCTTAACTACTATTTTAATAAGTTGTGCTAAATTATCCAATGAACTAAAAATACATCTATGCGGCCTTTAATATGTGACTTATATTTAATGGGTAAATGCCTTAACACAGTAAACATCGCCCCACCTACCATTCCTACTTTCAGCAGCATCAAGGAGACATCACTTAACAGCAAAAAGATGTCATGGGGGTACCTTAAAATCCCGTCATGCCGAAACTGACATCTTGTTACTAGCTTTCAAAATGCTCCAAAATGCAGCTTAATACTAGTAATTCAGTGTATTACCATTGCCCAACAGATGTTCCACCCTGTCTTATCTCAAACTAAACTCCAGCTATTCCTCACTTTGCATGGTGCAATGTTAACTGAAACCCATGCTTATCAAACTAAAGTAGATTGAAGGAACAGGAGATGATCAAAGATGACTTCCAGGTTCTCTGACGCTGTAATAAAAAAAGTGGTTTGAAGCCAGTTGGGAAAGTTCATCTTGGCTAGATAAGAGGATGTTTTGAATAATAAAAAGACTCATAAAGGTAATGCAGAAAGTCATTTTTGAGGGCATAGATACAGCTTAGAAACTGCTTCACCTGTGTTAGGGTTGGCAAAATATGGCCTGTGGCCCAGTCCCATCCACAGCCTGTTTTGTATGACCTGCAAGCTGAGGATGGTTTTAATATTTTTAAACAGTTGGACAAAAATAAAAAGAATAATATTTATGGACATGTGAAAATTATGTGAAAAATGTTAGCGTTCGTAAATAAAGTTTTATTACAACATACAAAAAACCCATGCATATCAGAACTAAGGTCAAATCTGTCACCTCAGAAGCACGGACACAATTCTGATGTGTACCTGTTTCCATTAACACAGTGCCATCAAAAACAAGGACTGCCTGTCTTACAACACCTTTATGGGCAGATACTGTGTTTTCTATATCATCTCCACAGTGTGACTTGCATGTAGTAGGTCCTCAAATATTTGTTGATCTGATGGGCCAATAATCACCCTATCTCCTGTATTTACAGTAATCCCCCTTTTATCTGTGGTTTTGCTTTCCATGGTTTCAGTTACCCTTGGCTTGCCAAGGTCTGAATTTTATTATCATCGTCTCCTCCTCCTCATCATCATCAGAAGGGTGCATACCATGCAATAGGATATTTTGAGAGAGACCACATTCACGTAACTGTTATTACAGTACATCGTTTTAATTGTTCTGTTTTTAGTTATTGTTGTTAATCTCTTACTGTGCCTAATTTATAAATTAAATATCATGGGTATGGATGAATAGGAAAAAACATAGTATATACAGGTTGACTATCCCTTATCCAAAATGCTTGGGACCAGAAGTGTTTTGGATTTTGATTTTTTTTTTTTTTTTTTTTCAGATTTTGGAATATTTGCATCATATGCTTAGCCGTCGAGCATCCTGAATTCAAAATCTGCAGTGTTCTTACGAGCATTTCGTTTGAGTATCATTAGTGCTCAAAACGTTTCAGATTTTGGAGCATTTCAGGTTTCAGATTTTCAGATTAGGGATACTCAACTTGTATAACATTTAATACTATCTGCAGTTTTCAGGTATTCACTGTAGGTTTTGGAAAGGTGTATTCCCAGTGGGTGGATAAGGGGGACTATTGAATAAACAAGTAATTAAAGCCATGTGGTTAGTAATAGATACCCTCTTATTATATGTAAAATACTATATTCAGCATTATATATTAATTTGTTTCATTTAATACAACTTTATTATTAATTACTTGGCCTCATCTTACAAATGAAGAAATGGAAACATTAGAAGGATTGTTTTACCTAGAGTTATAAATTGTTAAGTTTCAGAGTCAATATTTGAACCCTGGTATTCTGACTCCATGGCCTTAACTGCTTAATTTATGATATAGTATTACTGTGGAGATATGCATAAATTGCAGTGAGAATGAACAGGAAGACATCTAGGGATGTTATTGTTCTATTTTTAGTTATTGTGGTTAACTAAAATTTTAAGTCTTTGTAGAGGAGGTGACATTTGTGTAGGGTGCTGAAGGGATGAGTAAGTTTACTATTGGAGAAGAGTGAGAAGGCATTTCTAGTAGCAAGTTTGGGTGTGAGAAATCGTGTATTCTCGGAGCTGTGTGCAGTTGGTTGGAGTTCAAACAAGAGATGATATTGGAGGGGTACTAGATCATGAAGATTTTGTGTTTCATATTAAGGAGTTTGTACTTAATCTTGCAGGTAAAGTAGCTCTTTAAAGTAGTTAAGTAGTAGCTAAATAGCTCTTGAGGAACTGCTAAAGAATTTCTAAAAAGTGGATGACATCATATTTGTATTTTAGAAACTCAAGTCTGGTGATATTGTCAGCAATGGATTGAGGAACACCTGAGCAAGGGACCAGTCAGATGATTACAGTAGTCAAAATGAAAAGTGACTGGGGCCTAAATGAAGGTAGAAGAGATAGATAGGAGACAGAGATAGATAATCGTTTTGAGAAAGACTTAAGATAGAATGGAAAAGACTGCTGTTGGATTGGGAGTTAGGATTGAAGGAGAGGGCAGAACCAAGTAGGTCTTCTAGTGTTCTATTTGGAGTAGATGATGGTATTACATGTAGGAATATAGGAAAAGAAGCTTATTTAGATGGAAGAAGAGACCATGCTTACACAGTTGTGGGATTGTGTGAAATCTAAAGTGGAGAACTTTGGTAGATGGTTGTGTACATGTATATACAGGAGACCTTGGGTGGGAGATTTGCTGTGTTACCAGCACATGTGATTGTTTAAAATTTTTATCAAAGATAATATTTATCTAATAATAAATATTACTAAATACTGGCTACCATGTTCCAAGCACTAGAGATTTAGCAGTGAACAAAACATTAAATAAAAAATGTCTTCCTCTTGGGAGCTTACAGTTTAGTTTGGGTTGGAATGGGTTAAAATAAATGGTATGCCATGTGGTAGTGTTATGGAGAAAAAGCAGGGGAGGAAGAGGGAGAATTCAGAGGGAGAGGATTAATGTATGCAGTATTAAATTGGTCAGGTGGGGACTGTCTCTCTGACATTTAGCAAAAACTTGAAGGAGGTGAGGGGATGAAACATGTAGGTAACGGGGGAATAGCATTCCAGGCATAGGAACAGGAAATGCAAAGACCCGAGTCACAATTTGTGCTTGGCATGATCAAGGAAGTACAAGGAGGCCAGTGTGACTAGAGCCAAATACATAAGGCTCAAAATAGCAGATGACAAGGACAGAAGGGTAATGGAAGGCTGGCTTTTGTAGGGTCTTCTTGGCCATTGTAAGGACTTTGACTTTTACTCTGAATGAGATGGGAACCCTGGGAGGGTTTTGAGCAGAAGAATGACTTTGGTTTTAACAGGATTTCTCTGGCTCCTGTGTAGATTGAGGGGGCGGGGGGCAGTATACAAGCAGGGAGAACTTTGGGAAACTCTTGAAATTATTGAAGTAAGAGACATGGTGTTTGGATCATGGTGGTAGTGGTGGAATTGGAATTCTGAGTATGTTTTGAAGGTAGACCCATTGGGATATGTTGATGCATTGTGAAAGCAGGGAGTCCGAGACGATGCCAGAACACAGTTGGAAGACGGAGTTGCCATCTACTGAGATGGGGAAATAGGAAGAGCACATTTGGGGAAAAGATTTAGGAGTTTGATTTTGGATGTGTTAAACCTGATGTGAGAGGGGATATCAAGTAGATAGTGGGATATGTGTCTCTGGAGTTCAAAGAACAGGTCTGGGCTGAAATTTTCAATTCAGGACTCACCAGCAAGTAGGTTGTTTTTTTGAAAAATGAGACTAGATGAGATCACCAAGGGAGAAGAGAAGAACTTTGAGTCTAGGTTATTCCAACTTTTAGAGATTGGAGAAACTGAGAAGGAATGGCCAGTGAAGTAGGAAAAAAAACATGAAGGTGTAGTTCCTTAGAAGCTAAGTGAAGAATGTGTTGTAAGAAGGAAGGATCAGTTTTTAAATTCTGCAAATAGGCCAAGTAAGAAGAGAACTGAAAATTGACTGTCCAGCTTAGCAACAAGGAAGTAATCTTGAGAAACTGTTTCCATGATGGGGACAGGGGAGGGTGAAGAGATAATTGGAGTGGTTTCAAGAAAGAATGGAAGGAGAAATTGGTTATAGTAGTAATATGTGGCCATTGTTTTGAGGTTTTTTACAGTAATTAGGAGCAGAGAAAGGGAGAGTTGGATAGAGCTGTGAGGGCTAAAGAAGATACTTTTTTTTTTTTTTTTTTTTTTGAGATGGAGTCTCGCTCTGTCACCAGGCTGGAGTGCAGTGGCACCATCTCGGCTCATTGCAACCGCCACGTCCCGGGTTCAAGGGATTCTCCTGCCTCAGCCTCCCGAGTAGCTGGTACTACAGGTGTGCGCCACCACTCCCAACTAATTTTTCTATTTTTAGTAGGGACAGGGTTTCACCATGTTGGCCAGGATGGTCTCGATCTCTTGACCTTGTGACCCGCCCACCTTGGCCTCCCAAAGTGTTAGGATTACAGGGGTGAGCCACCATGCCCACACACCCCTCTCCCCCTTTTTAAAATATGGAATGAATAACAGCTGTTTGTATGCTGATGGAATGCTCTGGTAGAGGGAAAGCTGATGATGCAGAAGATAGGAGGGGAACTGCTGGGTGATGTTCTTTGGCTAGGGAGCAGGAAGATGTTATCTCATGCACAAACGGAAGCCGTGGGCTTAGGAGCTCAATCTTTAGCCATAGTATTGGTGAAAGGCAGGATGTGTGGCACAAAGGTGGAGGCAGACAGATGTGGGTGGGAAAAATTGCAGAAGTTTTCTTTTGATTTTGTCCAGTTTAGTGCAGTAGGAAGCAAAAGCATTGGCTGAAAGTGAAGGTGGAGTAAGCAGTGTTGGAGGCTTGAGCAGAGGAGAAAGGGTGCAGTTGTCTTTCAGAACGGGAGAGTGAATGGAGTAGGAAGCATCAGGACCTGCTTGAGGTTTGTGGGTAGGTGTATAATGTGAGACTGGGTAGCATGATTCTCTGTTTTTCTCCACCCATATTCACATTAAGGTAATAACTTCGATTATGTGAAGAGTTGAATTTAACAGGGGTTAGGATTTTGTTGTGAAATTAGAAGAGAAACTAGAGAGTTAAAGGTCTATGCAAAGGGTGGAATTACAGGGAAAAAGACCTTAGAATCTAAGCTGCGTAGAGAGAAAGGAGGGTGTGGGGAGAGTGGAAAGCTGATGGAAGCACTGGATTATGGGTCCTCCGGATGGAAAAGGTAAGATGGCCGAGGACAGAATTCTAGATTTTGTCAATATTTAATGGTAAAAGAATTAGCAAAGGAGATGGATAAAGAGAAGTCTGAGTGTAGAGCAAAAAGGCTTAGGAAAAGGGAAAGATAGGTCACAATATCCAGAATCCTGAAATTTAAGGAGTCCTGAAAATTTGAAAAAAAATAATTGTGGTAAAATATACATAATGTAAAAGTTATTTTAACCAGACTTTTTTTTTTTTTTTTTTTTGAGACGGAGTCTTACTCTGTCACCCAGGCTGGAGTACAGCGGCGTCATCTTGGCTCACTGCAAGCTCCGCCTCCCGGGTTCTCGCCATTCTTTGTATTTTTAGTAGAGACGGGGTTTCACCTTGCTAGCCAGGATGGTCTCGATCGTGATCCGCCGGCCTTGGCCTCCCAAAGTGCTGGGATTACAGGCATGAGCCACTGCGCCCGGCCTAACCAGACCATTTTTAAGTGTACAATTCAGTGGCATTAAAGACATTCACCTTGTTGTGCAATCATCACCATCATCTATTTCCAGAACTTTTTTATCTTGCAAAACTGGAACTCTGTACCCATTAAACAACTCCCAACCCCCCACCCCTACCCCCACCCCTGGTAAGCATCATTCTGTCTTCTGCCTTTATTAATTTGTCTACTCTAGGTACCATAAGTAGAATTATACAATATTTGTCCTTTTGTGTCTGGCTGTTTCACTTAGCATAATGTCCCCAAGGTTCATATGTATTTTAGCCTGTGTCAGAATTGCCTTCCTTGTATTTTTTTTTTTTTTCTTTAAAGACAGAGTCTTGCACTGTTGCCCAGGCTGGAGTGCAGTTGCGCGATCTTGGCTCACTGCAACCTCTGCCTCCCGGGTTCAAGTGTTTCTTCTGCCTCAGCCTCCCGAGTAGCTGGGACTACAGGCATGTGCCATACACCCAGCTAATTATTGTATTTTTAGTAGAGACGGGGTTTCACCACGTTGGCCAGGATGGTCTCAATCTCTTGACCTCATGATCTGCCCACCTTGGCCTCCCAGAGTGCTGGGATTACAGGCGTGAGCCACCAGCGCCCAACCATTGCCTTCCTTTTTAAGGCTGGAGAATATTCCATTGTACGTATGTACCACATTTGGTTTATCCATTCATCTGTCAGTGGATACTTGGGTTGTAAATAGTGCTGCTATGAACATGAGTATGCAAATAGATACCCATATACAAAGAACTGCTTTCAGTTCTGTGGGGTCTATAATCAGCAGTGGAATTGCTAGATTATGTGGTAATTCTGTTTACTTTTTTGAGGAACCATCATACTGTTTTCCACAGCAGCTGTGCCATTTTGTATTCCCGCCAGCAATGGGACAAGGGTTCTGATTTTTCCACATCTTCACCAACATCTGTTATTTTCTGGTGTTTTGCATTTAAAAATAATAACCATCCTAATGGGTGTGAAGTAGTATCTGATTGTGGTTTGATTTACATTTTCCTAATTATTAGTGATGTTGAGCATCTTTTCATGAGCTTATTGGCCATCTGTATATCTTCTTTGGAGAATGGAAAGAAACTTTTCCAACTTTTTTTTTTTTTTTTTTTTTCGAGACAGTCTGGCTCTGTCACCCAGGCTGGAGTGCAGTGGCGCGATCTGGGCTCATTGCAAGCTCTGCCTCCTGGGTTCACCCCATTCTCCTGCCTCAGCCTCTGAGTAGCTGGGACTACAGGTGCCCGCCACCAAGCTCCTCAGCTAATTTTTTGTATTTTTAGTAGAGATGGGGTTTCACCTTGTTAGCCAGGATGGTCTCGATCTCCTGACCTCGTGATCCGCCCACCTCAGCCTCCCAGAGTGCTGGGATTACAGGCGTGAGCCACCACGCCCGGCCTTTTCTAACTCATTTTGCAATAAAGTCCCACTTGACCTGAACTGAGTTACTGACAAAAACATGATCTGAGCTGATGTGAGACTATTTGTATTCCTTACTTATGCCAGTTAATGTGAATATTCATATGCTTTGCTAAAGAAATTTTAGTGTGTCTGATTATGGAGTGCTGCTCCAAATCCTACTAGGGCTATACACATGCATGTACTATACACATATATGTACTAATACTTTTCTAAAATCAGAAAAATTCAGAATTCCAAAACACATTCTACTCCAGTCCAAGGGTTTTGGGTTAAAAGTTTGTGGACTTGTAGCTTCATTTCTTTGGAAAACCAAGTTCCCGTTTTTAAAAACTTACCCATAAACTTTGGGAATTTAGGGAGGAATTAGTTGAGGGCTGTCGTTACTTCCGTCACATCTCAACCCATGTCATTCTTTTCTGTCTTTATGCTTCACTCGCTGTTCCTGCCCGGTGCTTTTGCCTCTTAACCTGAGGCTTATCTGAGGCTTATTTTTTCATCTGCAGAGTGGGTATATTGTTTTCTACTTTGAAGGATGGATTGTGGGGACCAAAGGAGGTAACGACATAAGGCTCAGGTCAGAGTCTAGCACAATAGGTGCTCCACGAACATGATTTTCTCTAGTCCTTAAATTCATGCTCTCTCTGTTGTGGAGCATGTGAATTCATTCTTTCATACCTCTTTCATCATGTAACTTTTAATCCCTAATGAATGGAATTACTTACTGTAGTGTTTCTGTGGGAAAATGTTCAAATGCCAGAAAGCCATCTCTTCTCCCCACATTCCCAGCCTCACACTGATAATAAAGGGGTACCTCCCTCTCTCCTCAAAACATTGCACCCCCTTGGGGAATGGAGAGGGAAGGGCAAGTGAGAGCGCTCCAGTGGACAGATGGGGGAAGGCAGCAGCTCTGTGTTTACAGAAATTGTTAAATTATTTACACAATTTTGGTGTCCCTACCAGATCCAGAGTTGGGGATACTGCAAGAATGGCCTTTTTTATGTTACAAACTGGAATTAGATGAGTCATTTAATTGAAGCTTAAGTTTTTGTAGAAGAGTAATACTCTTTTCATATAAACTGGTGGTAATAAAAGCTTTATTATCTAGCAGTAGGCATAAAGTTTTCTTTTGGTTTAGCCCAATTATTAGTGTATTTAATCCACCCCCTTGCTACCCCCTGTTAGTTATCTTAGATTAAAAGGTCAATTCTAGCCTGGAACATACGTCTTCTTTTAAATAATTTGGCATATTTAAATTAGGAGGACATGAAGTGGCAGAATTTGAGTTAAACATTTAAATATATTTTGTGCCCTTGATTATATTAGACACCTGCTGCTTTGGAAAGTCACATGTTTAGCGAAAACGTACTTTGGTTGAAATGTTAAAATAAAAAGACCTAGCAAAGGTAACCTTGTAGTTCAGATATGACAGTTTGATTTTGGCTAGGACTGGAATGAGTGGTTTCTGTGTAGCCATTTCTTCCTCCCTGTGTAGAGAGCCTTGCTGATTTCTAAATCTTCGTAAAAGGAAACACCCTTGCTGTGGAGGCTTGCTCAGGGGAGCTGGGAGTGGAGGCGGGCTCACACATGAGCGCATGTGCAGGAACGTTTCACGGTGCAAAGGTTAAAGGCGGGTGTGGGCAGAGGGGAACCTACCACAGGTCCCATTCTGGACAGACGTGCGCAGTTGTGGTGATGTGCAAACAGCTGTACTGGAACTGGATATCCACTTTCACATCGGGCATCCGCCTAGAAGAGCAGCGGGCAGCTGATGGGAAGACCCTCAAACAACAGACAGTGCCGCAGCAGGTGCATGACTTCAGCTTTTGGGCTTTCTATCTGATCCTTGCCTCAGGAAGTTAGATCTGGTTTCTGGTATTTAGTTATTTTGAAAGTTTCCTATACTGTTGTTATTACTTTGAGTTGTGAAGATAGATGAAAAGATAGTACTTTATGAGTTAGAGTAGTTGATTCTAGAATGTAGTTTAAAAACAGCCTTTAAAAAATCTTTTTACAAAGTTCTGTTTGGGTTTTGAGAAATGAAAGAAATCTTATTTTAACCCTGTATTATGTATTCTTCATTGTTTTTGGTTTTGTATTTGGAGGAGCCCCAGTACTTGGTGGTGTTATAACACAATTCATCCCACAAACAGATCTTTGTCTTTTGTTTTGAGGTGTCTAAGGAAGAGCTTGAGGTTTCATTTGGCTACATTCCAGTATGAAACCTGAGATAAGTCCCTTGGCCTTTTATAAAAGAGAATGGTTAGAAAGACCAGAAGGTCTCTAATGAGTTATGGTGAAGAGGCTTCTTTAAACGGATTTATATAAAACCAATGAATAAAAATTTCTTTTAGTTTTGTTATAAAATATGTATGTGTGTCTGCATGCTCCAACAAGGGATTTTTACTAGTCTCTTAGTGGTCTTTAAAGCATAAAATTGAAGGATAATTTCAGTTATCCTTTTGGGGAAGAGTTATTAATGCTTGTTTTTGGTTAGGCTAAACTCTTTTGTCTTTTTCTTGTCAGTTAGTATTTGTAGAGCATCCATGATATATCTGCACTCACACACATGGACATGAGTGTGTATATGCATCTGTTGCTAGACTGGGTGCAGAGCAAGTCATGTTGCCCTTGAGTTAACATGTTAAGACCCTTAACAGCCTTTATTTTCTTGAGCTACGTACTTATGTTTGAATTTCTGATCTGGAAAGTCAGGGAAGTCATAAAGGCTTTAAAAATTATTCTCTGTTTAGATAATGTAGTTCAGACTATTGCAGGGATGAGGGGTATAGAGATTGTTTTCATTGTAAAGAGAAGGCAGAAAAAAGAGAAGGTCTGTATATAACAGAGTGTCTTTCTTTGGTTAAATCTATGCAGAGCTACTAATGAAGGGAATTTTAGGCATAGTATGAAATGAAGACTCTCTTGATACTTGTTTTGTCAGATTCTTTTTGTATTTCTCTTAAATATCTACTTTCCCAAACTAAAAAATCATCCTTTGTGTGCTTACATATTCAGTAGGGCATCTCCATTGTTGTCAGCGGAGGCAGTGTGGTAGGACTTCAGCAAATATGCAGTGTCCCCCTCCCTCACTTGTAAATTATTCTTTATCTTATATCACCAAGTATCAGCAGTTTCTCTTTAATATTAAGTCATTAAGAGTGAGTTTAATTGAGGAAAATATTTTTACTGTTATTAAATGTAGAAATGCAGCAACACCCAATGCATTTGGTTCTAAGAGATTTATTAGCATTTTTATTTTTCATCTGGGTGCTCTGTTTAAGGAATAATATAACTTATTTCAAAATATGTTAGCTTGTTCTGGCTTTTGTTTTTGTTTTACTCCTTTGGAGTCCTGAGAAGACAACATTTAGATTCAGAACTTTCTTTGTTATCTCAGTGTGTCTAATTTAGCTAACTTTTGAATGTATTTCTTGACTGCACAGAAAGTTGGAGTGACTGGTCCCCCTGATCCACAAGTCCGCTGTCCCTCTGTCATTGAGTTTGGGAAGTATGAAATTCACACCTGGTACTCCTCCCCATATCCTCAAGAATACTCAAGGTATGTTTTGAGAGACCCTTGACCTTCTGTTTTGAGATCCATAGAAGTCTGGAACTGGAAGGGATCTTGAAGATGTTTGAGTCCACCTTATCCTTTACATTTGAGGAAACTGGGGGCTTTTAAATGTCCATAATAGCAGCGGCTTTGGCAGCCACTTCATCCCAGTTTGCTTTAGATGTTCTCTTCTGTAACCTCTCAGACGCTGATGTTTAAAATGAGAAACCCGAATGCATGGTCACAATAAAAGGGGAATGCTTTTTTATTTTTTTTTTAAGAGAAATTTGTCTTCACTCCTATCACTAAGAATTTTGAAAAAGAGAAGAACTCATATATAAATTAATATAAAGTTTCAGTTGATTAGTCTTTGATGTAAATAAATATTTATAATTTGACAAACTTAATAAATGGTTTGTTTTCCCAGAAATAATTGGACAATTGGTGTAAAAATTATATATAAATAGTTTGGGCTTCCAGATATATTAATAAACATTGATCACTCACCAGCTTGGTGGAGCTAAAGTGGTTTCATGACTCAGCTCTGAAATTGGTAAGTTGTGTAACCTTAAAAGCTGCCCAACTGCTCTGTGCCTCAGTTTCCTCATCTGTAAAGCAGAGATAGTAATAGTACTTACTTCGTGGGGATATTGAGGACATTAAATGAGCTACAACATGTAAATCACTTAGAAAATGGTAAGTGCTCAATAATGTCAGTTATTATATTTTTTCTTTATGGTTAAAATTAAAAGATGAAATGAGATCAAAAAATTAAATACTAGTTAATTGTAGTGACATTAATGCTCTCTAATCTATAAACTACTTATGCCTCAGTTTCCCATTTAGTAGGGTGTTACAAGAAATAATACATCATGGTGCTTTGTGGGTTAAATACATGTTCAGAATATTCTCATCATGTAAGTTTTCACCCATGTAGTAACATTGCCTGGCCAAAATATTAGCAAAATTTATTTAGTACCTTACAATATGTTGAGTGCCTTAACATGGGTTGTTGCCAAGAAACTAGGAATAGGCCAGTATAGTTGTTAAAAGGGCCATCCAGTAAAACTTATTTATCTTTTTACTTTTTCTTTCCATATAATAACTTGCTTCTCTAGTCTACAGTCGAAGTAGAAAAATAGGGGTAAGAATGCCATTTCAGACACTGACCTCAAAGTGACAGCTAACAAAAACAGAAGAAAAAGCAAAACCCCAGGAAACTAACACACAAGCTCATGAAACACAGCAATTGAGGGCCATTTACTGTGGGATCAGTTAGCCCCAAACACTGTGGTGTATCTTTAAGGAAGCACACTGTTTCATGAGCTGACAACAATTAATGTGACTTTAAGATAAGGTTACATTGTATTTGCATTTCCATATTATACATATATATTATACATGTATGTATTGTATATGTATATATGTTAAAGGAAGGCAGGAACTTCCTCAACTACCTACAGAACTCAGCGTTCAAGTTAACTCATTCCTCAGGAATTCTGAATAGCCAAGATCTTTTATGACCGAGAAGAAATACGCCAAGGACACGCCTGTAATCCCAGCACTTTGGGAGGCCGAGATAGGCAGATCGCCTGAGGTCAGGAGTTCAAGACCAGCCTGGCCAACATGGCGAAACCCTGTCTCTACTAAAAATATAAAAATTAGCCAGGCGTGGTGGTGGGTGCCTGTAATCCCAGCTACTCAGGAGGCTGAGGTAGGAGAATCGCTTGAACCTGGGAGGCGGAGGTTGCAGTGAACTGAGATCGCGCCATTGCACTCTCGCCTGGGCAACAGGAGCGAAACTCCATCTCAAAAGAAAAGAAAATAAATATGCCAAGGAATTAATTTTTTCATCAGGTTTAAAATAAGTTGTTATGATCATTTTTTAAGTGAGCTCTTTGCAAGCTGCCCAAATCACAAGAGCACTCAACTTAGAAAAGAAAGCTTTTCCACATGTCTGTCAACTGTTCCGGAGACTATAGTACAGATAGATGGAAACCACAGGCCCCTTGTCTACTCAAGGTGGGGAGAGGAAATAGATTCAGGAATGGAAATAGAGGGCTAGCATTTACTTTTGTTCAAGAGAATGATGAGAATGGAATCATAAACTGTTTTCTTTTAAGATAGATATTTAAAGGATTTATTGAAAATGTAGCTTTTGTTCTGATGAGATTTTCATTAGAAACAGGTGTGAGGAGACTAGTTATCAGTGAAAGAATAAATAATGCCATCAAAAAATAACCAAAAAAAGTATAATAGGAACCAGTAGAAAGCAGAAACAGGATAGGAACTTGTAAAATTCATCAACTTCCTTAAGCAGTTTTAGACATTTTCTGTATATTTTTTCATCCATTGGATAGGGTTCTTTGAGTTTTCAATTAGAAAATATCCTGTAATTTTTAATAGGTTCTTGAGTAATTATGACTTTTTTTCTATCTTTATATTCGTAGTTCTCTTGGTTACATTTTTTAAAAAAATTATATTTACTTAAATGAGCTTGAAACTTGAGGTGACTAAAATGTTTGGAGATCTTACATTTTCCAAATAATAAACCTCTATTCTTAATTTTGTTAATGCCTATTTATTATTTCGTGCTAAACTGCTTATAAATTATTTTCTTATTAAAGGTTTCAAACACTGTAACGTACAAAAACAGGGCAATAGGAGCAAACAAAAATGCAAAGATCACAAGAAAAACGTCTTTTGGGAAGTGGGATTATACTTTACGGAATGTTCTTTCATATCCAGATATTTGTGTATGCATTGCCTATTAAGTAATCTTGTATCCCTGTCTTTAAAAATCAAAAACAATGAAGCAATAATACTGTTTCATTTGGTTTATCAGTAGGTTCATTGCGAAACCTACTCTGCCATTAAGAGCATGACATAGATGGGCTTAAGGCAAAAGAAATTATGATCATTGGATGCCCTCTGCTCCTGTGCTGCTTTGAGCTTAGCTTTGAGATCCTAAAGAGGTAGATTCCTAGGTGATAGAGTAGCCTAGGAAGATTCCTCTGCCTTTTGATTCTCCTCTGGACTTTATTTGATGCTTAGATTATGAGATTGTCACTAGAACCAGTTTGATTATTCTCGTCATCCCAGTTACTGAAGAAGAAACCAAATAGAATCCCTAATGCCTTTGGCTATTAAATTATTGAGTAAAATTGATGGAAGAAGAATACAAATAATAATCGTTAAGTAATAGCAGCTGTAATTACCATCCATTGAGCTTGGTACTGGACTAAGCATCTCTGGTGTAATTCTGTGAGATGAATATTACTGTATTCATTTTGCAGACCTGGTCCCAGACAGTACAGTGTATAAGTGGCAGAACTTGAAGCTCACTTCTCTCTTACTGCATAGCCATAACCATTAATCACTGGGCCTACGCTGCTCCATGTAGCATGTGTATCTAGGTTGATCTCACTTGACTTGTACCATAATCTTAGATTTAAGTAATATTTGGTATAATTTTTATTGTTACATTAAAAATTTGCTACAAGTTGACTGCACAAACTGCTACTATGTTGGGCCATGTTCAGAAGCCAGAAGGTACTGTAGAAATTCCTGAGAATAATAATTGCATCATTCTAGAAGTTAGAGAAGCATGCCCAGCTGCAGCACAGCCCTGATTCCATGGGCTGGGTTATCAGCATTGTGGCAGACTTTAGAATCAACTTCCAGTGTGGAGGTGACACTTCATGTGCAGTTGATCAAAGCCACCGTACAGCTACCTGTTTGATAGCTGAGACCTAGGTCCTGCCAGGAAGATCACTAAAAGCAGCCCCCAACAAGATTCTCTAGGGCTAGGAGTATTCATAATCTTTATAACTACATTTCATTTCCTGTAGTCTCATGTTCTTTCTATATGATAGATCTTTTTTTTCTGTGAGAGAACAGCAGTTGTTTATAATATTTCTAGAAATATTTTGGTTTTCCAGTAGTTTTTTTTCTAGATGATTCCCTTTAGATTAGCAGTATCATCCCAGTGGGCTTGGTTCTAATAAAGTAAGGAGCTTTTAAAATGTTTTCAGTGAGAACTAGATTGGAATAAAGTAGATCATAATGCTTGTTTTCAGTTTACTATTTTTCACATAATAAGGTTCACTAAAGTTTTGTTTTTTTTTTTTTAATCATCAATAAAATGCCATACATCTTGCCATTCTAAGGAAGTGGCATGAACTCTTCATTTACTGGAGAAGACTTGATAGTAATTTTCTCAGAGATTTTATTTCTCCTGATGTTTTCTTGAGCAATTTGGTTACTGTAAGAGCTTTAAACATTTTTGGCCTTCTCTCACAGATCTTAGGAAATAAATTGTAGTTTATTTTCCTCCCTTCCTCCCTCCCTTCCTCTCTCCCCTCTCCCTTCTGTTTCCAGAAAAGTAATTAGCATTTATTGAATATTTTCGATTTTTTAATTGACAGATAAAATTGTATATATTTATCATGTACAACATGATGTTTTGAAATATACACATTATGAAATATGACTAAATCTAGCTAACATAAATGGTACTTTATTTTCATGTCTCTGTGCTGAGACCTAACAGTTGGATTGGATGCCCTTAAAGTTGGCATTTATCTTTACCATAATTTGGAAAGCTTCATGGTCTGTCACTGTTTTTTACTCTATCATTTTTACAAAAATACTTTAAAAAGCACAAAATTTTTTAGGTTTCTCTGATTCGTATTATAGGAAGTATTTAGTTGTAATATTTAGCTCTCAAAATGAAACTGTACTCAGATAGTGTTACTTCTGTATCTTCATGCTGTGACAAGTTAAGATTGCTCACTGAGAATTTAGCACATGTAAGAGGTAAGTAAAACAGTTAGGGAGGGAGGTGCCACCCGTTGTATCTACATAAGGAGACTCATTCTTCCTCTTCCTTTGAAGAAGAAATTACTCAGAATCCAGGTATTCAGGAAGGTGGTCTGGCAGTTGTAGGTCACCTGTAAGGCTTAGTTAATACATTTAGTGCTCATATTAGATGATGAAGTTTATAACAAGCCATTTCATTCTGTGATTTGTAGCTGTGGTGGTGAAGAAGGAAAAACCTCTTTATCTAGTGGTTCCTCTTGAATAGTGGGGCTTGAGGCAGAATGCAGTGGAAACAAAGTAGCCAACAACACACTGCTTTCCATGCTCTTAGCTCCTGCTTCTTGACTCTAATTTATAGTGCCAGTCATTATTTGTTTCACTTAGTGCTTGATTTTGGAAGGGTTGTACTAATAATATAATTACAAGTTGTATTGGTGTGGCTAACATGAGAGATTTTGAAAAACAATATTGTATACCATAGATGTTTAGTAATAGTATACTACAAAAGTTCCTTGGAAACTTTCAGTGTGCTGAATTGAATGACAGTTTAAAAAATAAGATGTGAGGTTATATGGGAAGAATTAATGCACATTGTGAGTCCCCCAGGAAAGTTGGGAAAAAGCGTGTGCCCTCTTGCCCTTATTTGAGCACGAAATCCTTAGTACCTGCAGGATTTGTGTTCCATAAATATACCTTGGGAAAAGCTTTAGTAGAATTTTAGATGTTCTCAGATAAATTATATTTCAAAAGCTGCTTTCAAAATGGGAACTTGAAAAAATGGTTATGGTCTTCACACAAATCAAACATTTTTGTGTGTGTTAATCTACTTAGCAAATATTATTTTCTTTAATTCTAGGATAGTATTTTAAGCATAACTATCCAAATTGATAGCAACTAAATTAATTTTTTCATCTCAGTACTTAAATATGAGACAAGATACAGTAATTTATTTGAATTATATATTTTGTCATTTTACCGTCCAGTATTTTTGCATATGCAGTTTTTTTTTTAACCTGTTACCTGGGTAGTAATGAGAGGCAAAAAGATGATAATTGTGGAAGTTTGAAGTACTCTAAAATATAAAGCCCTGTCTTTTTTGTTTAATTATCGTTTACAGGCTGCCCAAATTGTATCTTTGTGAATTTTGTCTAAAATATATGAAAAGTAGAACTATTCTGCAGCAGCACATGAAGAAATGTGGTTGGTTCCATCCTCCTGCCAATGAGATTTACAGAAAGAATAATATTTCTGTCTTTGAGGTAAGGTAGATACTTAGTAATTGTCCTCTCATCCATTTCATAAGTAGGGCCACCTATATTGCATCTATTGTGCAACTTTCTATTGTCTATTTTATGTATCACTAAAATGGAAAAAGTACTAATTATAATTTTTAAAACTTCATTTGATTATAAAATGCCAGTTGATTTTGCATATATTAAGATGTGATAAAAGTACATCTTAGAATCTATGAAATATGGCATTTAAATGAAAGGATTTCTATCACTTATTTAAAAGGAATATCTCACAGAGATCTGTTTAATAGTAAATCTTGATGATGATGATGATGATGATGATGATGTGTGACCTCTGCTCTGTGATTCTCTATTGCTGTTAGTAGCGCTCTTGATCCTCAGTTCTGTGGTTTTCGTGCCAAGTATTAATTGAGTACTTGCTTATGTGCCGTTTACTTACTGTAACAGTAAAATTTCAGATTGTCAGGATCCCCTCAGTCTCTCACTTTTCTTGGTCCTCCCTAAGACTCTTTTAAGTGATCAGTAGAGGAGTTCTTTACCTTGGGAGAAGCTGGGGTAGGTGTGGTATATACTGTTTGAAGAGAATATTAAACTACCTGGGTTGTTGAGGAGTTCTGTTAGTATCGCAGACAGTGTCTTGGGAGCTAATGTGGGCATCCATTGGCGTTTTGATAGAAAGCTCTGGCAACTCCATGAACACAGACAAGGCTGCCAGGAGCAAAAGAGCAGCAGAGTGCTCCTGGGCCTGGCCAACCTGGAGCCTCATTTACCACATGATTGCTTGAGGAACCCGCTTGGTGCTTCTGCGTGGCAATAGTTAGTACCCCCTTAAGTAGTTTTATCTGGGTTCAAGCCCGATCATGGTAGTCAGATTGCATTGCTTCAGGCAGCTGGCATAGATTAGACTACATAGTTACATCTTCTTTTACCTAATAAATGTATTTTAGAAGGGTTGTATTTAGATCTTTTGTTGTGTTAAGTACTTTGAAAACGAAACTTGCTATCTAAAGGATTGCTACAATTCATCTTTTTATTAAAGCAAAAATTGCTCTTTTAAAACCAGATTATCACTTCCTTATCTGGCTGTTCCTGCTATGTTGAAGGTATGAGGTTTTATATATTTGGTTGTCTTAAAACAGCAGATAGCATAATACTGCCATTTCAAAGGATGGCTTCCAGGTTCCAAAGTGTTCTGGTCATGGACACCTTCTCCTAGTCTGGACTGTGGATATCTAGAGATGCTTTTAACTGATACATATTATTCTAGAACTAAAGAGACCCTCTACTGACTGTTTTGTTCTGTTTATTTCTCTAGGTTGATGGGAATGTGAGTACCATTTATTGTCAAAACCTGTGTCTTTTGGCAAAGTTGTTTCTTGACCACAAAACCCTCTATTACGATGTGGAGCCATTTCTTTTTTATGTACTAACACAGAATGATGTCAAGGGCTGCCACCTTGTTGGCTACTTTTCTAAGGTAAGTATGTCAGCTTAAAGTTTGTTTGAACTCATATAGAAATCTGAAAGAATCTTTGCTGGTTCTCACTCGGGGACACAACAAGATGCAGCACCTCCTAGGTGTCATCTAGCTGTTTGGAAAGAATAGAAGGAACATTTGGAAACTTACCAGGTGCTAGAAGGTGCTTAGTAACATTCAACAACCTATATTCTCCTAGGATTATGGACTGCTGGCAATACTCACGGGGAAGGTTTTAAATGGCTTCTCTTCCCATGGTAATAACATGGAACTTCTGAAATAAACAGTCATTAGCTCTCTGAGTTCTGTCTCAGCTTCAATCTTCTCTTCCTTATTTGAACTTTAGGCATAGAAATAAGAGTAAGAAGGCATTTTGGTTAAAGGATATTTTCTCCTTTTTTAATCTTCCATTCCCTTAGAGGGAGAAAGTTTATTTCTAGTCAGAGAACATAAAAGATATACTTTTATTTAAGCAAGCCTGTGGTAAAATCCAAGTGTATAAAACAGTTAGGGGAAGTACTAGCTTTTTATAAGCATTTATAAGAATTCTTTAGGCTACTTCATTAGTTAGATGTGACTTAAAATATATTCACTCATTTATAAAATTATAAAAGTGACTATTTTGTGTAAAGTTAGATACAACTAATAGGACTGCTCTGAGGAGCACCAGAGCAGGAGAGAAAGAAAACTCTGACATAATTAATGAGTCTTCTCACTTCTAGAGTGGCACACTGATTCATCATTTGTAGCTTTACGGATTGTTTGGGACTCAGATTCCGGTGCTGATCCTTAGGCATTGGCGTACTGTGTTTGAGTTGCAGATGGTGTTGGATGGCATTGTTTTGTTATATATTTTTACTCTCCTGGGATGGTTGCTTTGTGGGTAATGGCAGTGACTTGACATTATCCTATCTTCTCCCAGCTGGGTAGTTGTTTGTTGATGTACGTTGCTATTCCCAAAGGACCAGGGCTGTGGGTTTTGGCCATTAGTCTTTGTTTCTTAATTCACGTTATTATTCACTTTTACCAGCCTGTTTTCAAACTTGACTTGTGTTTTCTCCACCAGGAAAAGCACTGCCAACAGAAGTACAATGTTTCCTGTATAATGATTCTTCCTCAATACCAGCGTAAGGGCTATGGCAGGTTTCTCATCGATTTCAGTAAGGATTATATTAATTTCTCATTGGTCTTTTCCAGTGGACCTTCTCTGTGTGTGTGTGTGTGTGTGTGTGTGTGTGTGTGTGTGTGTGTGTGTGTATATATATATATTTAAAGATTTGTAGGTGCTTTGTTGGCTGCTAGTATCTTTTGTCATATAGCTATATGATTCTTTAAAACCTAAAGCCACTGCTGGACACTGTGGCTCATACCTCTAATCCCAGCACTTTGGGAAACTGGGGTGGGAGGATTGCTTGAGCCCAGTAGTTCAAGACCAGCTTAGGCAACATGGCAAGACCCTGTCTCTACAAAAAATTTAAAAAGTTAGGTGGGCATGATGGCATGTACCTAGGGTTCCACCTACTCAGGAAGCAGAGGTGAGAGGATCACTTGAGTGCCCAGGAGGTTGAAGCTGCAGTGAGCAATGCTACCCCTGCATTGCAGGCCCTAGCCTGGGCCACAGAGCAAGACTCTGTCTCAAAATAAAAATGGAAATAAATAAAACCTAAAGCCACACGTTCCTTTTATTTTGGTTGGACACGAATTTTTTTTTTTTTTTTTGAGAGACAGAGTCTCGCTCTGTCACCCAGGCTGGAGTGCAGTGGCGTGATCTCGGCTCACTGCAAGCTCTGCCTCCTGGGTTCAGGCTATTCTTCTGCCTCAGCCTCCCGAGTAGCTGGGACTACAGGCACCAGCCACCACAACCCGGCTAATTTTTTTGTATTTTTACTAGAGACGGGGTTTTACCGTGTTAGCCAGGATGGTCTCGATCTCCTGACCTCGTGATCCACCCGCCTTGGCCTCCCAAAGTACTGGGATTACAGGCGTGAGCCACCATGCGTGGCCTTGGACACGAAATATTTTTAAACAGCTAATATTGAATAAAATTTTGTGTGATGTGTAGCACATACCTTTAATTTCCTATTGTTCATTTACAATGGAACTCAGTTTCATGCAGTAATACTAATAATACTAAAAACATTGTATAACTACTTCAATTAGAGCTAATAAGGAAGTACTGTGGGCCGGGTGTGGTGGCTCACTCCTGTAATCCCAACACTTTGGGAGGCCAAAGTGGGCAGATCATGAGGTCGGGAGTTTGAGACCAGCCTGCCCAACATGGTGAAACCTCGTCTCTACTAAAAATACAAAAAATTAGCTGGGTGTGGTGGTGGGCGCCTGTAATCCCAGCTACTTGGGAGGCTGAGGCAGAAGAATTGCTTGAACCCGGGAGGTGGAGGTTTCAGTGAGCCAAGATCACGCCACTGCACTCTAGCCTGGGTGACGAGCAAAACTCCATCTCAAAAAAAAAAAAAAAAGTACTATACCTGCCGTATTTTTGTTATCCAGTTATCTGAGAAAATGTGTGCATTTTTTTTAGTTAGGCTCTACCTAGTGGTTAAACATCTGCAACACATCTTTAAATATCTGAAGAAGTGAATGATAGAGAAAATTGTTTAATCTGAGTTCAAAAGTGATAGCTCACAGTTCTAAAGAGATCATTGTGGGATCTGTGTAATTTGAGGGAATATTTTACCTCAGATATTGCTATACAATGATATTTAGATGAATATATGCAGAACTAATGGTTCAAACAAAGGATTTTGATTCTAGTCTTGAGATGTTAATTAAGCCTTCTCTTAGCTTTAGACTGTCCTTCTGTCCATATTTTATTGGAAGCTTGTGCTACTGGTTGTTTTACACATTTTCTGGTCTTTTTAGATGAGCAGTAGGGGATGGAACTCAGATTACTTCCTTTAATGTTAATATATTGTTTTGAAATAGGACTCATGATTAGACATGTTATATATGCCATTAAATTGCAAAGTTAGGGAAAATATTTTACTTTTGGTGATTGGGGGTGTGTGTGTATGGTATACAAACAGTCCGTGCAATAACAGTATTGTTTGTATTTACTTTTCCTAATGTAATACGTTTCCAAATTAACATTCTTAGACTGCTTTTATGTTTTCTTTAATGACAGTAAAAATACCTTTCTCTGCCATCTCCATTTTCGTTGCTTTTCCTTAGAAGTTAGGCCTTTGTTTTTCAGTTCTTGAGAGTTGTGCACTATAGAGGACAGAGTCCACAGTTCCACACTTATATTGGCAGTCCTGCTTGCCTAGAGTTAGAATGATAGGTAATTGTGAGGAGTTTTGGTTGAAGTGAAAGATTGTCATCTAATTCACTGACAGAACTACAATTTTAATAGGATTATGTGAAAATGAAGGCATTCTTTTGTACTTCTCAGTTCAGATACAGCAGTTGCCATCTAGTGGTCCAAATAAAGCATGCAAGGCTTGTTTTCCCCAGGACGTTGAACGAAACTGTTAACAGTCCTGATTTTTAACACTTCGAATATTTTAACAAGGTGATTGATATTAACTGTAGACATAATAATACTAACTTAGTCTTCAATATATATAAATTATGTATTCTTTCTGCAGATTTGTTTTGAAGTAGTTTTGCAATTTGTTTCTCTCTTTTTTTTTTTGGAAGGAATTTACCTTTGGAGTTATTCTTGGTTGTAGAAGAGGGGATTGTTATTTTGGTGAATCCAGTTTTTCAGAGTTGCTGACCTAGTTCTGATTTGAGTTATTTGTGATTCTTTAGGTTATTTGTTATCAAAGCGTGAAGGCCAAGCAGGGTCTCCAGAGAAACCGTTATCTGATCTGGGTCGTCTTTCCTACATGGCATATTGGAAAAGTGTAATATTGGAGTGCCTTTATCACCAAAATGACAAGCAGATCAGCATTAAGAAGTTAAGCAAGTTGACTGGAATCTGCCCTCAAGACATCACTTCCACACTCCACCACCTACGAATGCTGGACTTCCGTAGTGACCAGTGAGTATCACATCTTTTT
The DNA here is from genome assembly GCF_000001405.40 of Homo sapiens. Classification (NCBI taxonomy): domain Eukaryota; kingdom Metazoa; phylum Chordata; class Mammalia; order Primates; family Hominidae; genus Homo; species Homo sapiens. The sequence continues at coordinate 41,943,728 of NC_000008.11, read as the reverse complement.
GTATACCTTTGAAAGATAATTAGGTTGAAGTTTTTTGGATCAGCCAGTCAGATTATTGATGAAAGGGCATTAACTAATATAAATGATATACTTGGTGATAATGAGATATCATTTTCCTTTCTAGGATATTTTATTTGATTGACTATATATATGGTCTATATATAGTCTATATATATGCTTTTTAAACTGAATTGTTTTTCTGATACCCCTAATTTTTGGACCTAAGCTACTGAATCTTTCATCTTCTAGTATTGGGAGCTCTTTCACAATACAAGAAGTAACCACTCTAGAAACAGTCATTAAATAAAATGCCCATGTTAAATTTTCATATAAATGGCACAAAGTAAATATAGATTGAAAGGAAGAACAGACAGTTCACCCTTCACTAAAGTGGTCAGAAAAAGGTCACAAAGAAAGGAGGCATTTGAGCCAAATAAATGGAGAATAGGAAAGAGAGTGCAGAAGAGCAGCAGAACTTCTGGAGCGGGACGTGTGAGACAGCAGGCAGTGAAAACAGCCCGCGGCCACGGTAGAGAGCGAAGCATTTGTCCTGCTTCACACTCCTGGCCGTCTCATGTGGTGGCACATTTCTGCATTCCATCGTCCCAGGCAGGCTATCTTTGCAGCACCTATCATCTTACATGCTTCACCAGGGGTCTCATCTCCACATTCATTTTTATGTACACCTTGTACATTGTTGATTGCTATAAACTTTTCTCTGGTTCCAGATTTGTGATTATCCGCCGGGAAAAACTTATCCAGGATCACATGGCAAAGCTTCAGCTGAATTTGCGACCTGTAGATGTAGATCCAGAATGTTTGCGCTGGACTCCAGTCATAGTGTCCAACTCTGTGGTCTCAGAGGAGGAAGAAGAGGAGGCTGAGGAAGGAGAAAACGAAGAGCCACAGTGCCAGGAAAGAGAATTAGAGATCAGTGTAAGGGCATGAATAGTCTCTATTTTTGATGACAGAAGATATATTTTTGATTTCATGAGTATTTATAATAATGTATTATGATCATCTTTCACAGAAAAGTAAATTCACATTAGAATGTCAAGAGTTTTATTTCAGTGGTAGAGATTTCAAGAAGACTGGACCTGGTTTACTTAAGTATTTTTAAGCCTTGGACAATTAGGAGGAGACCATCAAATTTCTTATAATGTGTTACTTGTGAGAAAAATATTTGTTACCAGGGTGCCAAGAAGCAGCTCAGTTTTAAGCTGGATAGTAGTTGAGAAATCTGAATTGAATCCAAATCTGACAGTTTTTAAAAATGAAATGGAGGTTGGGTGTGGTGTTTCATGCCTGTAATCTCAGCGCTTTAGGAGGCCCAGGCGGGAGGATTGCTTGAGATTAGGAGTTCAGGACAACCAGGGAAATATAGTGAGACCCCATCTCTACAAAAAAAACCCAACAACAAAATGAAATGGAGATACATTTTCCTTAAATAGAATATTAAGTAACTATTGTAAACTTGTGTATGTTTTCTGATGGGGCACCAAAACATCCTGTGGACACACAGATCTCTTTAGCCGTTAAAGGGTTGCTGGTGAACTGTAGTGCATGTGTCATTGTCAGTATTTTTCTTCATGTGATGCATACTTTTATAGCTCTTTTTTTTAAGCAGTGCTTCATCCTTTCAACACCGGTATCCTCCTTTAATAAACATAAAAAATCCCATGCCTCTCTTTAGTGCAGTTTAATTTTTCAAAATGAAATTATTCAGAATAAAAGTAAATTTAAAAACTACATAAACTTTCTTTCATATTTCTCAAATGCCTCCTTCCTCTTGCCCATGTCTCAAGATCCTGTCTCCTCCACCCTGTTTACAAATTTTTATTTCTGAGAAATTTTATTAAACAATCTCATTTAACATTTAAAAGAACAATAGTATTCACTTTGCTTATTGAGGGTGGTACTGCAGAAAGATTCAGAACATAGGCTCTGGAGTCAGACTGCCAGGCTTTCTATCCCAGCATCTTCTCTTGCTCTTGCGTGACCTGGGGCAGATTACTTAAATTTTTTTCTACCCCACATGCCTCATTTGTAAAGTGGAGTTGTAGTGGTAATACTTCATATGATTGTTGGGGAGATTAAATAAATAATGCATATACAGAATTTAAAGCAGTGCTGAAACAGGAAATATCCATGTTAAATAACTGATCATTTTCTTTTTAAAGCTCAGTTTCCTTTTCTTCTCTCAATACTTAAAAGGTCAGAATAGGTAAATGTAAGCAAACAAGACTGAAAAATTAACCAGCATTGTTTTATTTTCTAAAATCAGGTGGGAAAGTCTGTGTCTCATGAGAACAAAGAACAAGATTCTTATTCAGTAGAAAGTGAAAAGAAACCAGAAGTTATGGCTCCAGTCAGTTCTACACGTTTGAGCAAACAAGTCCTTCCTCATGATAGTCTTCCTGCAAATAGCCAGCCATCTCGGAGGGGCCGCTGGGGGAGGAAGAACAGAAAAACCCAGGAACGTTTTGGTGATAAAGATTCTAAACTGCTCTTGGAAGAGACGTCTTCAGCTCCTCAGGAACAATATGGAGAATGTGGGGAGAAATCAGAAGCCACCCAGGAACAATACACTGAAAGTGAAGAACAGCTGGTGGCTTCTGAGGAGCAGCCAAGCCAGGACGGGAAACCTGACCTTCCCAAGAGAAGACTCAGTGAGGGGGTTGAGCCCTGGCGAGGACAGCTCAAGAAAAGCCCTGAGGCTCTGAAGTGCAGATTAACAGAAGGAAGTGAGAGGCTGCCCCGTCGCTACAGTGAGGGTGACAGGGCTGTCCTCAGGGGCTTCAGTGAGAGCAGCGAGGAGGAGGAGGAGCCGGAAAGCCCTCGGTCAAGCTCGCCACCAATTCTCACAAAGCCCACGCTGAAGCGAAAGGTAACGCATTTCTTTCCAGGTCTTCTCTTCCTCCAATTCCAGTTTATCTTACACCTTCTCGTTTTAGCTTACAGTTCTGAAAGAGTATAAGTTAGAAATTCCTAGTGCATTGCTTTATAAACCTTAAGCCTCTGTATATTGTAGCTCAAGATCTTCCCAGTGAACATTTGAGATGTGTGTGTGTGTTTGACTTCTTTGATTCATGGGAATTCACTTAGAAATCATAAGCTTATTTAAGGGCTTCACCTCCTGGGATGCAAACAAACTTTTTTTTAGCTTACTGGTTTGATGTTCAAATCATGACTTTTAGGGGCTTAAAGCCCTAAAATATCTTTAAAAGATATTTTTAAAGTATGTACAGATTAGAAGTGTTTATATTAGAAAAGGAGGCCAAAATATTACATAATTAATTGGAAAGTGAACATAGTGCTGCCCTATATTTTGGGGTACTCAGAGTACAGTAGCTCATCTTGGGTGCTATTGTTTTCTCTCTACTCTCCCCACTTCTCACACATCCCTCCAGTGGTTTAACGTGGTCTCTCTTGCTTTAAAAATATTTTCTAAACTATATTCCATCATAATGATAGCCAATTAGTTATTAAATAATGTACAATGATGATAATGAATTCTGTTAAGCCGTTTACCAGAAACATCCCAGGCTATGGAGTGGATTTTAAGCATTGCCAGGAGGCAGCCAGACTGAAGCGAGGCTGCTCCCTGGAAGAGCCACTCAGCCAGCTTCCAGCCAAAGCAGCACAATCGTTCCTTTCCTTACAGGGTCTTAAAAAGCAAGACAGGATCTTTTGTTTTGTTTTGTTTTGTTTTAAGAATAATATCTTCAGAGCAGTTTTACATTTACAGAATTAATGCAAAGAAAGTACAGAGAGTTCTCGCATACCCCAGCCAGTTTCCTCTATTATTAATCCCTTGCGTTGGTGTGGTACATCTATCACAGTTACTGAACCAGTGTAGATACATCAGTAACTAGAGTTCATACTTTATTCAGATTTCCATAGTTTTCCCTAACGTCCTTTTTCTGTTCCAGGATCCCACCCAGCATATCGCATTACATTTAGTAGTCATGTGTCTTTAGGTTCCTCTTGGCTGTGGTAGTTTCTCAGAATTTCCTTAGTTTCGATGGCCTTCATAGTTTTGAGAATGACTGGTCAGGTATTTTGTAGATGATCCCTCATGATATTAGAATGGGGTAATATATTCTTGAGAGGAAGACCATAGAGGTAAAGTGCCATTCTCATCACATAATTAAAGGGTACCTGTTGGCATATATCTATCAGTATGTATAGGGAAGCTGGGCATAGTGGTCACTCTTGTAATCCTAGCTACTTGGGAGGCTGAGGCGGGAGGATCACTTGAGCTGGAGGCTGTAGTGCACAATGATTGTACCTGTAAATAGCCACTGTAGTCCAACCTGCGTGACATAGCAAGACTCCGTCTGTAAAAATAAAAAGAAGCAAGTATCAAATATAAGGGTATTATCAATTTGATTTTTCCCTATTGAAGTTAACTTTGATGACCTGGCTTAAGATATTGTTTGTCAGGTTTCTACTTTTCTTTTCCCTTTACTGGAAGGAAGTCACTGTGCATAGCCACACTTAAGATTTCTACCCCCTCAGAGTGGAGGCTCAGCATAAATTATTTGAATTTCTGCTTGGGAGATTTGTCCTTTCTCCCTCATCTGTTTATTTATCCAAGCATTTATTTATATCATTATTGGCCCAGATATTTACGTGATACTTCACTTTATAATCCAATACTACTGCTTTTTAAAATTTGTTGCTCAGATTGTTCCAGTTTTGACCATTAGAAGCTCCTTCTTTTAGTTTCCCTCTTGGGCTGCTGCTGCTTTTTTTTTTTTTTTTTTTTTTTCCTTCCCCAGATGGGGTCTTACTCTGTCACCTAGGCTGGAGTGCAGCGGCATGATCTCAGCTCACTGCAACCTCCACCTCCTGGGATGCAAGCAACGCTCCCACCTCAGCCTCTTGAATAACTTGGACTACAGGCATGTTCCATCACGCCTGGCTAATTTTTTGTACTTTTGATAGAGACAGGGTTTCGCTATGTTGCTCAGGCTGGTCTTGAACTCCTGAGCTTGGGCGGTCCACCTGCCTTGGCCTCCAAGGTGCTGGGATTACAGGTGTGAGCCACCGCGCCTGGCCTCCTGTGTTTAACATATATACTGTTGTTGTCATTGTGGGGTCTTTTTGTTTGTTTTTAAGCATTTCCTTTCTGGCACTACAAGATGCTTCAAGTTCATCTTGTATATTTCATGCCCTTGTCCTAGAATCAGCCTTTTCTCCAAGGACCAGGGCCATTTTTAATCTAATTTGAAAATTACATTCTCGATTGGGACTATTAAGTTTGAAGTAGAGAAAAATTGAACATTGACTAACTGCTGTTCATTGCATGATCATGAAGAATAGATCTTTGTCATCCTAGCACTTGTATTGCCAATTTATGAAGTAAAACAAATCATGTTAAAAAAAGAAAAAGAACAGGCAGTAAGCTCACATGCAAAGTAATTTTGAAGTTAATGAATAAATGCTTTGACTGGATGTGTGAACTTAAGCAAGTCCTATACCCTCTCTGACATCTATAGAATGAAGGGATTGGATTAGATAATCTCTGGGGCATCATCTCTTATTTTGTGATATTAGTTGTATAATTTTAGCTATTTGGTCAGTCCAGTGCAAAGTTGTGCTCAGTGTGCCCAAATTTCAGTAACAGATTTATTTTACTTTTGAAATATTTCACTAACACTGAGTAAATACATTTCAGCCCCATATTTCTACATTCCACAGCTTTTTATGAGTAGTTCATGAAAATGGCATACAACTTTACTGATAGTTCTGCAAACCTTCACAGTAGTGCTATAAGACAAAGTGTTTTTATTTCTCTTTTGCTCTTAAGTTGGAAAAGTTAAGGGATTAGCCTCTGGGTCAGTTCAGTATTAAAACAGGGCAACTCTCTAGGGTGCTAAATTTAACTGAACTATTAAGAGAATTATAATGTCTGCTATTTGGAGATGGCTGCCTATTCTTTTACAAAGTTGTGTTCAATTGCCTAATACCTTTGTATTTATAATAAGTGTATTATCTTACTATAGTATTTTGAAATAATATTCAAAATATTTTTTGGCAAACAACATCCTCATTTTATATGTGCTAATTCTATTTGGTTTTAAAACTGTTTTCGTATTATTAATAGAAAAGATAGTGTTCATAACTGTAAATACTTGCTTTCTCTATTAAACAGAAACCATTTCTCCACCGAAGGAGGAGAGTCCGAAAGCGCAAACACCACAATAGCAGTGTAGTCACAGAAACTATTTCTGAGACCACTGAAGTGTTAGATGAACCTTTTGAAGATTCTGACTCCGAGAGGCCAATGCCAAGATTAGAACCCACGTTTGAGATCGATGAAGAAGAGGAGGAAGAGGATGAAAATGAACTTTTCCCTAGAGAATACTTCCGTCGTTTGTCTTCGCAGGATGTACTCAGGTGTCAGTCCTCTTCTAAGAGGAAGTCTAAAGATGAAGAAGAAGATGAAGAGTCAGATGATGCTGATGGTATGTTTTACAGAACTCACTTACTGTGGTTTATTGTCTTCAGATATATAGCAGTAGCAGTGACAGACCCTTCAGTAAAAAGGCTGAAAAATGAACACAACCCACTAAGCAAGAAAAGGAACGTTTGGCAATCTCTAAAAAGTTGTATCAAGTATATCCATCTTGATTTTTAAATGTGTTTTCCCTTCAACTCAGAACCTCTATTAATTTGCCTCTGCAGAAAATATCTTACTATTAGGCAACTGTTCTTTTTTGCCCAATCCTTTCTAAGCCTTTATCAGAATCTTTAGTTAATGGGAGAGTTGGACTTAGCATCAGGAAGATGTAATAACCCTTCACTAGAATGTGCATTCTCTAGACTTAGTCTGTTTTGCTCATTGCTGTATGCTGAGTGCTTAAGCCCGGCGCTCAGTAAGTAGTGTTAAATGAGTGAATGCTAAGAAGACAATTCTCCAGAAAGAGCAGATTCATGTAAATTGGAACTTGTGTCACATCTGTTCAGGAGTCTTTCCTGAATTGTATCTCTAATGTGTCTTACCCAACTAGTAGTAAATTTCTCACAAATGGTAACAATAACTCAAAATAAATTTTATAGTATAGATACAAATCCAACTATTTACTTTTAAAGCAGCCTAGTTGTCATTTCTTCTCTAGAGACACTGAAACTAGGTCTCATATATATGAGCCAGGTCAGAAACAAGTCTTTTTCACCCTAGCCTAAAGTTTTGCCAGTGTCTCATGCTGCCTGCATCTGCAGTGTGTTTATCTCGCATGGGCTCAGAATGAGCATTTTTACTTTGTTGGGCAAATTTGAAGAAATCTACTTGTCCAGTCTTGGTACATAAACCTTTAGCTTTTATGCATTAACTGGTTGAACTTTTTAATTCTTTTAAAAATTCAGTCAGTTTCAAGTCTAGAAGATAAACTTACATTTTCTCCATTCTCATATTTTCTATATAACAAATACTTTTTTATTTTTTATTTTTTATTTTTTTGAGATGGAGTCTCCCTCTGTCACCCAGGTGGGAGTGCAGTGGCACAGTCTCAGCTCACTGCAACCTCCACCTCCGGGTTCAAGCGATTCTCGTGCCTCAGCATCCCAAGTAGTTGGGATTATAGGTGCACGCCACCATGCCTGGCTAATTTTTGTATTTTTAGTAGAGACGGGGTTTCACCATGTTGGCCAGGCTGGTCTCAAACTCCTGACCTCAAGTGATCCACCCGCCTTGGACTCCCAAAGTGCTGGGATTACAGGTGTGAGCCACCCTGCCTGGCCAACAAATACTTTTAATATAGTGATAAGATGAATGTGTTCTTTGCTCTATCATGAATGATTCTACAGAGTTTAACTTGCTATGTTTTGAAATAACATAACTAGGAAACTAAAAATTTATTTTGTAAATTTAGCACTTTATATTCTGTCTTAGATCATTGTACACTAAAATAGTACCCCTGATTAAGTTCCCATGGACTTAGATTTTTGCTGATGCAGCCATTTCCTTTGTTGACTTTCAAGTTACTACTACTAACTGTGCCTTTTTAGCCGTGCCCCCACTGCATCATGTTCTTGTCTTGGTATTCTTATTCTTTAAAAATTAATAGGCAATGTGAGTGTACTTAATGCCACTGAACTTAACACTTATAAATGGTTAAAATTTTAAGTTTTATGTTACGTATAGTTTACCATAGTTTTTTTAAAATGCTAATAATATAAAATTTATTTCTAATGAATGTAATTGGTGCTTTAATTTTTTCTTGTTTGTCTAAGTCTAAATGTCAGTTTTTGTCTAGGACTAAATAAATGCTTTGCAGCTATTCCCATACAAACACAACATTAATTGAACAACTGTTCACATACGATGGCTCAGTCATGGCCTAGAGTAATTGGCTCATCATACTACCTGAAGTGATGATTTGTGGAAAGTAAGAAAATCCGAGAGATAAAGTAAATCACAAGCAGAAAAAAAAAGAGGAAATAAGCTAATTTGTAACTTTTAGTAGAGACAACTTGATAAAAGTACTGCTTACTACTTATTTGCCTCTTTATAAAGTTCATCTCCATTTTACAGATGATGAAACTGAAATGTAGAGTAACTTCCCACAGACATGCAGCTGATGATGGTAGTCTTGAATTGGTTCTGACTAGTGTCTGATAACATAATGTTGACCAGGATTCTTTCATAGTTCTGCCAATTCACTGTGTGACTTAGAATATGTCACTAATTAGTTTTATCCTCTAGGTTCTTAACTTTAAAATGAAGACAATCAGGAGTTTATAAAAGTAATGATTAATAAAGTCATTTCTATTGTATATGCTAGTCTTGGAAGAAGGAACTAGAAAATGTAAGACCTTGTAACCTGTCTTTGTTTTTTTTCCTTCCTGTATAGACACTCCTATCTTAAAGCCAGTATCTCTTTTGCGAAAACGTGATGTGAAGAATTCTCCTCTTGAGCCAGATACATCCACACCTTTGAAAAAGAAAAAGGGATGGCCCAAAGGCAAGAGCCGCAAACCAATCCACTGGAAGAAAAGACCTGGTCGAAAACCAGGATTTAAGTTGAGTCGGGAAATCATGCCAGTTTCTACTCAAGCATGCGTCATTGAGCCCATCGTTTCCATTCCTAAAGCTGGACGTAAACCCAAGATCCAGGAGAGTGAAGAAACTGTTGAGCCAAAAGAAGACATGCCCCTACCCGAGGAGAGGAAGGAGGAGGAGGAGATGCAAGCAGAGGCAGAAGAGGCTGAAGAGGGTGAGGAAGAGGATGCAGCCAGCAGTGAAGTCCCAGCAGCCTCTCCAGCAGACAGCAGCAATAGTCCTGAGACCGAAACCAAGGAGCCTGAGGTGGAGGAGGAAGAAGAGAAGCCCCGTGTCTCAGAGGAGCAGAGGCAGTCAGAGGAGGAGCAGCAGGAATTAGAGGAGCCAGAGCCAGAGGAGGAGGAAGATGCAGCTGCAGAGACTGCCCAGAATGACGACCACGACGCTGATGATGAGGATGATGGCCACCTGGAGTCCACAAAGAAAAAGGAGCTAGAGGAACAGCCCACGAGGGAAGATGTCAAGGAGGAGCCTGGTGTTCAAGAGTCTTTTTTAGATGCTAATATGCAGAAGAGTAGGGAAAAGATAAAGGATAAAGAGGAAACCGAGCTGGATTCCGAAGAGGAGCAGCCTTCCCATGACACGTCCGTGGTGTCAGAGCAGATGGCTGGGTCTGAGGACGACCACGAAGAAGACTCCCACACTAAGGAAGAGTTAATCGAATTAAAAGAGGAGGAAGAGATTCCTCATAGTGAGCTGGATCTGGAAACTGTACAGGCAGTGCAGTCTTTGACTCAAGAAGAAAGCAGTGAGCATGAGGGCGCCTACCAGGACTGTGAGGAAACTCTTGCGGCGTGTCAGACCCTGCAGAGTTACACCCAGGCTGACGAGGACCCTCAGATGTCCATGGTTGAAGACTGTCATGCGTCAGAACATAATAGCCCTATCTCCTCCGTTCAGTCTCACCCCAGCCAGTCAGTCCGTTCGGTCAGCAGTCCCAACGTGCCTGCCCTTGAGAGTGGCTACACCCAGATCAGCCCAGAACAAGGATCCCTGTCCGCACCCTCTATGCAGAACATGGAGACCAGCCCCATGATGGATGTGCCTTCCGTATCAGACCACTCTCAGCAGGTGGTGGACAGCGGCTTCAGTGACCTGGGCAGCATTGAGAGCACCACTGAAAACTATGAGAACCCAAGCAGTTACGACTCCACGATGGGCGGCAGCATCTGTGGGAACAGCTCTTCCCAGAGCAGCTGCTCCTACGGTGGGCTGTCGTCCTCCAGCAGCCTCACCCAGAGCAGCTGTGTGGTCACTCAGCAGATGGCCAGCATGGGCAGCAGCTGCAGCATGATGCAGCAGAGCAGCGTCCAGCCTGCTGCCAACTGCAGCATCAAGTCACCTCAGAGCTGCGTGGTGGAGAGGCCTCCCAGTAACCAGCAGCAGCAGCCGCCACCACCGCCTCCACAGCAGCCACAGCCGCCGCCGCCACAACCACAACCAGCACCACAGCCTCCACCACCCCAGCAGCAGCCGCAACAGCAGCCGCAGCCTCAGCCCCAGCAGCCTCCACCCCCACCCCCTCCCCAGCAGCAGCCCCCGCTGTCACAGTGTAGTATGAATAACAGTTTCACCCCAGCTCCTATGATCATGGAGATACCAGAATCTGGAAGCACTGGGAACATAAGTATCTATGAGAGGATTCCAGGGGATTTTGGTGCCGGCAGCTACTCTCAACCATCAGCCACCTTCAGCCTAGCCAAGCTGCAGCAGCTGACCAACACCATTATGGACCCTCATGCCATGCCTTATAGCCATTCTCCTGCTGTGACTTCCTATGCAACCAGTGTTTCTCTGTCCAATACAGGACTGGCTCAGCTGGCTCCATCTCATCCCTTAGCTGGGACTCCTCAAGCACAAGCCACCATGACGCCACCCCCAAACTTGGCATCCACTACCATGAACCTCACATCTCCTCTGCTTCAGTGCAACATGTCTGCCACCAACATTGGCATTCCTCACACGCAGAGATTGCAAGGGCAAATGCCAGTGAAGGGGCACATTTCCATCCGCTCCAAGTCTGCGCCACTGCCCTCTGCGGCTGCTCACCAGCAGCAGCTGTATGGCCGTAGCCCATCGGCAGTTGCCATGCAGGCTGGCCCTCGCGCACTGGCTGTTCAGCGTGGCATGAACATGGGGGTTAATCTGATGCCTACTCCCGCCTATAATGTCAATTCCATGAATATGAACACCTTGAATGCCATGAACAGCTATCGAATGACACAGCCCATGATGAACAGCAGTTACCATAGTAACCCTGCCTACATGAACCAGACAGCACAGTATCCTATGCAGATGCAGATGGGAATGATGGGGAGCCAGGCCTATACCCAGCAGCCTATGCAGCCTAACCCTCATGGGAACATGATGTACACAGGCCCCTCCCATCACAGCTACATGAACGCTGCTGGCGTGCCCAAGCAGTCACTCAACGGACCTTACATGAGAAGATGAGCAAGATGAACTTGCAATCAAAAACTTAAATATATATAAATAAAGGAACCTTTTATACTGACAAACCAGAGAAAAATGGACCTTTTTCCAGTTAAAATATTGCTGTAGATTTAGAGGAATTTTTCTTTGGTTTATTTTATTTTTTAGAAAACCTGATCTTCTCTTTTTTTGGGTTCATTTTGTTCTGGGTTTTGGTTTTCTTCACAATCTTGAACATTTTACAGTAGAACTCATCTAAAAATGGATTTGGGGATGGGGAAACATGCACAAAATCTTTTCATAATTAAAAAGAGCCTTACTTTCTTTACATACCACATGGACAGAATTTGTGTAAAAGTGAATTATCTTTATTTTAAAATGTATGTTTCCCCTCACTGTTTGCAGCTCCCAATGTTGTCATTTTTAAATGTTATATACATCTCAAGGGTTAACCAGACCCTTTCCTCCAAACCCAACCTTTCATTTCCTACTTCATTCCAGCAGGAGGCACTTAGGGGAGACTCGGATGGGGACATGGAGAACAACCCAAGCTCCTTAAACTTATTATTATTGTTAATATTATTATTATTATTATTAATAAAGTGAGGCAGGAAAATGCTTCTCCTTTTAAAATCCCCTCCACTCCTCACACACACACACCTCTTGAAACCCTTCCCCAAGAATGTTTCTTTATAGACGGACTTCATTGAAATCTTTGTTGTTCTTGAATCAAGTGTAATATAATTTTTTTCTTCTTTTTTAAAATATTCCCACTCAGCACTCAGAGACACAAAAATACTGTAAGTCTCAATTAACAGCAGAATCTCAGAGAAAAGCTGTTTGCAATCCAAATCCAGCCTTTGGAGGAATAGAGATGGTCAATTAACAATCAAAAAGAGGAGATTAACCTCTTGTTTTTTTACCACCTGGTGAATCAGCCATAACGCACACACACGCCACCCAGCCTCTTGTTTCTAGTATGTACTTTGAAATGCTAACTGAGGGTCTTGATGCTTGAGCCTTTGACTGATAAAACTCAAATAGCAGTCCCCAGTGATTTGCCTCTTAGGTTCTTTCTTAAATTGTTGGTGGATGACTGTACATTTTAGTGATTTGAAAAATAACTGACAAACCATTGAAACAGTTTATTTTATGTTGGAAGAGATGGCGCAGATGTGTGTCAGAAGGGAGATCACGGTGTGAGTTTCGTAGCTATTTAAGTGATACATACCTCTAGTTTTTGTATGTCTTTTGAGATCCTGAGTTCATCCCCTGTGAATCAGAGTGCACAAGCACCTCTCCTGTGAGTGGCTAATGAGAAGAGGGACAGACCGACCACCAGCACAGTAGGGCAGATCTGGACAGCAGAATGTTATAACGCAAGTTCATGTGTTGCTCCCAACTCCATTCTCTTTTCTCTCGTGCAACCAGTTTGCCCATTCTCTTCCTATTACTTGCTCCAGGGATAGGTAAAAAAAAAAAAAAAAAAAAAAAAAATATATATATATATATATACACACACACACACACACACACACACACATATATATATATATATATTCCATCATTAGAAGATGGAAACTATTATACCACTTGGTATGTGCAGTCAAATATCCAAAAGGGGGAAGTACTGCTTAGAGAAATATCTGTAAGCATTAAATTCTCTCCTTTATTTGTACATTTTATATAGATAAATTTTTAAAGTACTAATTAGGCATTAACTTTTTTCAAATGCACAGGTTTGTTGGTTTTTTTAATACACTTTAATTGACTTTCTCAAGCGTGCTAGGTAGAAACGCAGAATTCCACATCTTCCCGCTCTCAGCTCTGAGCATGTGCAAGGCTGTGTAGGACCCAGTTTCTCTGTATATACTATTCCAGTTCCCAGTCATCTATGTAGAAAGTGCACTGTGCTGCCATCGCCCTACATCTTCAGCTGTGTCATTGCTTCCTGGTTGGGGTGGGGACGGGGTGGGTCGGGAGGGAGGTATATTGGGAGGAGGGTGGGTCAAGGCAGAAGGAGAAGCTGTTGAAATGAGGGCCGTGAAATCAGTTTCTGTTGGTTTGCGGTTGTGTTTGGTTTTGTTTGTTTCTTTATAAAAAATTCAATCGGGCAGCTCCCTTTTCCACAAGCCTCTTTGTGACTGTAGAACTATTGTAGAAAAAAAAAGTTCTTTTCTATATTATAAAAGAAATTATCCAACACAGTAATATTGGTACCTGTCATTTTTTCACTTCTGTTTAAAAAAAATGTATTTTTAGCAAGATAACTTGGGTAATCTTCTAAAAAAGAAATTTAAAAACTCACTGTTAGTGACTTTGATGCCTTTTAAAATAAGAGCTTTTTCATTTCATTCCATCTTTAAAATTTTTTATCTTTGTTGTAGAATATTAAAAACTATTTTAAGAAAGATAAATTCTCTTTAAAGAGATCTCTAGCGTGTGTGAATAGAGCTCCAGATGCCTCTAAAAGCCGCATGTACAAAGGAAGCCACGTCTATCCTGTCTGTTTATATTTGCTTTTCCTGTTTTGTAACCTCTTTGTACTTTGTTCATGGTGACTTGTAAGCTAAGGGGAAGGGGTGCCTAGATGCCTTTGTATCTCTCCATGTCACGCGCTCCTGGGCCAGCCGGCCTCCCTTCCTCTCCTTGTATGTAATACCTTTTTTTCCCCTTTCTAGCAAGTACTTTCAAAAGAACTCTGTACATTTTAACATAAAAAATAAATTATGTTGAGCCATTTTGGATGTCTGTCTTGCATGTGGAATTTTTCTCCCTTCCCAGTATGTCAGAACTCTTCAATTCTTGTTCTACACCCAGAGACCTATAAACATTAGTCTTTTCATTTTCCTCTTTATTATAGGAGTACAAGTCCATGGCCTTTGCTTTGAAATTCCAGTTTTCATTTATGTCTGTGTTTAAATGCCAACAATATGGATGGGTTTTCCATTTCCAAGGAACATGGCACGGTAACCCTACTTTGGATTTTGTAGGGGCATTCATATAAAAACCTCCTAAAGGGATTTTAATTCCCGTCCCCCCCACTCCCCTAAAAAAAAGCAATTGCAATAACAAGTAGCTCCTAGACTTGTGATAAATGGGAGGAGTAATTTTTATAGATCTTATTTTATAATGTAACAGTATTTTTAAAAGCGTTGTGGGTTTTTTTTCATTTCATTTTACCTAATTGGGTAATCTAGGAAGATTCGTCATTCTCCTTTTGCCAGAATTCAAGGCCCTGAATGCTGATTACTTTTTGGTGGTCTCTTGGGTTGTGTTTGCCTCTCATCATTTAGAATTGTGGACAGGAGGCAGAGTCCAGAAAATTTGATTTCACTTTGGGAAATTGGCCTTAGTTTCTGGTGGTAGGCAGTGAGGCAGGTTCAAGTTTTAGCGGCCTCCACACTTCCTCTGCCCCTTCACACTGAGGAATTGAGGAACTGTACATGATACTACCTATAGCAGACATTTGTTCTGAATTTCATGCTGTTTAAAGTTTAGACAGTATAGTCATGTCATCTCAAAAGGAATGATGTATGTCCGTTGATTTCTTGGCTGGCTTATATAACCATTATTTGGACACAGGCTGTGTCACTGTGCTATGCAATTACTAGTGGATTGTCTTGAAAACATTCTTGCCTTTGCCACTGAAGAGTATTTGCTTTAAGTGATTTCAACATAAACCAATTATGTTTTTTCAATATAAGAGATAATGTGGCCAAAGACTATTCTAGACTTTCAAAAAACATACATAAATATATTTATATTGCATTTAAGTATTATTTGAATTATATAATCCCATGTATAGCCAAGGAACAAATGAGTTGTTCGGAGTAGGGGAGGTGCTCCTATTTCTTTGTTGTCTCTCCACCTCCTGCTGACAGTAGATTGGGGAGGATGACACACTCAATGTGTGTGATACTGAGAACCCTAGTCCACCAACCTGTCGTCGAACTTTCAGAAACTAGAGCACCAGGAATCACATTCTTTTAAAGCCTTTCTGGGCACTTTAGGTGGTGCCTGGCTTCCTTTGTAGCATGGTGACACCTGTATGAACTCCCTAAACACCAGTCTTGGCAGCCTCACAGTTCCAGCTCTTTAGGTGAAAATTATTATTTCAGATTATCCAAATCACAGCTCAGGCAGTGTGGTGATTTTCGTCATATTCCTTCCTCTAGTCTTTTCATAATGTACAAGATGTGGGTCAATGGTGATGGTAATTGAAAGGAATAGTGAAAGAAACAAAAAATGCTATCTTTGGCAGAACAGAGTATGCAGGATCCTTATGATGAGTGGTGGGGGAAAGGAGCTCTACTTATTGATGTGATATTCAAGAAACCTAAAAATTCAAATGAATGATTCCTGTAAACTCAAAATATCATTTAGAGTAACATTTTTAGTGTTGACAAGTGTCTGGAATTCTTTTTTTTTTTTTTTTTTTTTGAGATGGAGTCTCGCTCTTGTCGCCCAGGCTGGAGTGCAGTGGCACGATCTTGGCTCACTGCAAGCTCCGCCTCTCGGATTTATGCCATTCTGCCTCAGCCTCCCGAGTAGCTGGGACTACAGGCGCCCGCCGCCAGGCCCGGCTAATTTTTTGTGTTTTTAGTAGAGGCGGGATTTCACCATGTTAGCCAGGATGGTCTCAATCTCCTGACCTTGTAATTGCCTGCCTCGGCCTCCCAAAGTGCTAGGATTACAGGCATGAGCCACCATGCCTGGCCATGTCTGGAATTCTTGAGCATGGTCATCCAAGTAAAAGCCTACAGTCCCCAGAACAAAACCCAACCCATTTTTGTTAAAAAGTTTCTGTTAGTGGGCAGGATGGGTTTGTTAGGTAAATTGGTGTGGTTACGTAACACAACTTAGACCCATAGATTTTCTTTCCAGAGTGACAGCTACAGATTGGGCTTCATGGAGATTTTTAGCTATGTTAGTAAGGAGCCTACATACTGGTATACCAATTGCATAAGGCCTCAAAAAGGTGGCAGCTGTCATTTTTGCCTAAAATAAGGAAAGCCTGGGATATGATGGACTTTGGTTTTTGAGGTCTTTTAAGGCCCTGGACAGAGATAGTCATAGGGAATGTTTTCCTGTGGCTATTATGAACAAATTTTGTGAGTGTGAAATACACATTCTTGTTATTTCAAGGAAAAAATGTTCTAACATTTAACTTTTTACTAAATAGACATTTCTGAAAGTCACATTTAAGCCATTTCAAAAAAGAAGTAGTGAATGTGTTCTCTGGGATGGTGAGTTCATTTTTAACTGTTCTTAATTTATACATGCACAAAGATGAGCCAGCAAGGTAAACATGATGAACTGAGGTCAGCTGTTGCCTGTGCTTCAAGTGCACACCAACATTTCACTTTAGAGCTGGTGCATTTAATTGGAATTTCTATTAATATGCATTGAAAAATGGACATCTGCTTAATGTTGGAAGACATGAGCCATTCAAATCATCTCTCATTAAAATTGGCCTTAAAGAGCTTTTTGAGCCCCAGAATCTTAATATTTTAAAAGTTTTATATAAAACCTTTAAATTGGTATTCTAAGTGTAAAGTCTGTTGTGAACAAAGTAAAAACATTCATACACAATTTCCTTGCTAGGACTGAGGCTCTGTCCCATGTACAAGCAAGTTTCACTGGTTTAATTGATTTGTTACATTTAGTAAAATTGCTTGATTTAATTTTTTTCTTTTTTTCTTTTTTTTTTTCTTGAGCTAGTCTGACTCTGTCACCTAGGCTGGAGTGCAGTGGCGCTATCACAGCTCACTGCAGCCTTGACCTCGTGGGCTCAAGTGATCCTCCCACCTCAGCCTTTCCAAATGCTATAGTTTTCTTTGTAAATGAAGGTTAATAAAGCAGTTGTAGTCAATTACATCAAAATGATTGAATTTGATCATAGTTTTCCAAAGAAAATGAAAACATTGACAAAGAGACAGTGATTAAGGCTTTACTAATAAAGGCAAGGACTTCTTGCAAATGGGATAATTACATGATTTCAAAGAAGTTTGTCTTACCTCCTGTTTAGAGAAAACAGCTAAAATTAACTAGAACTAACCTGACATTCTCAAAGGATGATTGAAAGCTGTAAATCTGAAAGCTGAATAATATGTATTATTGCAAGAACAACTTTAAAAGGTCAGGGAAGTAGTTCAATTAAAAGAACAGAGGAATACAAAGCAAAGCAGACTCAAGCCAGCTACTGCCACTCACCTTTGCTGAGTCTCAGCACAGGGATCTCAGGTTGCAGTGCTGCTGCTATCAGGCAACTCCCCGCTCCGTGGGGTCTGCCTTGCTGCCAGCGGACTGCCATCTAAACTGCTTTCCTCTGCAGCCTCAGGTGTCACACGAAGACATGAAAATGCCCATGCAATAAGATGGACTTGGTTCCCTTACATCTTTTTTAAACCCCTTGTTATTGTGAAAATAAAGCACATACAGAAAAGTCAATAAAACACATATAGCTGAATGCATTTGTCTAAAGTGAATACCTCTCTAAAAATAAATCAGGCTGCAAAATAGAACTGCAGCTCAGTAGTCCCTCCACTGTGGCTTGGAGGGCCCTTCCTAAGCACAGTCTACCCTCCCAAGCGGAAATGATCACCATCCAGGCTTAGGCGGTAAATCTTTTTCTTGTATCTTACTACCTAGGTGTGCATTCTTAAGCATCATAGCTTCACTCTATCTTGTTTTGAAGCTTACAGAAATGGAATCATACAGTTTGCATCTGGCTTCCCTCAACATGTTCGTGAGATTTGTTTATGAAGTTGGACGTTGCTGTAGTTCATTTATTTTCACTGCTGTATAATATTATATGACTACAAAAAATGTATACATTCTAAAGTTGACAAATATGTAGGTTTCAGTTTGGTTTATTACCAATGATACTGCTGTGTTTAATCCCACATACATCTGGTGCACATTTGCAGACATTGCTCATAGGTATGCTCCTAAAAGGTGAATTGCTGGATGATCAGGCAGGTGTAACTCCAGCTGTACCACCTAACGCCAGACTCAAAAGTAACCATTCCGTTTCTTGTTGTTGGCCCCCATTAGCCGTGTATGAAAGTTCTTGTTATTCCACATTCTTGTCAATACTTGATATTTTCAAATATTTCAATTTCTGCCAGTCTGGTGTGTGTGTAGTGGAATCTCTGTGATTTTCTTTTGCATTTCTCTGATTACTAATGAAGTTGAGTACCTTTTCATATGCTTAGTGGCTATTTGAGATTCCTCATTTGTGAAGAGTGTGTTTAAGTCTTGTGCCTGGATCGTTATTGAATTGCCTTTTTCTTATTGATTTATAGGAGTACTTTATATACTTTGAATAAGAGTCTTTGGTCAGTTACTTATGTCACACGTATCTTCTGCCATTCTGGGACTTGCCCTTTCACTTTAAGGGTATCTTTTGATGAACATAAGTTTTTAGTGTGTTCCAAGTTCAGTAGTATCTTCCTTTATGGGTAGTGCTTTTTTCTGTGTGGGTTGGGAAATCTTTCCCTACTCTGAGATTATAATGGTTTTATCTGATATTCTCTAGTTTCTAACAGCTTATTTTGCTTACATTGTTAAATCTTTAAAGTATCTGAAATTGATTTTTGTTCATGGCATGAGGTAGGGACCAGTTTCATCTTTTCCCCATGTGGAGACACGGTTCTGACAGCACTATTTCTTTCTCCACTGCTCTATGTCAAGTGTCCATATACGCATCAGCCTATTTCTGGACGATTTATTCTGCTTCATTGATCTCTATGTCTATTCTGGTTTGATTACTGTAGCTACAAAATAAATCTTCATATTAAGTAAAGCAAGTCCTCCTCCTAAGTTGTTTTTCTTCTCAGAAGTGATTGACCCTTCTAGGCTTTGTGCATGTCCATATATTTTTAGAATTAACGTATTAGATTCCTAAATGATCATAATGACATTTTATTTTGATTGCATTTATTCTAAAAATCAATTTAATGAAAATTGACAACAGTATTGATTCTTCCATTCACCGAACATTATATCATTTTTTCTTTTTTTGGTCTTACGGCACTGGCTCAGTACAGTGTTGAAGTCATTAGAGCAGGCATACCCTTAATCACATGAAGGAATATCCATTCAATTCCTAGTTTCCTAAGAGTTTTTATCATAAAAGGATGTTGAATTTTATCAAACACTTTTTCTGCATTATTGGAAAGGCATGATTTTTTTCTCTCATACACACATGCATTGCATACACTTAAACACAAGACAATTTCATATCAATTAGGAAGGGATAAATGGAGTTAAAGTGCTTCAACGTCTTTCAATGTCTTGATTAATATTACTGAGAAATTAAAGATACTTTTTTTGAAAGATGCATATTTTAATTTCCAGGGTAATCACTAAAAGAACAGAAACAGTGTGTAATTCCAAAATAATACAAGGAGAAAATGGAATGATAAAATGTGAAAAATAATCTGAAAGAAGGGAACAAAGGAGAGAAAAGACACAAGTAAATAGAAAAGACATTATAAATAGACTTAAACCCAAATATATCAGTAATTAAGTGATTTGTAAATGGACTAAATATTCCATTTAAATGACACAGATTATTAGAAAAATAAAGCTTAAAAACCTTATATGCTGTTGATAAGAGAAACATCAAAAACATAAGAAAAACATAAGTTAAAAAAATAGAAAAACTATGTTAGGAAATCACTAACAAAAGAAAGCATTAGTATAGGTATATTAATATGAGACAAAATAGAATTTAAGGCAAAAAGGATTACCAAAATAAAGAGGGTTAAAAATGGTAAAAGTTTTAATTCATCAGGAAGGTATAAAAATTCTAAATTCATATGGCCTTATTAATGTGATCCTAAAATATATAAAGCAAAAATGGGCAAAACTATAATGAGAGAAAAATCATAGAGGGAGGTTTTCTTAAAAAAAATTAATGTACTTGATTTACTAGACCAGTTTTAGGTTTACAGCAAAATTGAGTAGAAAGTACAAAATGTTCCTTGTCCCCACACATGTACAGCCTCCCCGATTATTGACATCCTCCTCCACAGTGGTACATTTGTTACAATTGATCTACATTGATACATCATTATCACCCAAAGTCTGTAGTTGACATTAGAGCTCAGTCTTCGTGTTGTACATTCTGTGGCTTTCCCCAAATGTATGATGACGTGTCCACCATCATACAGAATAGTTTGACTCCCCTAAAAATTTTCTGCCTAGTCATCCCTCCCCACTATTCCTTGGCAACCCCTAATCTTATTACTGTTTTCATAGATTTGTCTTTTTCAGAATGTCATATAATTGGAATCATACAGCATGTGACCTTTCAGATTGGCTTCTTTCACTTAGTAATAATATGCATTTAAGTTTCTTCCATGTCTTTTCATAGCCTGACAGCTCATGTCTTGTTAGTGCTAAATAATATTCCATGGTCTGGATGTACCAGTTTATCCATTCATCTACAAAAGGACATCTGGTCCCTGCCAATGCTGGCTATTGTGAACAGAGCTGATAAATGTCTGTTTGCAAGTTTTTGTGTGGAGACAAGTTTTGAATTCATTTATATGAATACCAAGAAGGGCAATTGCTGGATTATATGGTAAGAGAATATTTACTTTTGTAAGAAATTACCAAACTGTCTTCTAAAGTGACTGTACTATTTTGCATTTCCACCAGCAATGAATGAGAGTTCCTGTTGCTCCACATCGTTACCAATATTTGGTGTTGTCAATGTTTTGGATTTTGGTAATTTTTTTTTTTTCACTGAGACATCACTGGATTTTGGTCATTCTAATAGGTGTGTAGTCATGTTTCATTGTTGTTTTAATTGGCATTTCCTTGATGACATATGATGTGGAGCATCTTTTCACATGCTTATTTGCCACCTGTATATCTTCCTTGGCAAAATGTCTGTTCGGGTCTTTTGCCCATTTTTATATTGGGTTGTTCATTTTCTCATCATTGACATTTTTTATTTATTTTTATTTTTATTTTATTTTATTTTAGTTATTTTTTGAGACAGAGTCTTGCTCTGTCGCCGGGCTGGAGTGCGGTGGCATGATCTCGACTCACCACAACCTCTGCCTCCCCGTTCAAGCAATTCTCCTGCCTCAGCTTCCCAAATAGTTGGGATTACAGGTACAGGTTACCATGCCCAGCTAATTTTTTATATTTTTAGTAGAGGTGGGGTTTCACCATGTTGGCCAGGCTGGTCTTGAACTCCTCACCTCAAATGATCTGCCCACTTCGGCCTCCCAAAGTGCTAGGATTAGAGGCGTGAGCCACCGCACCCAGCCACATCATTTACTCTTTTTTTTGAGACGGAATCTCGCTCTATTGCCAGGCTGGAGTGCAGTGGCACAATCTCGGCTCACCACAACCTCCACTTCCTGGATTCAAGTGATTCTCCTGCCTCAGCCTCCCAAGTAGCTGGGACTACAGGTGTGTGCCACCATGCCTGGCTAATTTTTGTATTTTTAGTAGAGACGGGGTTTCCCTATGTTGGCTAGGCTGGTCTTGAACTCTTGACCTTGTGATCCATTTGCCTCAGCCTCCCAAAGTGCTGGGATTACAGGCGTGAGCCACCGTGCCTGGCCCATCATTGACTTTTAAGAGTTCTTTATGTATTTTGGATTCCTTTATCAGATGTGTTATTTGCAAATATGTTCTCCCAGTCTGTGGCTTGTCTTCTCATTCTCTTGTGAGAATTGTCTTTTGCAGACAAAAGTTTTGAACTTTAATGAAGTCCAGCTTATCAATTATTTCTTTCATGAATTGTGCCTTCAATGTTGTATCTAAAAAGTCATTGCTATACCCAAGGTCATCTATGTTTTCTCCTGTTCTAGTAATTCCATAGTTTTGCATTTAGGTCTGTGATCCATTTCAAGTTAATTTTTGTGAACAGTATCAGGTCTGTGTCTAGATTCTTTTTTTTTTGCATGCGGATGTCCAGTTGTTCCAGCACCATTTGTTGAAAATACTATCCTTACTTCATGGTACTGCCTTTGCCCCTTTGTCAAAGATCAGTTGACTATATGTATGTAGGTCTATTTCTGGTCTCTTTATTCTGTTTCATTGATCTATTTTACTATCCTTTCACCAATATCACACTGTCTTTTTTTGAGATGGTGTCTCACTCTGTTGCCCAGGCTGGAGTGCAGTGGTGCGATCTCAGCTCACTGCAACTTTCGCCTCCTGGGCTCAAGTGATTCTCCTGCCTCAGCCTCCTGGGTAGCTGGGATTACAGGTTCCCACCACTGCACTTGGCTAATTTTTGTATTTTTAGTAGAGATGGGATTTCACCATGTTGGCCAGGCTGGTCTCAAACTCCTGACCTCAAGTGATCTGCCCACCTCGGCCTCCCAAACTGCTGGGATTACAGGCGTGAGCCACCATGCCTGGCCACACACTGTCCTTATATTGTTGCTTTATAGCAAGTCTTGAAGTCAGATGGTGTCAATCCTCCAATTTTGTTTTTCTCTTTCAATATTGGGTTGGTTATTTGGGTCTTTTGCCTGTACACTTTAGGATCAGTTTTTCAATAATCCACAAAATACCTTGCTGGGATTTTAATTGGGATTGCATTGAGTCTATAGATCAAGTTGGGAAGAACTGACATCTTGACAATATTGAGTCTTTCCTTCTATGAAATGAATATCTCTCAATTTATTTATTTCTTCTTTTTTTCATCAGCGTTTTGAAGTTTTCCTCATATGGATCTTGTACATATTTTGTTAGATTAAGAACTAAGTATTTCAGTTGGGGGGATGCTAATGTAAATAGTGATATGTTTTTAATTTTGAATTCTACTTGTTTATTGCTGGTATATTGGAAAGTACATAGTGGGAGATTTTGCTGACTCTTCTAGGTGTATGACAGAATAGCAGACAAATCAATCATGATATAAAAGAATTGAACAGGTGTAGTAAAATTGTCCTAATGGACAAATATAAAACATAACAAAATATGCAATATCTTTAAAAATTGACCATACATACAGCAATAAAACATATTTCAACAAATATGAAAAGATTGAAATCACACAGAGTAAGTCTTCTGACTATAATGTGAATGTGCTAGAAATCTATTTAAAAAGGCCAGGCGCAGTGGCTCACACATGTAATCCTAGCACTTTGGGAGGCCGAGGCGGATGGATCACCTGAGGTCAGGAGTTCAAGACCAGCCTGGCCAACATGGTGAAACCCCATCTCTACTAAAAATACAAAATTAGCCGGGCATGGTGGCACATGCCTGTAATCCCAGCTACTTGGGAGGCTGAGGCAGGAGAATCACTTGAACCTGGGAGGCAAAGGTTTCAGTGAGCTCAGATTGTGCCATTGCACTCTAGCCTGGGCAACAAGAGCGAAACTCCATCTCAAAAAAAAAAAAAAAAAAAAAAAACTGGAAAATTCCCAGATATTTAGAAATTAAGAAATGCTTTTAGATAATTAATGAGCCAAAGAAGACTAGAAATTAAAAAACATGCCTGGGCGCAGTGGCTGACACCTGTAATCCCAGCACTTTGGTAGGCTGAGGCGGGCAGAACACGAGTTCAAGAGATCAGGACCATCCTGGCCAACATGGTGAAATCCCCTCTCTACTAAAAATTAGCTGGGCGTGGTGGCACACATCTGTAGTCCCAGCTGCTTGGGAGGGTGAGGCAGGATAAGTGCTTGAACCTGGGAGGCGGAGGTTGCAGTGAGCCGAGATCGCGCCACTGCACTCCAGCCTGGCGACAGAGCAAGACTCCATCTCAAAAAAAAAAAAAAAAAAAAGAAATTAGAAAATATTTTGAGCTGAATTATTTGCAACCCGTATGAAATAATGGATCTAGGCAAAGATTATCAAATGCCACTAGCATCTCAAAAAGAAACACCTGGGATATTGTGTGCCTTTTCATACCACCTATGAAAATACCCTTGTCAGAAAACCATGCTGGTTCTAAATGTGCTTCAATTTATCAGTTTACAGAAAACACAAGGGACAGAGGCACATGGTAAACACCACCACAGGGATGGAAGCAACCACATCTAGACCATGAGAAACTTCACAGGATAAATGACAGATCAATTACAAGGAATAATAGGAGAGGAGGGCATGGAGGGTGAAGATTAAGAGATTTAAGAAATATGTGAATGAAATGCATCCTGATTCTGAGAAATTACAACTTTTATGAGGTAGCAGTTTGAACACTGAAGATTTGATGATGTTGAGGATTTTCAACTTTAAGGTGTGAAATAGTGATATTGTCTTTATTTTTTGAAAGGTCATTTTATTTACAGTTAAATCCTGAAATAAGGCTGGGCGCGCTGGCTCATGCCTGTAATCCCAGCACTTTGGGAGGCCGAGGCGGGTGGGCCACGAGGTCAGGAGATTGAGACCATTCTGGCTAACACAGTGAAACCCTGTCTCTACTAAAAATACAAAAAATTAGCGGGTGTGGTGGCACATGCCTGTAGCCCCAGCTACTTGGGAGGCTGAGGCAGCAGAATTGCTTGAACCTGGGAGGTGGAGGTTGCAGTCAGCCGAGATCACACCACTGCACTCCAGCCTGGGTGACACAGCGAGACTCCATCTCAAAACAGACAAACAAAAAAAAGCTGAAATAAGTATTGATGCAAGGATATTGTGTCTGGAATTTGCTTCAAAATAATCCAGCATTGGTCTAAAGGAAATAATATTAACAATGAGCTGATAAATGTTGAAATTGGCTAGTGAGTACATGGGGTTTCATGATACTATTCTCTCTACTTTTGAAGATATTGAAAGGCTAAAGAAGTATTTAGAGGGAAATTTATGGCCTTAATGAAAAATGTATATAGTCAAAAAAAAGAAAAAAAGAGCCAAAGATGAATGGCCACTATGCACCCACTAGATTAACATTGAAAGGATTGAAAATATAAAGTATTGGCTGGGCGTGGCGGCTCACACCTACAATCCCAGAACTTTGGGAGGTGGAGGCAGGTGGATCACTTGAGGTCAGGAGTTTGAGACAAGCCTGACCAACATGGTGAAACCTCATCTCTATTAAAAATACAAAAATTAGCCAGGCGTGGTGGCGCACGCCTGTAATCCCAGCTACTTGGGAGGCTGAGGTGGGAGAATCACCTGAACCCGGGAGGTGGACGTTGCAGTGAGCTGAGATGGCACTACTGCATTCCAGCCTAAGCAACAGAGAGAAACTCCATCTCAAAAAAAAAAAAAAAAAAAGAAAAAGGAAAAGAAAAGAAATATAAAGTATTAATAAGAACATGAAGCAACTTATAAACTACTATGGGAGTATAAATTAGTTTAACTACTTTTGAAAGCTTCTTGGCGTTATCTGGTACAGTTGAAGTTATGCATGTTCCGTCCCTCAGCAATTCCACAGTAAGTTACAAACTTAGAGAAATACAAGTCCATGTGTCTCAGGGTACATGTACAAGAATGTTCATAACAGCATACATAATTTGCAGCGGCCCAAAACAGTCCACATACCGTCACAATAGAATGGTTATTTGCAGTATGTACATGCCGAATTCTACACGCCAATGAAATTTAAAGAACTACAGTTACATGCAATGAATGAATCTGAAGTATAATGTGCAAAAGAAGCCAAAAAAAGAATACCTAGGACACCGAAAAACACAATCCATTAAAGAAAAAAAATGATAAATTGAATTCCATTAAAAAAAAAACTGCTCTTTGAAAGACACCACTAAAAAATGAAAAGTTTGGCCACAGGGTGGGAGATATACATATTTACAATATGTATATCTGACAAAGGACTGGTGTCCAGATACGTAAGGAACTCTTTCAACTTGATAGTATAAACAATCTAATTTTTAAAAATGGTTAGGAGATTTGAACAGACACTTTACCAAAGAAGATATACGGATGACCACTAATACGTGAAAAGATGTTTAGTATCATTAGTAAGGAAATACAAATTACAACTGCAGTGAGATACTGTTTCCCACAATTAGAATGGAAAAGACTAAAAAGTGGCCATATTAAGTGTTGATCAGGACATGGAGAAATGTGTACTCTCATGTATCGCTGATGGCAGTGTAAGAGAGTAAACCACATTGAAAAGCAGTGCTCTGGCCATTTCTTAAAAAGTTAAACATACACTTCCCACATCCATCCCAGCAGGTCCACTCCTGGGTATTTACCCAAGAGAAACAGAAGCATATGTTCCCCCAAAGACTTCTGCACAAATGTCTGTAGCAGCTTGAGTCACAAATGACCAACACTGGAAAGAACCCAGATGTCCATTAGCTGTTGAGTGGACACACATGGTATAGCCATACAATGGAACAGTAACTGTCCAATAAAGGACATACACAACAATATGAGTGAATCCCAAAACCCTTTGCTGAACAAAAGAAGCCAGATTTGAAAGAGTGCTTTCTATATCATTCCACTTATATAAAGCTTTAGAAAAGGCAAAACTGCTGGGCGTGCCTGTACTCCCAGCAACTTGGGAGGCTGAGGCACAAGAATCACTTGAACACGGGAGGTGGAGGTTGCAGTGAGCTAAGATCATTGCCACTGCACTCCAGCCTGGGGGACAAAGTGAGACTCTGTCTAAAAAAAAACAAAAAACAAAAAACAACGCAAAACTGACCTACGGTGACGGAGAGCAGAAGGGGTTGCTGGGGATTGGGGGAGAGATTAACTGCAAAGGGCACAGGAAATTTCCGGGGCAATGGAAACATTCTGTATCTAGTTGACACCTAGCAAACTGCACATGAAAATGGATACATTTTACTGCATATAAATTATACCTAATCAAATTTAATTTTTTAAAAAACAAGTGATATTCATACACCCCAATAGCATTATTCATAATACCCCAAAGATGGAAACAACCCAAGTGTTCATGAACAGATGAATGGATGAACAGATGTGGTCTATTCACACCACGGGATATGACTCACCCTTTAAGAGGAGGGGGATGCTGCACACCCTGCACCGTGGATGCACCTTGAGGGCACAAGGAATGAAAGGGCCAGTTACAAAGGGACAGATCCCATGTAGATGAGGCACCTCCTGAGCCCTGCCTGGTGGTCACACCATCTGTCTGCAGGCCCCTGGATGGCCCACTAAACACCTGTGCCAGCTGCTGAGTGTCAGGTGGCTCCTATGCAGTTTCACAGTGGCAGTCACTAAGTCATTGGAAACGCCTTGGCAGGGGGAGGGGATGTGTTGGGGGATTTTGAGTGGAGGAGTGTTATCGTCTGTCCTACATCTGAAGAGGGTCACTCGTGCTGTGGTGTGGAGGGCCAGGGTGGAAACGCGGGAGCAGCAAAGAGGCTACTGCGGTGACCTGGGTGAGACTTGATGGTGGCTGGGACGGGGAAGCCATGACGGAGGTGAAAGGAAGGTCAGGGCTCTGGTTATATTTTGAGTATAATACCAGCGCAATACCAAATTAAAGAGTTTGCATTCGGGTGGGTGGGTGTGGCAGAGATGGCAACTGAAGGGGAATTGCAGGTTTGGGGGGAAGATGGGGTCAAGATCTGAGACGGCCTTTGAAGCAGTGGTGAGGGTGGAGTGGAGTGAGGTGGGGCAGGAGTCTGAGACCGATACCTGGAAGAAAGCCTGGCGGTGGCCAGCAGACTAGGCCTGTTTGGGCTGAGTGACCCGGGAGAGGCACATAAAAGGGTGAGTGCATGAAGCCATGGGCTACCACCAACACCTTAGCATAAACTCGGCACTGGATCAGTCATGTGAACTTGAGGGAAATAGGCAAAGTAGATGCATTTTAATGGGTGCAGATAAGGGAGAAAGGTCTTACCTTGGGGCTCTGGGTGATAAATAGGATTATGGGGGGAGGGTGGAGGCTGAGGGGCATGGACAGCAGGAGAGACCTGGATATCTCCAAGTCAGGGAAAGGGGACAAGATGGAAGGGAAGGAAAATCTCCTACAAGCCTACACTAACAAGAGAGTGTGGTCCCAGCATAAAGACAGACATATAGACTGATGGAACAGAAGAAAGAGATCAGAAATAAACCCTCATGTGAAGACGGGCAACTGATTCTCAACAAGGATGCCAAGGTCATTCAGCAGGGAAAGGACAGTCTTTTCAACAAATAATGCTGAGAAAACTGGATATCCACATGCAGAATGAAGCCACATCTTGTTTCACACCACACACACACACACACACACGCACACGCGAAACTCAAAATGGATCACAAAACAAAATGTGAAAGCGAACTCTACAAAGCCCTTATTGGGGAAAAGTTTCATGACACTGAATTTGGCAGTGATTTCCCAGACATGACACCAAAAGCTCACACAACAAAAGAGAAAATAGACAAATTGAACTTCATCAAGATTAAAAACGTTTTGTGCATCAAAGGACACTATCAACAGAGAGAGAAGGAGACTCACACAATGGAAGAAAACATTTGCAAGTTTCATTTTGGAGAAATGATTAATATCTAGAATATACAAAGAATCTTACAACTCAATGACAAAAAACCAAACAACTCAATTAGAAATCGGGTGTGGCCAGGCGTGGTGGTTCATGCCTATAATCCCAGCACTTTGGGAGGCTGAGGTGGGTGGATCACTCGAGCCCAGGAGTTTGAGACCAGTCCGGGCAACATGGTGAAACCCTGTCTCTACAAAAAATACAAAAATTATCCAGCGGTGGTGGCGTGTGCCTATAGTCCCCGCTACTTGGGGGGCTGAGGGGGGAGGATTGCTTGAACCTGGGAGGCAGAGGTTGCAGTGAGCCTCAGTCATGCCACTGCACTC
Source organism: Homo sapiens (assembly GCF_000001405.40). Classification (NCBI taxonomy): domain Eukaryota; kingdom Metazoa; phylum Chordata; class Mammalia; order Primates; family Hominidae; genus Homo; species Homo sapiens. The sequence goes on along the minus strand of NC_000008.11, from coordinate 41,914,479 downwards.
CAGCCTGGGTGACAGAGCTAGACCCTATCTCAAAAAAAAAAAAAAAAAAAAAAAGGGAAGAGAGAGAGAAATTGGATGAAGGACTTGAATAGATATTTCCCCAAATAGGATATACAAAAAACCAATAAAGACATGAAAAAAATGCTCAATATCGCTAATCTTTAGGGAAATATGAACCAAAAGCACATTGAGGTATGACCTCATACCCATTAGGCTTACTATTATCAAAAAACAGAAAACAGTAAGTATTGGCGAGGATGTAGTGTAACTGGAGCCCTTGTGCTCTGTTGGTAGGAATGCAAAATTGAATGACTGCTGTGGAAAGCAGTGGGGCAGTTTCTCAAAAAATTAAACAGAATTACCATATGATCCAACAATTCCACTTCTGGGCATATATCCAAAAGGAATGAAAGCAGGGGCTCACACAGACATTTGTCCACCCATGTTCCTAGCAGGCTACTTCACAATGGCCAAAGGCGAAATCAACACAAGTATCCACAGACAGAGGAACAGACCACAGAATATGGTCAATCCACACAATGGAATATTATTCAGCCTTAAAAAGGAAGGGTATTCTGACACATGCTGCAACAGAGATGCACCTTGGAGACATTATGCTAAGTGAAAGAAGCCAGTCACAAAAAGACAAATGTTGCACGATTCCACTTATAAGAGGTACCTGGAATAGGCAAATTCAAGAGACAGAAAGTTTGGCGCAAAAGTAATTGTGGTTTTTACATTGTTGAAATTTGCCATTTGACATTGGAATACATTCTTAAATCAATGTGGTTATGTTACACATCATTTTAATGTGCGTTTCTTACTTTTTTTTGCTAATGACATTACTGCTGTTTATTCTATATTTATTTTAGACTATGGAAATGATGTTAGACAAAAAGCAAATTTGAGTGATTTTCTTATTCAAGTTCAAAATGGGTCATAAAGCAGCAGAGACAACTCTCAACATCAACAATGCATTTGTCCCAGGAACTGCTAACAAACGTACAGTGCAATGGTGGTTCAGGAAGTTTTACAAAGGAGACGAGAGCCCTGAAGATGAGGAGTGTAGTGGCCGGCCATCGAAAGATGACAACGACCAACTGAGAGCCATCATCTAAGCTGATCCTCTTACAACCACAGGAGAGGTTGCCAAAGAACTCAACATCGACGATTCTATGGTCCTTTGGCATTTGAAGCAAATTGGAAAGGTAAAAAAGCTCGGTAAGTGGGTGCCTCATGAGCTGAGCAAAATTAAAAAAAAAACAAATTTGTCATTTTGAAGTGTCGTCTTCTCATATTCTACTCAACAACAAGGAACCATTTCGAGATTGAATTGTGACATGCCATGAAAAGTGGATTTTATACAACTGGTGATGACCAGCTAAGTGGTTGGACAAAGAAGAAGCTCCAAAGCACTTCCCAAAGCCAAACTTGCACCAAAAAAGGGTCCTGGCCACTGTTTGGCGGTCAGCTGCTGGTCTGATCCACTGCAGCTTTCTGAATCCCGGCAAAACCATTACACCTGAGAAGTATGCTTGGCAAATCTATGAGATGCACCGAAAATTGCAACGCCTGCAGCCAGCAGTGGTCCACAGAAAGGGCTCGATTCTTCTCTGACAATGCCCAACCGACTGCACATCACACAACCAATGCTTCCGAAGTAAACGAATTGGGCTGCGAAGTTTTGCCTCATCTACCACATTCACCTGACCTCTCGCCAACCAACTACCACTACTTCAAGCATCTCAACAACTTTTTGCAGGGAAAATGCTTCCACAACCAGCAGGAGGCAGAAAATGCTTTCCAAGAGTTTGTCGAATCCCAAAGCATGGATTTTTACGCTACAGGAGTAAACAAACTTATTTCTCATTGGCAAAAATGTGTTGATTGTAATGGTTCCTATTTTGATTAATAATGTGTTTGAGCCTAGTTATAATGATTTAAAATTCATGGTCCTAAACCTCAATTACTTTTGCACCAACTTAGGCACCCCTGGAGAGTGGTTACCAGGGGCTGCAGGGAGGGCGGAATGGGGAGTTACTATTTTTTTTTTTTGTTTGGAGTGCAGTGGCGCGATCTCGGCTCACCACAACCTCCACCTCCCGGGTTCAAGCGATTCTCCTGTCTCAGCCTTCTGAGTAGCTGGGACTACAGGTACATGCCACCACGCTGGGCTAATTTTTGTATTTTTAGTAGAGACGGGGTTTCACTATGTTGGCCAGGCTGGTCTCAAACTCCTGACCTCATGATCCTCCCACCTCGGCCTCCCAAAGTGCTGGGATTACAGGCATGAGCCACCGCGCCAGGCTGGGAGTTACCATTAACAGGAACAGAGCTGCAGTTTGGCAAGAGGAGAAGGTTCTGGAGGTGGATGGTTTTGATAGTTGCACAACAATGTGAATGTAGTTAATGCCCCTGAACTGTGCATCTAAAAATAGTGAAAACGGTAAATATTTGTGTTATATATAGGTTGCTATATATATTTTTTTTAAGTGAAGAAGGAGAGCCAACAAAGGAGTGCCAGGAACCAGTTTATTCATAATCATTTCTAAGAGACAGCCCTCATCGTGGGGCTGGGGGTCTAAAGGGTTCGTGGCTAGCAGGAAGGTGGGTTGGGCCCCCTGAGAGCAGGGTCAAGTGAGGGATCAGGGGAGCTTGAGAGCTCACAGCGCCTGCAGGAAGGATAAATAAGGAGCAGTGGAAAGGAAACTAGGCTCTCACTGGCAGGAGTCCTCCTCGGTGGTTCTGCCAGGAGGTAACCAAGACTCTCCAGGAGAGAGATGTCAGAGCACACAGAGCAGCCAAAGAAGAGCCTTAACATTCTGTTGTTGGGCTGGGTGCGGTGGCTCATGCCTGTAATCCCAGCACTTTGGGAGGCCAAGGTGGGTGGATCGCCTGAAGTCAGGCGTTCAAGACCAACCTGGCTAACATGGTGAAACCCCGTCTCTACTAAAAGTACAAAAATTAGCTGGGCATGGTGGCAGGCACCTGTAATCCCAGCTACCTGGCAGGCTGAGGTAGGAGAATCGCTTGAACCCAGGAGGCAGAGGTTGCAGTGAGCTGAGGTCGCGCCATTGTACTCTGATCTGGGTGACAAGAGCGAAACTCCGTCTCCAGAAAAAAAGTAAGACATTCACATGTCAGAGAATCAGAACTGCATACAGGACATACATACAATGGAAAGTTTAATTCCTCTCTCTGCCCCAACTCCTCTGTTCCCTTCCCCATGGCAGACAGTTCCCACGTGTTATCTCAGCAGAGACAGACACGGCTGTCTATGAGTACGTCCGTGCCACCTAGCTCTCCTCTTGTGTTTGAGTACACAGATGAAAGACTACTTTCTTCATCTGATTTATATCACCTATTCTATGGAATCATCTTGTTCTTTTTTTTTCTCCTTTTTGAGACAGTCTCACTCTGTCACCCAGGCTACAGTGCAGTGGTATGATCACAGCTCATTGCAACCTCCACCTCCCAGGCTCAAGCAATCCCCCCACCTCAGCCTCCTGAGTAGCTGGGACTACAGGGGTGTGCCACCATGCCCAGCTAATTTTTCTTTTCTTTTTTTTTAAGAAAAGGTCTCCCTATATTGCCCAGGCTGGTCTTGAACTCTTGGGCTCAAGCCATCCTCCTGCCTCGCCTTGGCCTCCCTAAGTACTGTGATTACAGGTGTGAGCTACAGTGCCTGCCCACCTTGTTCTCTTAAAGGCTTCATAGTACTCCATTTCAGGGATGTGTCATTATGCCTATAGGCTAATGCAAACCACTTTTCACTTTTTCCTGTAACCTCCTGGGTTTTTTCCTGTTAAGCAACTGGTGGCAGCATAGATGCTGAATTCCCCCACCCCCGACACGTTTCTGTGCACCGGGCTATGCAACAGATGTGTTCAGTCAGCACACGGATGAAGGATGGTACCTCTGCCTCTGCATGCCTGTGCCGTCTCTTAAATTCTCTGGGCCTGCACCACCTCCTTGCCCTCTGCGTGCACTTTCATTCTGCTCCTTCTCACTGAGAAATGAGGGGGCCTGGCTGTGAAGTCTTTGGAACCCCCTTCTGTGGTGTGTCTTTCCCTTTCCCTCTGTCACAGCTGGACTCGAAGGAAGCTGCGAGGGACACCCAGGGGACTGGGAGCTCAGGCGTGTGTGATGGGCACAGGGGTTTCTGTGGGCTGATCTGGGAGGAAGATTCCTCCCTCCCCTGACTTCTCCCCTTCCCTGGAGCCACCACTTGGCCGCTCGGGGCTCACACCAGCCCTTGAGGGCAAAGCTAGGAGCCCATAGCGGCAATCGGAAACTCTGGGAGGGAAAAATGAGAAGGTCAAGAAAAGCCCAAAGTATTTGTAAGCATTTTACCAAAGAAATGCCAGGACAGCTGTATCTACCTTGATGTAGTATAAATGCTCTAAATGGTATTACAGGAATTACAATTTGTAAGTCAAATCACATTTTATGAGCACAAAAGGAAAACCACCACTAAGGAAATGCACATTGAATTTTTAAAAATAAAGAAAAAAGACCTTTTAGTAAAACCATCACCCTTCCCTTTGGCCCTCTGCCTTTCGTTGATGTTTTCGGCATTTACACTTGTTATCTGTTGAGTCTTCTTAAAGCGAGGCCCATGGTTACAGAAAATTCACTGGAGGAAAAAAAAAATCTGCATTTATGCCTCTCAGGGTGTGTTTTTAAATACCAAACAGAAGGGCAGGAGGGAAGAAAACGATTTGCCTTCTGGAGCCACAAATGGTTAAGAAATGAAAAGGCTGTTTCGCAGTTGGGAGGAGGAAGAAAGTGACAGGGAGGAAGCAGCCTGCAAATGAACGAGCAAAAGCGTGGCATGAATGACCGTGATGAGTGTTTCCAAGGATGAGTCCATGTTCAGAGCTCACAGAAAAATCTTCCAGAAGAATAAAGAAAAAAATAGGAACATCAGGATGCTCCAGAGGCCTTGCAAAAACAGCTGTGGCTTTAATTTATCAAGTCAATATACATTAACTATAGATGTTAATTATGTTATATTAAGATAGTGGCTGCCTTACCAGGCTCTGTTAAAGGCACGGCGGATAAGGCAGAAAGTGAAACAGACAAGACTCCCTACCCTCCTGGGGCTCATACTGCAGCAGGGGACACAGGCCAGGAATTCTATGCATAATTAAAATGCGCAGTGTGACAGACAGACAGTGATGAGTGCTGGAGGAGCAAAACCCAAGTGGGAAGGGGAGCTGAGGCACGCCAGATGGAAGGTAATGGGGCAGGGGTAAGGGAGGCTGTTACATGCGAACTGCCCCCCCAAAAATACATGTCGAGATCCTCACCCCTACCCGTCAGAATGTGACTGTATTTGCACACAAGGCCTTTAAGGAGGTGATTCGATTAAATGGCATTATTAGGGTAGGTCCTAATGCAATAGGACTGGTGTCCTATGAGACAAGATTAGGACCTGTATGCACAGGGGAAAGGCCACGGGGAGGCACAGGGAGGAGACAGCCTCTGCAAGCCAAAGAGGGGGAGGCCTCAGGGGAAGCCAGCCCTGCTGACACCTTGATCCCAGATTTCTCACACCCAGAATTGTGAGAAAACGGACGTCTGAGGTTTCAGGCACCCGGGCTGTGGTACTTTGTTATGGAAGCCCAAGCAGACCAATAGAAAGAGCTCGCTGTGAAAGCTAACTTTTGGGGCCGGGCGCGGTGGTTCATGCCTGCAATCCCAGCACTTTGGAAGGCCGAAGCGGGCAGATCACCTGAGGTCAGGAGTTTGAGACCAGTGTGGCTAACATGGCAAAACCCAGTCTCTACTAAATATACAAACATTAGCTGGGCGTGATGGCAGGTGCTTGTAGTCCCAGCTACTCTGGAGACTGAGATAGGAGAATGGCTTGAACCCGGGAGGTGGCGGTTGCAGTGAGCCAAGATCGCGGCCTTGCAGACTGGAGTCTGGGTGACAGAGCAAGACTCCATCTCAAAAAAAAAAAAAAAAAAAAGAAAAAAGAAAACAGAAAGTTAACTTTTGGGTGATGCTCAGAGGGAAGTGAGGGAATGTGCCAGGCAGAGGGTGTGGGGCAGCAGACAGCAGGTGCAAAGGCCCTGAGGCAGGAGGTGCCCAGACAGCCAGCAGGGCAGCAGGTGGGTTAGAGAGCCAGGAGGTGGCAGGGGCAGCTTTGGCTTTTACTCTGAGATGGGCAAGTGTTGGAGGGTTTTGAACAGAGGAGTGAGACACGGTTTCATCTAATTTGAGCAGAATCACTCTGGCTGCTAATTGGAACAGGCATCATGTAGACAAGGGGGAAACAGGAATGAGTTAGTGGGTTGTCTACACTTCAAGAGAGACAGGATGGTGGTGTGAACAAGGGCAGGGCAGAGGGCTGAGTTCCGGATGCAATTGGAAGGTGGAGTTAGTGGGACTGGCTGACAGATCACATGTGGGATATGAGAGAAGAGTTAGGAGAACTGTGTTTTGCTCTGAGCAACTGGAGGCATGAAGCTGGCGTGGCCTAGGATACATGAGATAGTGGGAGGAGCCAGAGGTAAGACTCAGCTCTGGGCGTGTTAGGTCAGAGAAGTGGGTTGGAAATCCAGGTGCAGGTGTGAAGACGGTAGCTGGCCACTGAACTTCAGGGAGGGTGCGGCATGAAGATGTGCAGGTGGGAGTGGCCAGCTGATGGATGTGTCTAAACCACCAGATGGTGAGAGCATTGAGAGTAGGTGCAGGAAGGAACGGGGTGCGGGGACAGTGCCCTGGGATGCCCAGTACTCAAAGGCAGGGAGTGAGAAGGAGCAGCCGGAAAGGTCACAGGAGAACCAGCCAAGGTGGGTCTCAGGCACCAAGGGTGCGCTGTGCTGGAGATGGGGGAGCGGCCAGTGACCAGCTCTGTTGAACGCTGCTGATGGGCTGAGTCAGATAGGACTGAACATGGCCTCTGCAGCCATGGGTGGAGGCCTGATGAGGGTGAGAGAGCAGGAGGCAAGGAATCAGAGGCAGCTAAGGCTAAAAATTGGGAGAAGAAGTGAAAACAGCAAAGGTTTTTTTTGTTTTGCTTTCAATTTTTTGGAGCAATGTGGTCTTGCTATATTGTCCAGGCTGGTCTGGAACTCCTGGCCTCAAGCCATCCTCCGAATTGGCCTCCAAAGTGCTGGGATTATAGAGGTTTTAGGAGACGGGAGGGAATTGTTAAGTGAGGAGATGGACTAGGTGCATGGCTCCTTTCCCTGTCTCGCCTCTGCAGACTCTCTGTGCAGTGCACACGCACTGGTGCCTACCCTGGAGCACTGTGCTAGGTGCTCTGGGTCCTGGAGACCAAGGAGTGGAGGTGTCAGCCCCTCCCGACCCCACTCCACACCCCACTCCCTCCAGCTGGCCGCGTGACCTGGTTCTGGGGACTGAATCTGAGCCTAAGTGCCTCGGCTCCTAGGCTGACTCATCTCCCTCCTCCCGACCTGAGCTGCTGTAGTCCCCACTGGGCCCTGGGCTGGGATGGGGGTTCTGTGACTCCTGTCCATCCTGTGCACAGACAGTCCAGCAGGGCCAAGTCCCAAGGAGAGTGCTCAGGCGACATCAGGGCTGGCCGCTCAACTGTGCTCTGCAGCGTGCCTCCTGAGACCCGCTGGCTGTGGCGGTTGAGTGGGACAACAAACTCAGAGCCCAGTTGGTGCCTGGCACCTGGCAGGGGCTCCAGGAGTGATTGGTGAATGACAGGCAAGACTGAAGGGCACCGAGGGAGGGGGGCAGGCACAAGACTGACTTGCGATGGGTGTCCTCACAGAAGGGGGCATCTGCCCGATGGGTTCTGGGTTCCAGCAGGGCCATTTGGGGATGGCTCTGCAGCCCATGACCCTTGGAGGACAGGGAGACCTGCAGGGGAGGGAGGGGGTCTGAGTTGATGCATGTGGAGCTTCATACATGGCTGGGTTGGGGTCAGCAAGGCCTCTTCCCCGGCTGGCATGAGGGCATCGGGGGATGAGACTAGAAGCCAGGGAGGGGCTGAGCCAGGAGCCTCGACACCCACCCCAGGGACTCTTTACTCTATTGGCGGGGAGAGGAAGCTTGTTGCTGAAGGCTTAATTCAGGGGAGAAGAGAGCGTGAGGGGTTGAATTGTGGCCCTCCCAAAAATGCTACAGTCCCAACTCCCAGAACCTGAGACCATCACCTTGGAACCAGTCACTTAACTCGGTGTGTAACATATAATTTGGAAAAAGTGTCTTTGTTGATCAAATTGAGATGTCATTAATGTGGGCCTTCATCCAATGTGACTGGTGTCCTTTTAAGGGGACATTTGGACACAGGGACAGACGCATCAAGGGAATCTGATGGGGAGATGCAGGGAGAAGACACAGGCTTCCATCTCCAAGCCAAGGAGCACCTGAGCCATGAGGAGCAAGCAGGGAGGCCTGGGACAGATGCTCCCTTGCAGTGGTGAGGAGTGACCTTGACCTTGACTTCCAGCCTCCACGCCTGGGAGACATCTCCGTTGTCCTCCCCCCGACTCCCTGACAGGCTGCCACAGCAAGGGGTGAGGTGTGTGGGGAGGTTTAGGAGGTGAGGCGGCCGCCCTACAGTGACACACAGAGACAGGGGGTTTGGCTGATGGGGTTACCAAACAAAGGAGACTCTCAGCCCAACGTGCAAGAAGCCAGTGCTCTGACACTGGGCTTTTGAGAAAAGAAAGTTTTGATTGCTGGTGGGCTAACAAGGAGACAGGAGTCCAGCTCACATCTGTCTCCCTGTGCTGGCTTTAAGGCAGGAATTTTATTAGAAAAGGTTTAGGAGTGGATTCTGGGATTAGTAGGTGATTGGTGGAGTTTTGAAAAAGGAGGTCTGGAAAGTTCTTGCACCCGTGCAGTTGTCTCTTCATGCCTCCTCATGGGTCCCATGTGCAAATTCTGGGGAAGTTAGTGTGACATATGCAGTAGAAATTCAGGCTATGACAATTAGCAGGCGGGCTCTGTGCAGACTTAGTTGGCCATATTGGTTCCAACCAATTGCAGCCGGTTTTAAAATCTCATAAGCAGAGGGAGTTTCAGTGTTTCCGGAAGTTGTCTTTTCTTATCTGCTATCCTGAAAACTCAAGCATTTCTATTAGTCATTAGGTTTTTTTTTCTAAGCTCTGGGGCACGGTTTCAGTGGGTGACAGCCAAAGCCCAGGGGACAACAGTGGAGGGCCCGGGGGAGGGGCAGTGGCCGTGGAGCGAGAGGGGAGTGATGTCTGAGGTGAGCCGGTGGACGCCAGTGTCCATGTGCAGCACAGACACGTGGCTTGGAAGATGGGACTTAGGCACCAATGATGGCTCTATGTAAGGCCGGGCCTGCAGACTCACCCTGGTGGGGAGGGACGTCCCTCAGAAGCGACTGGAAGGAAACTGGCATGGAAAGGGAATGTGGAGGAGCTCATGGGTGGAGTGGGATTAGGAAAATACCACTGCGAAATAATAAGAAATATGTACATTGTTATCTGGCTCTGGTTTCTGACATACAGCTCCTAATACTGCTGTAGAAAGGGGTGCTGGAAGAATCTTTTGTTCTAATATTTGCCCTTTGACCCTGGTTCCTGACACAGAGCTCCTAATCCCTTGGGAGTTCCTAGGTGATCGGAGCATCTTTTGTTCTAATGAGGTGACTCTTGGTGGGCTCTGGATGGCATCAGGATGGGCTGGTTGCCAGTGTGCTAAAGGTCAAAACCAAAAAAGGTTGCCTTTTTTGGAGGGGCACTGACAGGGGAGGTAAGAGAGAGCACATGGGGAGCTGGAAATGTGGGCTTGGGCTGGGGGTGCTCACAGAGGCACGTGTGTAAATTGTATACATGGGCTGGGTATGGTGGCTCACGCATGTAATCCCAGCACTTTGGGAGCTGAGGCAGGCAGATCACCTGAGGTCAGGAGCTCAAGACCAACCTGGCCAACATGGTGAAACTCCATCTCTACTAAAAATACAAAAATTAGTCCAGTGTGATGGTGGGTACCTGTAATCCCAGCTACTGGGGAGGCTGAGGCAGAAGAATCGCTTGAACCCAGAAGGCAGAGGTTGCAGTGAGCAAAGATTGAGCCACTGCACTCCAGCCTGGGCAACAGAGCAAGACTCCATCTAAAAAAGAAATTAATTAAATTAAATTAAAATAAATAAATAGTATACACGCAGGGGAGAGGACCATGAGCCGTGGCTGCAATCTATCCATAGCAGTTGAATCAGAGTCCGAATTTTCATAAGATCCTTAGGTGATGTGAGTGCATGTGCAAATTTGAGAACTGGTTTTGAAGAAAGCCTCTGAAATCTAGTGAGTAAGAAGACTGGGGGCTGTAAAGGAGAGGAAGGGGGGCTCTCTGGGAAGCCCAGGTTTCTGCCTGGGTTAACTGGGGATTGAGGAGCCAGGAGGTGACTTCTGATGGTACACTGGGCAGACTTCTTGCCTCAGTCTTCTGAGAGAGGTCAAAGCTGGAGTTATAGATCCAGGCATGTGGGTGGTAGTGGAAGCCAAGGCTAAGATCATAGAGGAAGAAGGTATAAACTGAAAAAGAGCCCAGGCAGAAGTTTTTATTAGTGAGTCCTGTAGAAAGCATTCAGGAGCTGGGAGGAGAGCAGGGAGAGTGGGGTCTCAGGAACCGGGGAGATACACCACCAGGTCAAAAGGTCCAGGGAGTCAGATCCAAGTGCGTCCGTAGGTTCCGTGGTGGCAAGAGAATTTGGAGTGCAGTAGGGCTGCACCCGGAAGTAACAGGCTGGAGGAGCTGGTGACAGGCACACCATGGGGACGCAGTGAGAGCAGAGCTCTCTGGCAGCCCGGTTTTTCTGAGGAGGTGAGAAGGAGTGGGGTCCAAAGACGTCAACAAGGGGTGGATGCAGACACATTTCAATGGTGCAGAAGGGAGGGCACTGAGCACATGCAGCCCAGGGTTTCCATTTCCCCTCCGGAGTGGAAGGCACTGTCACCACGGAGGAGTGAGGTGGTGGCCACCTTGGGTGGGAGAGTGCAGAGGAGGGAGCAGTAGGGGCCTCACCCACACGCAGGCCTGAGGACCCAGCCAGCCAACGCTGAACTTTCAAGTCAGCGTCCCCTCCCCTCCCCTCCCCTCCCTTCCCCTCCCCTCCCCTCCCCTCCTCTCCCCTCCTCTCCCCTCCTCTCCCCTCCCCTCCTCTCCCCTCCCCTCCCCTCCTCTCCCTTCCTTCTCTCTCATTCTTTTTTTTTTTTTTTTTGAGACAGAGTCTCTGTCTGTCACCCAGGCTGGAGCGCAGTGGTACCATCTTGGATCATCGCAACCTCTGCCTCCTGGGTTCAAGCGATTCTCCTGCCTCAGCCTCCCAAGTAGCTGGGATTACAGGCATGCACCATCACACCCAGCTAATTTTTGTATTTTTTTAGTAGAGATGGGGTTTCACGATGTTAGTCAGGCTGGTCTCAAACTCCTGACCTTAGGTGATCCACCCGCCTCGGCCTCTCAAAATGCTGGGATTAGAGGCAGGAGCCACCACGCCCAGCCTTACTCCAGCATTTTCTACGAATCTGGATGTAAATCCTCTTCCTGCTTTGCTGTTTTCTCTGAACACCTTGACTTATAGGCTCTTTTATCTCTTCAAATTCCACCCTGGAAAATGCAATTATGAAAAGGACAGATTGCTGTCATCGGTAAACCTTGGACAGGAAATTAGGAATCTGTGAGCTCAATATTCACCTTTACTATGAACTCCTGACATTATCTTGGTCAAGCATAGGGAGGAGTGAAAGCTCTCCTCAAATATTTGAAGGGCTATCACACAGAAGCAGGGCTTGAATAATTTCAGTGTAGTAGCGCTGGATGGCAGAGCAGGGCTGGTGTGCACACACCCGGGGAGACGGCTTGAACCCAGTGGGAAACGGACAGCAGCTCTCCTGCGGAGTGATCTGGTCTGGGAATGTGAGAGTGAGCAGAAGAAGCCTCCCATTGGTTGGGAAATGCCAGGCAGTTCCTTCTCACTCTGCAATTCTAATTTTCCATTTGTCTTTCTGTTTTATCCTCTATATTCGTGGCTCCTGGATAACCTCTTCTGAATCAAACTTGACCTGAACACCTATAGGGTATGGCACTGGACTGGATGGCTGAGACCCCACAGCCATCTGCCCTCAGAGGAGTCAGGACTGGTAGACACTGGTTGGCTCCTTCTTTCCTAAAAGGGATTAATGGTACATGGACAGAACCTTCCAGGCCCACGCTCAATTTAGGATGTTTGTCCTAAGTAGCAGTAAAAGTACAGTCTCTAAAGATTGACTGTTTTGTTTCAAATCTGAGGTCCATGGCTTAGTAGCCATTGATCTTGATCAAGTTATTCATTCTCTCTGTGCCTCAGTTTCTTAACTGTAAAATGGTGATGACAATGGCATCTGCCTCATGGAGTTGTTCTTAGGGTTAAATACGCTTAGAAGAATGCCCAGTGCTCTCATTATGTTTTAGCTATTTATATTATTTAGTTCAAGAGGCAGCTTTTATCTTGGGAAGCTTTATTAATTATTAATAATGTTTCTTTTAAAAACACAAGTTGGTCTAGTTGCATAAATGCATACACTCAGGATGGGACTGGGAACCAGATGGAAATCTTAGGGAAGAAAGCAGCAAAGATATAAAAATGGACTCCATTCCCCTTCACTTAGCAGCTAAATAAAAAGGCCCCACTGAAATACAGAATTTCCTTGAGTAATAAGCATCCCTATATAAAAAAATGAAGAACTGGGGCTGTCTCCTGTGCTAGAGTTCGGACTCACTCCCCACACCACTTCCCTGCATGCTGAGTGACCAACTGTCCTCACCCATGGGGTAGTGACCCCCTTTGTGGGTGTGTGCCGGATTATGTGGCTCCCAAGAAATGACGAGAAGAGCCTGAGAATGAATGGTGGGAACCCAGCAGGGACACCTCAGTGAGGGGTGTGGCTGCAGTAGAGGAGGTGGCTCTCTGGGGACCACAGTGGGGCAGTCTTTTGTCTTGTCTCTTGATGCTGTGTGTGGGTCACTGTGGGTTCTGTTTCTATCACTTTGGAGGAATAGGTTGGCCCTTTGGTTGCCTGCCTGGGGATATTATTTTATGTGTCTAACTCAGGTTACTAATACTTCTACACTCAGGAGAACTGGCTGAGTCACTGTCAAAATCGGTCACCTGATGGTTCCTTTTAGGTCAGGCCTTGCATTAGGCAGCTTGGGCCTGAATTCTGACTCCGCTCCATCAGAATGTGACCTGGGGGAAGTCACTTAAACACAGACGGCCTGTCTTGGTCTGTTCATGTTGCTATAAAGGAATACCTGAGGCTGGGTCATTTATAAAGAAAAAATGTTTATTTGGCTCACAGTTCTACAGAAAGTGTGATGCCAACATCTGCATCTGGGGAAGGCCTCAGGCTGCTTCCAGTCATGGTGGGAGGGGAAGAAGAGCTGGCGTGTGAAGAGATCATACAGCGAGAGAGGAAGCAAGAGAGAGGGGAGGGGCCTGGCTCTTCCTAACAACCATTTCTAGTGGGAACTAGGAGTGAAAACTCACTCACCCGCAAGGGAGGGCATTAATTGTCCCTTCATAAGGGAGCCACCTCCGCGGCCCAAAGACCTCTCATTAGGCCTCACTTCCAGCTTTGGGGATCAAATTTCAACAGAGGTTCGGAGAAGACAAACATCCAAACTATAGCACAGCCTTGGCTTCCTCATATGGAAAACAGGGCCATCAATGCTTTTGTTATGAGAAATCAATGTTTGGTTATATGATCAGCAGTGCTTGGAGCACAGCAAAGAATCTGGTCAGTGAGTGGTGATTGTGATGCTGCTGCTGCTGATGGTGATGATGATGATGATAATGATGCTGGTGATGGTGATGCTGGTGATGATGATGGGGATGATGATGATGGGGATGATGATGATGCTAGTGATGGTGATGATGGTGATGATGGTGATGCTGGTGATGGTGATGCTGGTGATGGTGATGATGATGATGATGGGAATGATGATGATGATGGTGATGATGCTGGTGATGGTGATGATGATGAGGATGATGATGATGATGAGGATGATGATGATGGCGATGATGCTAGTGATGATAATGATGATGGTCTGTTGCAATGGGGAGTGTGGAGAAGGGTTGCATCATCTTTCCTCTGAACAGGAGTGAGGAAGCTCCTCTGGCTGCTGAGATGCTAGTGTTCCCTGGTCCCTCATTTCAGTAGGAACTCAGCTAGAGCACCCACCATTTCCTTATCACTCTCACGGTGTCCAGATCAGCCTGTTAAAGGCTTCAGACCACAGCTTCAACACTACATTCCCACTTTCTCTTTCTCAGCCTGAAATCTTCCTAATATATAATAGGATAACAGGGGAGCTACCTCACAAGTAGACCAGGGACATGAACAGGACTCTCATTGTACCCTAACTGAGATTGTTGAATATTCAGGGCCACAGCCACCACCCTAAGTGTTGATTTGAGGGGGACTCAGGCAGGACTTTCCTATCTACCAAGTGCTGTCTGCTGTTCCTTAAGGATAATATATTCCCTTTGAGTCAGAGAGATAATTTTTTTTTCTAACCTTCAAAAGGCTTCTATAAAGATTTAGATCTACAGGAGGAATCAGGGTCCTGGGGCTGAAGAGGACTTAGACACCAACTAGTCCATGAAGAAACTGACACTCTGTACAGCACTTGATGTTTTCCTGAAACATTTCACGTTCTTTCTCTCCTGGTCCTCCTGACAATCCTTCGAAGGAGGTAATATCAGATTCTTGTTTATAGATAAGGAAATAGAGTGATTTAGTATGGTGCAATGGTTAAGACTCCACAGCTAGCCCCTCAGGATTCAAGTTCTGGTTCTGCTATTTTTTATTTTATTTTATTTTATTTTATTTTATTTTATTTTATTTTATTTTATTTTATTTTATTTTTAGAGACAGGGTCTCGCTCTGTCACCCAGGATGGAGTGCAGTGGTGCAAACATAGCTCACTGCAGCCTCAAACTCCTGGGCTTAAGTGATCCTCCCACCTCAGCTTCCTGAGTAGCTGGGACAATACTCATAAGCCACCATCCCTGGCTAATTGTTTTAATTTTATTTTTTGTAGAGATAGGGTCTCACTTTGTTGCCTAAGCTGGTCTTGAACTCCTGGGCTCAAGTGATCCTCCAGCCTCAGCCTCCCAAAGCACTGGGATTACAGGCAGCTCCACTATTTACTAGCTGTGTGACCTTGAATAAGTTACTCAGCCTTTCTGTGCCTCATCTTTCCTATCTGTAAAATGGTGATAATGCTTGGTGCAATGGAAATGCTGCTATTTTTTATGATTATTCCTTAAACCAGGACACAGTAGACCTGTGGATTTCCTCAACACATGTTTATCGAGCCCCTACTATCTGTCAGGCACTATGCAAGTGCTGCAGATACAATAGTGAGCAAAACCAGACACTACCCCTTCCCTTACGGAGCTTCAAGTCTAGTGGGAGAGCTATGCATGAATCCAATCAATCACACTAATGTAAAATTACATGTGTCACGAAGGAGGCACATATGATGTTACTGCAAGAGGACAGAGCCAGTCTGGGGCCCCGGGGGAAGTGAAGACCGCAGTGAAATCTGATAAGTGAGTTGGAGTTAGCTAGACTGGGGATGGGGGTGGAGTGGACACAGGGCAGTCTGTGCAGGGGCCATCAAGGACACAGCAGCCTGGTAGAGGGACAACATGGACCTGCTCAAAGCCTGCTGAGGCTGGAGCACAGGGACCAGCACAGACCTGAGTGAGATGAGTCAGTGGGTAGGAAGGGCCTGATCATTCAGGTCCTCATAGGCGGTGTAACAGATTCTGATCTTCAGGAGCAAAAAGGAAGGATGCTAAGTGGAGAAGTGACAATAGCCACATCTGTGATGTGCAGTCCATCCTGCAGTGGAGGGTGGACAGGCGGATGGCCAGAGGGAATGGAGGCATGACTGTGAGGAGGCCCAGGGGAACAGTGGCCCTGGGGCCTGTGCTCAAGGAATAGTGCTGTGCTGGAGATTAATTATGTGTGTTGTCGGTAGGTTGATTACAGCCCCGGCCAGGGGGTGAGTTGGCCTAGGGAGACAGTCTAGAGCTGTGCTGTGTAATAGAGTTACCACTAGTCAAATGTAACTATTAAGCAATTAAAATGTGCAGGGTCTGAATTTAGATGTGATGTAAGTGTGAAATACACACTGAATGTTGAACTTAGTAAAAGAATGTAAAATGTCCTATTCATAATAAATCCATTGCATGTTGAAATATTTTGAATATATTGAATTAAAATATATTATTAAAATTAATTTTACCAGTTTTTTTTTCTAAAGATATGGCTACTTGCAAATTTAAATTCCATATGGAATTGGAATTTGTGGCTCGCACTGCGTCTAGAGTGAGACCTCAGTCAAGGACCCAGCCCTGGGAAATCGTCTTCAAAACAAGGCTTTTGCCAGAGGAGTGCAGGTGGAGAGGGGGATGGAAGGGCAAAGACAGGGTTGGGGGGGGCGGCGGGGGGAGGTCCTGTGAGGCAGCGCTTGCAGGCTGCAGGGGGTTAGAGGCAAGGCCCAGTTGCTCCCAAGTTTGCACTGCGTGGGGCCCAGCTCGCAGGCCCAGGACGTCGTTCTCTGCAGCTTGGTAGACGCCTCCTTTCTCGGCTCTAGCCTGGCTGGGTAAATGTCTACAGCAAGCCCTCAGCTTAGGGGAGGCAGAAGGAGGCAGACTATTTCATAATAACTCTTCTCCAAGTCTCAAATATTGTTTTTCACAACTCCCTCCTTAGCCGTTTGTGGAAGAAGTGCTCGTCCCACGGGATGGAGAGGGAGTGGGTGGGCGGCAGCTCCCGAGCCGGGGACCCCGGCTGGCTCCTGTGCGGCGTGACGGGGTGGTTGGCTGAGCCCTAGGCCCCCTCCGCCTGCCGCAGGCTGGGCTGGCGCTGCGGACCCAAGTGCAGCTCTTCCCCGCGGGGCACGGGCGCAGGCGGCGTCCCCAGGGAGGCGTGCGCGGGAGCGCCGGGGATGGGGGACGGGCGGGGCTGGAGCGGGGACCTACTTCCTTTTCTGTCCCAAGAGGACTCAAAGGAAAACAATTCACTTGATCCTGGATACGTTTTCATCTATAATTCGGAAATATGCAAATGAAAGGCCCACATGGTCTGAAAGGGGCAAATCAAGCTCCCAGCGTGCGGCGCGGGGAACCGGCTCTTCCCCAGGGAGCCCCGGAGGCGCGCGCCCCACGCCGAGGGCGCCCGGGGAGGAACCGCACCCCGGGCTCGGGAGTAGCGCGTCCGGGCCCTCAGCGGCCACCGCCCGGGGGCTCCCCAAGCCCGGTCCTTGCCCTCTGCCGCCCGCCCTCTAGGCCGAGCCTCCGCTCCCGCGATGTCGCCGCGCTCGCCGCCGCCAGGCGCGCTGGTCCGCCGGGTCGCCCGGGCGCGGGGCGCGCCGCCCGCCGCAGCCTCCCCTCTTCCCCCGGCTTGGCCCTGCGGCCCGCAGCGGGGTCCGGGGTAGAGCGGCCGCTTTGTTCCCGCCGCCCGACGGCGCGGGGCTCTGCAAAGGCGGAAGCTCGGCGCTCGCCATGACCCCGTGCGGACGCCCAGTGCGCCCAGCCTCGCCGCGCCGGCCGGGCCCCCGGGCCTTCCCGCGCTGAGCGCCCGAATCCGCCCCTTCCGCGGCCGCTCACCGCCCGCCGCCGCCGCAGTACGAGCCGCCTCCCCGCCCCCGCCCCCCCGCTTCGCCGCCGCCGCCGCCGCAGGAGAGGGAGGGAGGCGGAGGGAGGGAGGCGGCGGGCCCTGCCCAGAGCCCGTCCCGGGCGCCGGCAAGCGAGCTCCGGCCGCGGCGGCAGCGCCATCCCGGGCCGCGGGCAGCCGCCCCTCGCCCTCCGCGTCCGGAACTGCCTTCGCCTTCCCGCGACCCCGCAGCAGCCGGCCCTCGGGGCGCCACGAACGCTGTCCCCTCTGTGGAGCAGAGACCCCCTTCCCCTTCTTAGGGGGTGTCGCCTCGGGGATCGCTGAGCGCTAGGGGTCCAGGAGGCGGGGACGGGAGCGCCGTGACCCGCCATGGCTCAAGCGGCCAAACAGCTGAAGAAAATCAAAGACATCGAGGCGCAGGCCCTCCAGGAGCAGAAGGAGAAGGAGGAATCCAACAGGAAGCGGAGAAACCGCTCCCGTGACCGAAAGAAGAAGGTAGGAGGGGGCGGCGGTGAAAGCCCAGCGACCGCGGCACCTGCAAGTGGCTGCTGGGGGCAGGGGTCGGGCGGCCCGGGACGCGGTGGGGCGCGGCGCCCGGTGCGGCGGAGTTGGCGGCACCCGAGCGGGGAAGGCTCGGTGGGCGTAGAGGAGGGACGGAGGCTTCTGCGCGGCCGGGAAGGGGACAGGGCGGCAGGCTGGAAGGGCAGAGCGGGTGGCCGGGAGGCTGAGGGCGCGCAGAATCCTCCCGCCAGCTGCCCGCAGAGACCTTTCAGCACCTTGGACAGCACCCGGCAGGCCCGCGCTGCTCTAGGACCAACTTTCCCGGCCTTGGCTGCCGGCTGCGGGTGGTGGGCTGCCCTGCTCGGGCGCGCCGCACCCGCTGGCTTTCCAGGAGAGCTGGTTTGGGTAAACGCGGCTGCAGGCTCCGGGGAGCGGGCCGGGGGGGGGCAGCTCTGCCCGGCTTCTCCCTAGGTGACCCACTCTGACGAAGAGAGCGTCTTTCCCAGGTGTCTCTGAACGAGAGTCGGGCTCCTGCCCTTCCTTGACCCTTCTCAGGGAGCACCTTTCCTGACCCTCCGGATCTGGTAGCAGAAAAGAAGGCGCCTTCTCCTCTACCCGGGGTATTTGCAACATCTTATGCTCAGGTCACTCAAGATGAGCCATCCATGCCAGGGAGGGGAAGTTCCTTTGGAAGCCAGGCACGGGTGCTCCAGCCTGGCCCAAAGGCCTGGTCAGAGACCAGCTCTGCCCATGGGCAGACATCCCGGGTATTTCTGTGTCGGGGTGCCGAGACAAAATAGGCCCGCAAAGACCCAGACCTCCAGGGGCAACTGTTGCTGTTTTTAGCCCTTTTGGGGTCTGGGGTCCTCTTACCCCTGATCAAAGCACCTTGAGAAGCACCTTAGGTCAGAAACACCTTTGATGGTGAAAGGACGGTGACAGAAGTCAGGGCACCTTAGAGCCACGGAGGAGGCCAAGAGTACGTGGGTGTAATTCTGGGAATCGGAGATGCTGAACTCTGGATTCAGGAGAGCTATTTTCACCCGAAGAAGTCGATGTGGGGCCCAGCCTGCACGGCTCCCCAGCAAGGAGTGGGGCCCCTCAGGCTTCCAGGGAGAGGCTCTGGCCTTGGTTGAGAAGGAAACACGTTTTCTTTCCCTGAAACTGTCTCATTCCGAGAAAGAAGTTTGGAGCCTGCAGCTGACAGCAGAGTGTTGGGGAGCAGGCTGTCTGTGGGTCACACACCCCTTGACAGTTGGTCAGCAGACCAACATCCATCCTCTTCCTAGAGATGCTCTCTGATTTCAAAGGAAGTAACCAACACTCTCTAGGCTTTCCTGTACCCTTCAGAAACTGACGTCCCCACCTCCCTTGAGGGATTGCCATCTTGTGTGTAAATAGTAGTTTCACAAAGGCACCACCCCTTTAGAGGACCGAAAAGGGGCCTTTTTCAAACCGATGATGAATCAGAGTTTGGGTTGGTGCCACCGAGAGAGAATCTCCGCAGGTCCCTCTGCTGGGGTCTAAAATACCAGAGCCCGTCTTGTGAGTCAGGCAGGGGAAGTCTGGCTCTACGCTGCGATGCTCACCCACTTTCTTGGCGTGAATGTGAACTTCTTCTCGGGAAGGAGTGCTCTGTGTTTCCATTCCTGCCTCCTGCTTTGGAAGCCAAGGCGCTCCTCTCCGAGCTGCTCACTCAGTGTTCTCATCCACCTCTCTCTCGCAGCCTTCCTCCTTGACACTCCCGACACCATATATCATTTTTTGAAAATAGTCAAAAAACCCTCTCCCACCCCCTCTCCTGTGATTCTTTTCCATTCTGTGAAAATTCCCTTTAATATAACTCTGAATTCCAAATATGTATAATACACACATGTGAAAGCGGTGATTTCAATATTCTTTTTGCTTCTTTGCTCTTAATCTTTACATTTGTAGTAAACCTCATTTCTTTTTTTTTCTTTTGGTGGTAGATGATAATATTTAATATATTCCTCCCCCCAAATGGTGTTATCTTGTTTTACTAGCCGGTCGCAGCATACTGCGTCAGTAGCATTCAAAAATCTTCCATTCAGATTTTCATTATTTTATGCAGTATCCTGGGTGCTATGATTAATATAATGATAAGAAAATTTTCATTTAAAGTGATAGCAGTGACGCATACTCTTAGGACTGATTCTTTGGGTGCAGGGGAGATGGTATGGGGTGGGATGTAGGGATGCTTTGTTCGTATTTTGTAAGGGCTGTGAGTTTTCTCAGCCATTGGGATGGTCTTGAGGGTCATCTCAGAGAATAGAGTTAAAATTTATAGCAAAATTGAAAATCACAAGCAGGTGGAAAGCTCTAGAGGGAAAGGTGAGGGAGGCAGTGCAGAAAGGAGCATTTGAAGAAAGCTTACAAGGGGCCTGGTGAGGCAGAGGGCCTAGGGCTAACTCAAAGGTTCATATAAGGTGAAGTCTAACTAAGCCATTTTTCATGAAGGAGATAATTTTTCAAGGTGAAATGTATTAAAATCAGGCAGCTGAGGACTTTACAGCTGCTCACACAGACTACAGAGTGTGTGGACCCAGTTTCCGTTTCTTATACCAGCATGCAGAAGGAATTCCATACATGCAGACAAACATGTTACTCCAGGACATTGGCCTCTTGTGTGGATGGATAGCTGAGCCAAGGGCATTCTGAATTAACTCAAAGGAAAGGTGTTTGTCCCGCGGGTAACCTACTTACCAGGGACTGACTGAGCAGAACCGCATCCCTCCCGTTTGTAGAAATAACCATGGTTGTAACTTTGGCGATGGTTGCAGTTTTTACAGTTGATGATATTGTGTGGGAAGGTGCTTGCTAAGGGGTGCTGTGTGCGGGGGGTGGAGGAGGCTGGTGTTGTGACGCACTGACTGACACAGATAGAAGCCACCTCGACGCAGGGAACTGAGCTACACTCTGGAGCTCTAACAATGCCTGCTTCTCATGGGGCTTCATTCAGTGCTGTGCATGTGCAGAGCCAACCTTGTCAGCCACTTGCTGTTGTAGCTGCAGCTTAAAAAAATCCAGCGTTTATGATATTTACTGATAAGTCCCCCTGCTTTTGAAGGTTGGAATGGAAATACATTGCAAAGCATGTGTAAAGCAGGCATTTGCATGAAGGATGACAGCTTTTGAGGGCTGGGGGAGCCTGAGGCATAAGAATGTGTGTGCTTTTTATGTTTACCCAGAGCTTGAGGGTAGGAGGAGAAGAGGACAGGAAGATGGGAGGAAAAGTGAAGCAGAGGATAGAAGAGGGCAGAATTCAAGGAAGGAAGAGTGGATAGGGAGAGGAGCGCTGACGCCTTGGCCCTGAGTGACAGGTTCACACTAAGCCGGATACCTGCAACACGGTGAGACCCCAGGGTAGTGTTTACTCAGCTCTCTCCTTGTCCCTAGTTATGTTCACCTACTTCATCGTCTGATGGTGAAAGAAAAGACCATGTCCTATTCATAGCTGTGTACCTGACACCTAGCTCAGTACCTGACTCAAGCGGCAGGCAGTGGATGTTTGTGGAGTGAATGGTTGAATGAGTGAATTAATATAATATTAATCTCTGCTTGCCCAGATGTTGTCTTGGTTGCAGGCATGTGTTCCGGTGAATGATACACCCTTTGACTGACTGTCTTTTGGGGGCATCTGGAAAAAGCCTGATTTGTTTTCTCTTCTAATCATTTGCAAAGCAATAGAGATTTGTAGGGAGGCAGTGGAACCATCTAATCTTTTGGTGCAGTGGATTCCACCACTGAGCATGTAGTTAGTTCCTTGCAGGGTCTCTGCTACACTAAATGTCAAGTGATTTTAGACATTTGTAACAACAACAGTGTTTGCACAGGGTCCCAAGGAGCCAGGCACTCACAAGGAGGGATGGAGGAAGAGTGCAGGAAGAAAGAAAAGAAAGCCCAGGCCTGGAGAGTGGCCTCTGCCACTTAGCTGTGCAGGCAGCTCCGTCAGTCTTTCCAGTCTATGCAGCAGTAACCGAAGAGCCTGCAGCCTTCCTCTCTCAGCAGGAGGAGGCCCTGCTCCTGGACAGGAGAGGGGTTTTTTGTTGATCCAGTGATTGGAATCACAGGGGAGATTTGGGGTGGGGGGGCACCTGCGTGAGACTGGAGGGTTGACAAGGAGGCTTGGTGGGTCTGGAGGTGGGGAAAGTGGGATGGAGGGGGGAAAGTGGGATGGAGGGAGGAAAGTTAAGCATTAGAATCATGTTGGCCCATGACTTTCATTTGCAAAGGGCCTCAAATTTCAACTTCTGCTGTTATCTCCAAAAGGTTTTGTAAATTCAATCCAAGAGATTGCCGACAAAATTGAAAGAGAACAGTGCTCATCACACATCTTTAATCTGGGTCCTGTTGCTAAACCATTTCACTAATGTATGTTGTGGCATTAATGGATATTTATATGTAAAGCCTCAATTTGGCTTTTGATTAGCATACTTATGTTGTATTGCATGTGAATTATTAGAGCATTTGTTTCTTTGTTGCAAGACTTTAAAACATATCACAACTTTGGTATCCCTGCTTTGGCATTTCTTCTTATTGTAGTACCTCGGGAGCCTCCATAAATGAAGGTGGGCCTGCCTCTCTGGAGCTCTGGGAGGCGCCGGCAGGGGCTGAAGATGTGGGAATTTTCCCAGCCTGCCTCCTGTCCATTTTTTCAGTTCAGCTCCTCCCTCCCTGCTGCAGAGGTAGCAGTGGTGGGGGCTGTTCCCAGGATCTCTCCTCACTTCCCAGCCATAGGCTAGACCAGGAGAGCAGGGTCTTGAGGGCTGAGAAGATGTTACACTCTGAATTTTGGCTGCTGCTCCACCTCTGTGAAGGGTGACTGTGAGGAGCAAGTGATGTGCAAACCATCTAGTGCTGGACTGTCTCAGAGCAGGTGCAGCAGCAGCTGAAATTCAGAGCCTGGAGCAAGTCACCTCCCTGGGCAGGGGACACGAGCTGGCCTCCAGTGTCTCCCCGTTTCTTTTGCTCACCCCAGCAAAGGCTGCTGGCTCACCAGTTCTGCTCCTCTCCTCTCAATGTGGCAACACTTAAAAAAAAAAAACAAACTCATCTGAGGTTTCTTCCCTATTTTCACAATAAAAATGAGCACGTAGTGGCGAGTGTGTCCTATGTACAGGCGCTCTTCATCGGTGTTAGCTTGCCCCTGTGTCTGCTTTGGCAACACCTTTGAATAGGTGATCCTGTTATTGATTCCTTCCTCCTTCAATGTCAAAGCCCAACACTGTCGCCTGCAAGAAACCTTTCATATCTGTCCCCTCCTTACCCCCACCCCATTGCTCTCTCTGCACCTTCCACGCATACACACATGCACATGCAGAAGTTCTTGTTTTATCTCTTCTACTAAATTGTAAGCACTTTGAAGCCAACACTTGAGCCTTTGTACATAACCATTCACTAGATATCTATGGCTTGAATTGGTTGAAAAGCTACATTTAACTAGTACAGGTTTTTTTTCTTAGTTGTTCTTTTTGATTTTGAGAGAGTTGGCCCTAAAGAATTGGTACCAAGTAAATCTATTGTTTCCCCCACCTTGAATTCTTCTGACTGAAATAAAATCTATTGTCACTGTTTTTTTCTTCTTTTCTTTTTTTCTTTTTTCTTTTTTTTTTTTTTTTTGAGACGGAGTCTCGCTCTGTCACCCAGGCTGGAGTATAGTGCTACAACCTCAGCTCACTGCAACCTCCGCCTCCTGGGTTCAGGTGATTCTCCTGCCTCAGCCTCCAGAGTAGCTGGGACTACAGGCGCGTGTCACCATGCCTGGCTAATTTTTGTGTTTTTAGTAGAGACGGCATTTCACCATGTTGGCCAGGCTGGTCTCGAACTCCTGACCTCAAGTGATCCGCCTGCCTCGGCCTCCCAAAGTGCTGGGATTACAGGCTTGAGCCATTGTGCCCCCACCCAGCCAGTGTTTGTTTTTTTGAGAAAGGCAGATCAACTTTGCCTGGCTCTCTATCTCCATTTCTGGTTCTTGAGAAGCTCAAAACTCCACCTCCTACAGAACACTGGCATGGAGTCGGCTGCCCAGGTTCCAGTTTGAGCTCTTGCATGTATCAGCTACGTGTGCATGAACAAGCCTCTGAATTTCCTCCAGCCTCAGTTTTCTCATCTGTAAAATAGGGATGAAGATCAAATGAGATAATAAATGAGAATGTGCTTTGTAAATTTTAAAACTCCCATATATTTAATGGAGTATAGCTAATAAAATAATGATTGTTCATAAAGTTATTCTTTCTAATAAATCCTTTACCAAAGTTCATTCCTGGCCTTCCAATGGTATTGTGAAGTCTTGAGGTTTGCCGGGGAAGGCCAGCTTGTTATTCTTTCAGTACTGGGAAATGAGAAAAGGATACTTTAAATCATATCTTCATTTCATTTTCAGGAAAAAAAATGAATTTTCTATTTGGACAGGATTTTTATTGCAGACCTGCGCAGTAATCTGCATGGGTTCGTCAATAACTTCCAGGTGGGCTTAGATACTTGCAAGCTTTATTGAAGTCTTGTGTGGCACCAGTGCTGTATATCAGAGGGGAACATAAAAGGGCTTCCTAACTTTGCTGAGACTCCTATGGCTGTTAGATCCACAGGTAGTAAATCTGGGTGTGAACTGTCACAGATAATGGAATGTGTGGTGTTGTGGGGAGACCGGATTCCTCTGGCGGAGACTCTCTGGATCTTGGGTGCACAAAGCACAGCACATTCTCCAAGAAAGGAAAACTTGCATTGGAGACACTCAAAGTGAAAGCAAAGATGTAATGGCCAGCCAATTAAAAAAAGAGAGCACCATTCTTTCCTTCTCATTTGCTTCCAATGTGACTGGACTCTTCTTCTCAAAGATTTCCCTGTGTTTTTACCAAGGAAATAGTACATGTCCAATTGCTTTTGCATCCATTGGCGAGCATTGACAATGATATTTGCAAAAAAACTTCTTTCTTTATCAAGGGAGGTGCCTGCACTTATGAGGGTCTCCAGTGTTCCTCGTGCATGACATGCATTGTCACACTCTGTCGCCCAATAGGTTGATAACCCCAGAACTGGGCTCCAACCCAGATGCACCTGACTCCAAAGCTTATTAACAGCCCACAGCACTAGGCTACTTCCCCCAGGTATTGGTTGTGCCCTTAGGATATTCAAAGCTATGCTAGGCACTGAGAGAAGAGTCAAAGCTGAAGCTATCTTTCCTTCCCTGTCTGGGCACAGTGACTCATGC
Source organism: Homo sapiens (assembly GCF_000001405.40). Taxonomy (NCBI): domain Eukaryota; kingdom Metazoa; phylum Chordata; class Mammalia; order Primates; family Hominidae; genus Homo; species Homo sapiens. The sequence continues at coordinate 41,889,117 of NC_000008.11, read as the reverse complement.
CAGTAATCCCACCACTTTGGGAGCCGAGATGGGAGGATCACTTAAGGCTAGGAGTTCAAGACCAACCTGGGCAACATGGTGAGACCCAGTCTCCACAAAAAATTTAAAAACTGAAGATAGTTTTCCTTCTTTGAAGTGAAGGACTTATAAATTAGTGGGAAAGCTGCCAGAGTTGGAAGTAACCTCAGGCAGAGGATGGAGAGCTTAGGGCAAAGCCTGTGGCCTCCGGTTCCAGTGGGAATGTGGGTGTCCGAGGCCCCTCAGAATGTCTTGGAGCTGAGGACTCCGTCGCCGGGCCCTGAGGTTAACACAGAGTGCAAATGAAAGAGCAGGTGAAAACGGAGTCCTGGGGTTTCTGCTTTGTTTCTGGCTAGTCTGTCTCTTAACAGGTTAACTTTCCCCTTAACTTCAGTTTGGAGATTCTCTGTTCACCACATCATCAAGTCAACATCTTCTCTATATAATCACTTCATAATGTGCAGACACTAGTCAATACAGAGGGGTGGCATTGCTGCCATGATTGTCTGTTTTTCCTGTTATCTGGGCCTTTAGCTTTTTATGTGGATGCTTCCCAGGCCTATCCCAGAAGCGCCTGCCAGGAGCCGGACACGGAGATGATACGATGAGGGTGGTGTGAATGGATGAGCCTGGCTGGCTCTTGCTCCGCAGCTCTCTCCTGGCTCTTGCATCCCCATGGTTCTGTCGCCTGCCCCTAAGAAGTCGGGTGGTCTGAGTAGTTTCCAATGTGCGGTATCACATTTGCATACAAATGTACATATGTAAGCGTGTGTATACGTGTGTACCTATGATCAGATGCCAACAGGGGCCCCTTCTTGATTTGGCATTTGGGCAGTTAGTTGATGACTTCCACTGAGCTTGGGAAAGAGGAGGGGGACGGGTTAGGAGGAAGATGGTGAGTCCTTCTTGGCATGTGGCATAGGTGGCTTCCTGGGGCTCTCACCTGATAGAGGGAGAGAGCTCATAGAAAACATCTTCGATAGCAGGGGCAGCTGCGGGGCTTGCAGTGGGAGGAGCTGGCAGTCAGCTCAAGTCTGTGCCCTCCAGCTAGGCCCTGGAACACAAAGCTTCTAAGCATTGGCTTTAAGTACGACACACACATGACCAAGCTGACAGGGTGTTAGGACAGCTAAGGATGCTGATGGTCCCACCCAGAAGCCAGCCCCACTGGCTGGAGGTGGGCTCAGGGAGCAGGACCCATCCACTCTTAAAGACAGGACTTTGGTGCCATCACCCATGTGGTGACGTATTTTACATTCACCAAAAACATGCTTAAAATGTTTTTAAGAATATTCTTTTAATTGAAAATAGGAATATGCTTCAGTTGTTGTGTTATGTTCACTTTAAATTGACACAATATACACTTGTATATATAATATACGTGGAATAGACCAGGAAGACTCAGGGCCAGAGTAGCCAAGTAACATGTCATCAGAGAAATACACACTATGTGAGCAGTGGTCATCTTTGTCATGTGTGTTTCCGGGTGATTGAATTTTCTTTTTTATCCTTTTCTGTATTTTTAATAATTGTTCAAAATAAGCTGGGCACAGTGGCTCACGCCTGTAATCCCAGCATTTTGGGAGGCCGAGGCAGGAGAATTGCTTGAGGCTAGGAGCTCAAGACCAGCCTGGGCAACACAGCAAGACCCTGTCTCTACAAAAACTAAGAAAATTTAAGAAAATTAGCCAGGTGTGGTGGCATGCCTGTAGTCCCACCTACTCAGGAGGCTGTGGCAGGAGATTCACTTGAGCCCAGGGGAGTTCAAGACTGCAGTGAGCTATGATGGTACCACAGCACTCCAGCTTGGGTGACAGAATGAGACTCTGTCTCTAAAAAAAAAAAAAAAAAAAAAAAGGAAAGGAAAGAAAAGAAGAAAGGAAAAAAATGTTAAAAATAAACAAGTTGTCGAGACACAGAAAGAAAAAGCAGAGGACGCCCCACCTGTCTAAGAGGGTAGCAGGGCTTTCTCTGACTGTGTGTCTTCTGGAGATGAAATCTGGAATGTATAGCTGATGCCACACCCTCAGTAAGGGATTCCAAGGTGCTGTGGACTAGAGCCAAGTAGGTAACGGAATGTACTGGCTCAAAGTGGAGCTGAAGCGTGGCCCCCAAGAGCCCAGGCAGTTGGGTCTTGGCATATGAAGACTTCCATTGTAAACCAACTTGAAAATGTATGTGTGTTGGGCCTAATACTCCCTTCTGCAGCCAGGGGGATCTTCCAAAAATGCAAATCAGATCCTGACACTCCCTTCTTTCAGTCCTTCAGTGGCTTCCTAATTGCCCTTAGAATGAAGTCCAGGCTGGTTAACCAGGCTTCCTCCCTTCCACCCCCTGAATCTACTCCCTAGCTGCCTCTCCTGTCTTATTGCTGTCTTTCCTGCATCCTGCACTGGGCTGTACACTGATACTTGGAAATGTGTGCCTTCACTTGCTTTTAGATCTTCCTGTGTGCCACATCCTTGGCCTCCAACATCAATGTCAAGTCCTCCGTCAGAACGCAGTTGAAACATTGCCTCCAGTGTCCTAGATGAGGTTGGGCTCCCCTGTCCCATACTATTCCAGTGTACCCTTGGGCAAGGGGGCCAGAGCATCAGCAGAGCTTTAGCATGCGTCAGGAAGCAGTAATGAAGAGCTGTGGCCTGTGGAGTGAGATGGAGTCAGATGTTTACTGGCTGGCTTTGAGCAAGTTGCTCAATAGTGCTCCCTGAGTCTCAATTTTGTCAATTGTAAGGTGGAGAGAATAATACCCACCCCACAGCCATGCAGGGCTGTTGGGAGGATTGAAGGACTTAATATATGGAAAGTACCTGGCATATAAGCACTTGGTAAATGGCAGGACAATGCCTCAGCTCCCACCCATATCCACCTTGGGGCTGCCCATAAAATCCAAGACATGAGCATTAGCAGGCTGTGGACCTAGGGGTGGGTGGCAGAGAGAAACACATGTCTGCACCTGAGCCCTGAATGGGTAAATAGATGAAGACTTAAAAAATGTGGGCCTTGGAGTTTTCCTCTTTAATCCCGAATGAGACTTAAAAGATGAACGTCCTGTCCCACCTGGCTAAATTCTCACCTTGTATTTATTAATTTAAATGCAGTGTTAGCCTTTCTGGAGATGGCCATCAGGTCAAATGCCAAGGTTGGTAGTACTCAGCTAGTATTGCTGCCAGTTTCTTAAATGAGTTAGTAAAGAATTTGGAGAAATGTGAACCTGATCTGAAACTCAGAGTGAAGAATCAGAAACAGCCCAAGTCAGGCAAACTTCAAAGTCTGAAACATCCATAGAGTTGCACTGAATTTATGGAGACACTAGATTCTCCTGCGGCATAGAGATTTGGCCAGTTCATTGTAATGCCATTTGCAAGAGCTGCTTTGGTTGCTACCATTGACCACACTCTGGAGAGGAGACTGTTTCCCTGCTGATCTGAGGTTACACAGTGCCAGTGGGCAGGGAAGGCCCTTCCACAGCTTGTTTAGCCTGTGAAGCCTTGGGAAGGGACAGGTGTGTGATGGATCCAGCCAGTAGTCTCCTCTGATTTGGGATAGCACACAATGCAAGGGACCCAGGGCCTGTCCGCCGACATGGAGCAATGTCTGGAAATCGTGGTGTTTTACCAAGTTCTTGAGCTGTTGCACTTAACTATGGTATCTGCTTTAGGCAAAGCAAACCATAGTCAAACCATTTGTCTTTTCAAAAAAATATTGTCTTCTTGCCAGTCACATGTATCACTTCATTCTTGAACAGATCTGCATTTGAAGGACACCTGGACTACAGCTGGTGTGGTTGAATGTTAGCACTTTTAACCCAGATGTCAATACTGCCCCACACAGGACTTACAAGACACAGACGGAAAAACTTTATGATTCTGTACCGAGCACCATCACCAGATTTCTCAGGAAGAACTTTTAAGGCTAACTCCAGTGAACTCACCATCCTCACTGCTGCTGGAGTCTCCATTGCATCCCTGCTTCCTCTAGTCTTGCCCTTCCAATACGGTCTTTATCTTGCAGCGAGAGCCCCTTTTTTTTTTTCAAACACAAATGTGATAGTTGTCACTTCCCTTCCGAAAACCCTTCCGTTGCTTTCCCCTGCCTTGAGGATGAAGTCAGACCCTTCCCCGACCACTGTGCCTCACCCCTCCCCAAGCCTCCCCGTGCTCCTAGGATTTGCTGGGCTCCCTTGACCCACACCTTGCGCAGGGTGCTCCCTCTCCGGAACTCAGTCTGATTCCCCCTCATCCCTTGTTTGTTTGTTTATTTATTTTGAGACAAGGTCTCACCCTGTCTCCCAGGCTGGAGTGCAGTGGCATAATCACAGTTTATTGCAGCCTTGAACTCCTGGGCTCAAACGATCCTCCCAACACAGCCTCTGAGTAGCTAGGACTACAGACACGCACCACCAAACTGGGTATTTTTTTATTTCTTGTAGAGACAGAGTCTCACTATGTTGCCCAGGCTGGTCTCCAACTCCTGGGCTCAAGTGATCCTCCTGCCTCGGACTCTGAAAGCTCTGGGATTACAGATGCGAGCCGCGGTGCTCGGCCTCTACTCATCCTTTAAGCTTCACCTCCTCCAGGAAGCTTTCCTGAGTCTGGGTCTGAGATACTATGGAAGAAGTGCCTGTCCTGAGGGACGCTGGATGCAGTGGTGACCAGATCCCTTCCCACTCTGCCACTGTATGTTAGCTGAGGCAGTTTCCCAGACCCTTTAATGCAGTGGTGCCTTTATTATTTATTCATTTATTTATTTGAGACAGATTCTCACTCTGTTGCCCAGGCTGGAGTGCAATGGCGTGTTCTTGGCTCACTGAAACCTCTGCCTCCCAGGTTCAAGTGATTCTCCTGCCTCATCCTCCCAAGTAGCTGGGATTACAGGCACATGCCACCATGCCCGGCTCATGTTTTATTTTTGTGGAGACAGGGTTTCACCATATTACCCAGGCTGGTCTTAAACTCCTGGTCTCAAGAAATCTGTCTGCCTCGGCCTCCCAAAGTGCTGGGATTAAGGTGTGAGCCACTGCGCTCAGCCGTAGTGGCACCTTTAGTGAAGTCCTAGAGCAACTCCGTGAGGAAATGGAACCAATGCATTCCCTGGCATCTCCCAGTTCCCTGGGCCGGAGAACAATCTGAGTTGTTGGAGCCTCTGCCCCTCCAGTGCCACTCCCTCTGATTTATGAACATTAACTGTGCTGCTGTGGATGAAGAGAACCTGCCCTCGACAACAGAGCTGTGCTTAGTTCCAGTCCTCTTGACTGTCCTGTGTAGCTTTGGACACAGAGGCTCTCCTGCTTCTGAGCCTCTGTATTTAGTTTAGAGGACTCTTAAGACCCTTCTGGGAAGCCAGGTGCTGTAGCTCATGCCTGTAATCCCAGCTCTTTGGGTGGCTGAGGTGGGAAGATCCCTTCAGCCCAGGAGTTCAAGACCAGCCTGGGCCACACAGGAAGACCCCATCTCTACAAAAAATTTAAAAATTAGCCAGGTGTGGTGGTGCGTGCCTGTATTCCCAGCTACTTAGGAGGTTGAGGTGGGAGGATCACTTGAACCCAGGAGGTTGAGGCTGCAGTGAACTATGATTGTGCCATGAACTTTAGCCTGGGCAACAGAATGAGACTCTGTCTCAAAACAAACAAACAAACAAACAAACAAACAAACAAACATGAGATCCTTCTCGGTACCTGTTATGCTCTGATTATGTGGGTTTACAAGGCCACAGGGCAGAATGGTTCCAGATGCCAACTGGCTTACATGGGCCTAAGGTAGCTTGAAGGGAAATCTGGATGAGTGGTGGCACCAGACTGCAAGGCATATGAGTGTGAACGGACATGCAAAAGGCCATCCACCTCATTAGTACCCCATTCCACCTGGCATCTCATTGCCCCCATGCTGACCATGTTGTGGGTTGATATGGGGAGGAATCTATGCTGATGAAGTGCCCGGGGCCACACACGCTGTGGGAGTGTGGGCTGTGCTCTTTGTTAACAGAGCTGGCCCTTTGGATATGTGTTTTTGAAGACTCTGTCTCTCGCTGAGCCTGTGTAATCAGGCAACCCTGTGACTCTATAAACCTCTGGCTGAGGCCAGGGAGGAGGTGCCCTTTCTGTTGGCCAAAAGAGTGACTTTGGGGAGGGCGGAGAGCACCTGCCTCAGGTGAACAGGGAATGCAGGGGGCAGAATGGTGTCTGTTTTCAATGTAAGGTGACTGGCTCTGTCACACAGCGCCAAGTTGCTTTCAAGGTCACGGGCACAGCCATCTTCCTCTGTGGAGCTTGTAGGAGCGTGGAGGCCCTGACTCCAGAGGGAGAGGGGGCTAAGCAGCCCTGGCTGCCTGTTTTCCTGGAAAGCAACTAAGGCAATCCCACAGCCCAGAGCACTGGCGATGTTCTGTGGGGTGCATGAAACCAGGGTCAGACAGGCCTGCTTTTTGGAGGCTTGGCTTGTAGTGGTGAATTTGATATTTTTGGTAAGTTCCAGTTTCTTCCGTTTCTGAGTTTCCAAGGACTCGGGATTCTCAGGAGAGATCAGTCTCCCGGTTCACCCTGGCTGGAGTTCCTTTTCAATTTCAGTCCCTCCCAGTGCCCATCTCCAACACCCTGGGATGCATTCCTCACTGGTTGTCATGGAAGCTCCAGGTGCTGAACACCTTTTGCATTTTTCTCTAGTGGCTGCTCAGCTGGGGCTGGGGAGAGGAGAGAGGGAACTCCCCCAGGAAGGTGATGGTCAGGTTTGGGCTGCTGTTGAGCTGGAACCCTCTACTGTGGCTGCATGTACGGGGCGATGAACCCTGGAAACTCAGGCTTCCAGGAGCCCCAGGGCGTGGGGCCTGCACCGTGTGGATGGTGTCCCGTGGTGTTACATGGAGCTCAGTGGCTCACCAGGCGCTTCCCAGGGCATTATGTCATTGATCTTCCCAGCAACCCTGTGGAGAAGCAGGTATCATGTTTCCCATTTCACATGGGAGAAAACTAAGGCTCAGGAAGATTAAGTGCATTTCACACCACTGCGCAGTGGCAGAGGCGGGGGGAAGCCTTCAACAGTCCCTCTCCAAAGTCCCGATTTATAACAAGCAGGCGGTGACAGATGTAGGGTTTGTGGTTTGAAATTCATGTCATTTTCTCGTCTATCAACTGCCCACCCAGCTACTAGCAGGAAAAGAGCCAGGCCCCGTGACCTGTGGCTGATCTTCTCTCCATGAAAGGAGACAGGGAAGGCAAGGACCATCTGTGTTGGCTATGCTCCCCACTCAAGCCCACTCGGCCCTCACAAGCCAGGCAGGTGCGTGGGAACGGTGTTTTACAGGTGAGGACCTTGGGAGGCTCAGGAAGGTGAAGTCCCTTGCTCACGTCACATGTCTAATGAGAGCCAGAGCTGGGGTTTGTCCCAGCCGCCTGATTTTAACATCCTTGGCTTACTGCTTCCAGGGTGATTGTGAGGATTAAATAAAATGAAATAAGTACCTAAGAGGAAAAAAGTGAGAGGCAGAAGGCTAAACAGAAAGAATGTTTTGAAAGCATGTAACACAGAGCCTAGAGCTTGATGGGAATGTTATATACCAGTTCCCTTGACAGTAAGATAAAATAGCATCCCCACCTTGTACTAGCATCCAAACCCCCTGAGTACAGAAGGCATGTATTCCCGAAACAGAACCAATCCCATAGATACAGATACAGACAAAGACACACATAGACATAGATATAGATATAGACATAGACATAGATCTGTACATACCACACACCAGGGTATGGGCAGTGCCTTAGAATGGGAACATTAGGAACTAAAGCTGCTGGTCTTGACTCTGCCTCTCGGAAGTGGCTGAGTGACCTTGGGGAAATAACTGTGTGTCTCTGGGCCTCTGTTTTCTCACATGTAGAACAAAGAGCTTCTAGTCCAGCTTCTAGTCTGGACTAGACTAGAAGACACAGCCTCTTGGAAGGGACCTTGTGAATCTCACACCCCATCCCCTTCATGAGGAAACTGCCATCTGGAGAAAGGAAATGGCTTGTCCAGATCACAGAGCTATTTTTAGTGGCCAAGCAAGCACTAGAACCAGATCTCCAGGCCCAACTCTCTGTACTCTGGCAAGAAATCCCAGCCCTTATGAGCAATGGCTCTTGGAGCACAATATGCTGAGAGGAACTCTGAGAAGACAAGAGGGATGCTGTTCTTTTGTTCCACTTGGAAATGGCCCTTGGCCCTACCAAGTAAGGCAGCAAAGTGCAGAGCCTGCGATAATGGGAGGTGGCCATCTGCACTGCTGGTGCAGAGTGCTAAATTATTCAGGACCCACCAGGCGCCTCTGCCGGGGGAGAAGCCTGCCAGGGAGCTTGAGTTTGGATGCAGAAGCCTGAGCCTTCTCTGGGACCTGGTGCAAGGAAATGTGTCCTGGATAGATTATTCCAAACTGCTCCTCGTCCCAGTGCCCTAATTAGTGCTCTTTGTGTGCCTCGCGCAGCTCAGGTGTTTGCGGGGTTTGGTGGATGCCCACACCAGCCCCCCTGCAAAGAACTGGCCCTGGGGGCACATGCAGTATTGCAGGACATATCGGTGGGACAGGCCCTTAGTTCAAAGACAACCTACTCATCCTGCAAATGAGGAAACTGAGACCTGGGGTGAGGGCAGCTGCTTTCCCGGGGTTCACAGCTGAGCATTAAAGTCCAGAAGAAAAAAATCACTCCTGGAATGCCTTCCCCAACTTTATTAAACAGAAATAATTGTTCCCTCTTCCGTGTTCCATTAACACTGATAATCTCACTCATGGCTTTGCTTCAGAGATTGGCAAACTTTTACTGTGCAGGACCTGGCAGTAAATATTTCAGTCTCTGTTGCAAATACTCAGCTCCGCCGGCGGAGCGTGAAAGCAACCACAGGCAATACACAAACAAACGAGCATGGCCATATTCCAATAAAACTTTATTTATGGACACTGAAATTTGAATTTCATTTAATTTTCATGCATTACAAAATGTTTTTCTTCTTTCTCCTAACCACTTAAAAATGTAAAAATCATTCTCAGCTCCCGTGCTATGCAAAAAATGGGCAGCGGGCTAGACCTGGCCCTTGAGTACAGTTTGCCACCCCCTGGGTTAAATGCTTGTTGTTCTTGCTGGACTGCACAGAGGCAGCACCTTGGTTCCCTTTGCATTCCCACGACTCGTTGGTTGAATGAATGAATCTGGTAATTTGCACTAAATGCAGACACATGGAATAATCATTATTAACACCTTAAACAATCTTTTGAGAGAGGGAGGCAGAAGAGGCATTATTCCCCCTCTCTTATGGACAGGAGAACTGAGGCCATAGGACTGGTCTGTGAGAGGAGCCCTGGGGCTTCTGATTCCCACTCCAGGGGAGTGTTGCTTTGACCAAGGTCTGAGCGGGCTGCGCTGGTTGTTGGTCCTTCTCACTCGCCGGGGGAAGCTCCAATGAACCAGGCCAGCAGGACGGCTGGATGAAAGAGAATCTGTCCAGCGGCACCTCTTTCAGTTGTGGAAATAGGAACAATCTGGTGCGTGCCTGGGTAAAAGGCCTGTGGCAGAATTGTTTGGTCTCCTTCCTACATCTCTCTGGCATTGCACTCCTTGAATGAGAGGCAGCAGTGTCTGTTCTGTTGAGAGGGAATCGTTACACATAGCTAAAATTAGATGTTTTGTTTGAATTATGTTAATTTGACTTAATTGCTGGGGAATGTCAATGTTCTCGAGAAATCCAGGTGCTCTGGCAGGTCTTGGTGAATAATAGTAATCCCTTATATTGGTGTAATGCCTCCTGACCTAGATGCCACCTTCATTATCTCATTCGATCTCTCACAACAAACGCAGGAGGGCAGCAACCCCCGAGGAGGTGATCCCTGATTTTCTGGACTGGGAAGCTGGGGTCCCCACTGATTAACTTACATTCCCCAGGTCACGGCTCTCTAGAGGCAGAGCTGGGACAGGAACACATGTCTGATTTCTCTATGGCTTCTCTTCCACTGGGCTATATTTTAAACACATTGTCCTGCATTTTTTTTAATTTTTCAATTTTTATTTTTTATTTTTGAGGCTGAGTCTCACTGTGTCACCCAGGCTGGAGTGCAGTGGCGCAATCTCGGCTCACTGCAACTTCCACCTCCCAGGTTCAAGCGATTCTCCTGCCTCAGCCTCCCTGAGTAGCTGGGATTACAGGCGTCTACCACCATGCCTGGCTAATTTTTGTGTTTTTAGTAAAGATGGGGTTTCACCATGTTGGCCAGGCTGGTCTCAAACTCCTGACCTCAAGTGATCCGCCTGCCTCGGCCTCCCAAAGTGCTGAGATTATAGGCATGAACCACCACGCCTGGCCCCTCTTTTATTTTTTTGACATGTAGGCAAGGCTGGCTTTATCGGTGGACAACCTGTCCAGTTGCATGAGGTCCTGCCCTTAAAAGGGTCCTGTGCATGTTTCAATGCTCTGTTCTGTGTTAAAATTACTCATTACTTTTTAACGAGGGGTTCCACATTTTCATTTTGTCCTGGGCCATGCAAATTAAATAGCCAGTCCTGGCTGTAAAATCGTTTTCATGGGCTAGCACTTGTATTTTTCTATCCAATTAACCTTGAGTGCGATTTGATCTTGACCATGGCTTCTGGGATGTCCAGAGGAGCTTCTTTTTATAAACAGCTCCCCCTGAACCTGTCTGAAGGTGTAATTTCCATGTGGTTTCTGGTGAGGCCAGGTCAGCCGGCTACTCCTGTTCCTTCCACCTTTGCCTCTGGACTTAGTCCCTGTGCAGGCAGGGGATGATCCATATATCAGAGGTGAGCTTGAAGATGTAGGGGTGTGATCGTCCCCTGCCCAGGGTGGGGGCACCAGGCTGGATGCAGAGTAAACCTTCGGGTACTGTCTTCCCGGTAGGGTAGCTAGGAAGAGCCACCCCAACTCTCCAGAATTGGTGCAGACTCAATTCTCTATTAGTTTTGGTTATTGTTGCCAATGACATTTGGGATTGTTTGGTAAGTCGCATAATGGGTTTGAGAAGAGTGGGTGTCTGGTACCGCTGTGGACTCTGCCGCCTTCCAGAATGTTCATGCACATGCTTTCAGTTGACTGTTTTCCAGGAATTGCAATAGCCTAGTCACTGACCTTCTGCTGGGCGCTAGGCTGTGTGCCCAGCGTTCCTGCCCAGGTCCCAACCTCCTGTCCCTGTCCTCCCTCACACGGCCACAGCCCTACTCGCCTTAGCTCTGTTCCTCAGGCACGTCTACCTGGCTTCTGTCTTCAGGCCTTTGTGCTTCAAGCTGTCCCTGTCTTCTCTGCAGCCATGAACGAAGCTAGTCTACTCCTTTTTGTTGTCCTTAGCTCAGATGTCGCTTCCTCAGAGAGGACTGCCCAGACGACTGCTCTCCAGCGACCACTTCGCCCCCGCCTGGCTCCCACCCACCTGCTCTATCGCATCATTTTGTTTCATTTTCTTCACTATCTGAAATGGTCCTATTTATTTCTGTTTTATTGTCTGTCTCTCTCTTCCTCCACTAAAAAATAAATTCTGTGAGAGCAGTGGCTTTTTCTGTCTCCTAAACTGGATTTCCAAAATCTGGAGGAGTGCTTGGCACACAGTTGGTTCTCCATAAGTGTATATCCATCAAAATAATGGATCGGCACCACAGTCTTGCAGCTGGGGCACTGTGAGTGTCACTTCCTAGATGGTGTAGTGGAGACCCTGGAGGAATTCAGCAACTCGCCCAGGGTCTCAGCTGGAAAGGAGGGCTGTTGTCTGCATCTCCAACACACATCTCCCACCATCAGCAGCCTGCTGGCCACCATGAGCCTGCTCCTTTCCCCAGCCTGGAGCATAAGACTGGTAGTTAGGAGGCCATGGTCTGGACCAGGATGTGTGCTTCTCCAGCGGGTCCCACCCTTTTCACCTGCGCTGTGGGATGGTGATTTCTTTCCCAGGTCCCTTCTATGACAGTGTGGAAGTTCCATAACACATATTTTTAATTATTATTTTTTCTAATGACTGGGTCTCACTATGTGGCCCAGTCTGGTCTTGAACTGCCAGCCTCAAGCAATCCTCCCGCCTCGGCCTCCCAAAGCACTGGGATTACAGATGTGAGCCACTGTGCTCAGCCCATAAAGTCTTATTTATTTATTTATTTATTTTGAAGATGGTCACAGAAGTTATCCTGAGTAGCAAATTTGAAAATATGAGTTTTTCCATGAAATCCCTTTTGGCTTTACATTGATCAAATGGCCTTTATTAAAACGAACAAATTCTACCAAATCCATCTGATCCCCTCACACATGGTAAGAATACATGAGATAATGTCTGCAGAACTGCTCCAAAAAGTTAAAAGTGGTGCAGCCAGATGAGGGGTTACCATTCCCCAACAAACCTTTCATCTTCATCTCCCTGTCTTAATAAACATGACACGTGCGATTAGGATCGGGTCAGGGGATTTTAGGCATTCCCTTCCTTGTGCATTTTCCAGCCTTCAGGCTGGAAACCAGAGCCCTTTAGAGGTGTGAAGGACAGCGCGTACGTTTCCGACTTGGACAAGCCTGGCTGGGGTCGGCTAGGTATCACATACTGGCTGTGCGAACCTGGGACTACTCACTTAGCCTCGGCTTTCTTATCTGTAAGACAGGTCATCAGTTCCTCCTTGACCTCTCCATGTGCCTGTGAGGTTTCAAGGTTACCTTGAATGCGCCCCAGCCCCCAGGGGGCACGATCAGTGTCAGCCCCTCTCCGGGTGGGGCCTGTTCCGGGGCGAGGCGCCGCTGCTGAGTCGCGGCCAGAGAACCTGGGTGGGGACAAGGCCCGCTGGCCGAGGGGCTGCGCGACCGGGAGAGAGACGACCGGGCGGTCGGTGCCAGGGTGCCAGGGTGCCAGGGTGCCGCGGCTGGAGCGCAGGCAGCGCCCCACGTGCTGGTGAGGCCAGACAGGGCCGTCCCCGCGCCCGCCTGGGGAGCGCCGCCTCGGGAGCCCAGCGAGGGAGGGCGGCCGCCGCTCCGAGCTCTAGGACAAGGAAGTCGGTTTCTATATTTGGGCAGGAGGCGTGAGGCGAGGGGATTGGTGGAAGCTCCTGCCCTGCCGGTTGCGGGCCGCGAACCTGCGAGGTCGCGGGACGTGCGCGCGCGGGGCCAGGCGCGGGTGTGTGCGCGCGGGCAGGTGTGCGAGTGTGCGCCCGGGCGCGCGCCGGCCCCTCTGGGGAGCCTCGGATGCAGCCGGAGAAATGAAGGCAAAGTGGGTGTGCTCAGGTTCCTTTCTCGTGCCGGCTGCTTCCCAGTCCCTGCGCCGTGTAACACTAGATCATCTACAAAACACTGCCAAGAGGAAAAAAGCAAGATGTGGCTGTCCGGGGAAAAATGGCGCCCACAGTGCAGTGGTGTTAAGTGGGAGTTTGTCCTCCCCCTGCAAAGCGTGTTCTTCTACGAGCAGCAAGGAGGCTTCCCAGCTGCTTGGGAAGAGGGACCGGCTAACCCAGATTCATTCCATCATCACTCACGCATCCCTGGCACAGGAGGAGAAACGAATGGCCATGGGAAGCAGCCACTTAATACTGCACAGATGTGCCTGTCTGCCGAGCCTTGGTATTGGAGTTGGGCTGCCCACTGGGAAGAGCCAGTAGTTTGGAGTTGGATGGATCTAGGGTCAAGCCCAGGTTCCATCAGGTATCACCTGGGAGAGTCCCTTGTAGCTCCTCTTGGCAGGCCGGTGGTGACTTTCTCAAGAACTTGTGGAGGCCCAGTGTTGGGTATACCCGCCTCCATCCATGCTGACCCATTCTTTGCACTGATCCCCTGCCTCCTCCTGCCTCCAGTTCTTCAACATGCCTGCTGCTGCCAGCCTCTAAACTGGGACCTGGTGCTGCTGGCTCCCGGTGCCAAGAAGCTGCAGAGTCTTTAGGGTCTCCTGTGGGGGACAAGAGGTGCAGGAGCCCCCGCATCTGGGTGACCAGGACTTGGAGGAACAGGACAGGAGGGCTTGGAGTTCAGGAAGAGAAAGGGCAGGAAGAGGGGAACCCGGTCATCCCGTACCCTTTCCAGCTCAGCTCTGCTCCCTCCCCTCTCCCATCCCAGCCCCATATATGGACCGAGACAGGTGGTCCTGCTGGGCCCGTCCTCTCTGGACCACCACAGACTGCCACCCAGTCTCTCCTGAGGGTGCTGCAGCGGGGACAGCACATTTTGTTCCATAGTCAGACCGTGGGGTTATATTGCAAGTGCCAGGAGGAGTTGCTCAGTGGAGGGTCAGTCGTGATGGTGGAAATGACCTTGGGTATTTTTCCAACTTTGGAATGGGAAGATCAAAAGCAGGAACTCACTGAGAGTCAAAGAATGACCATGAAGGAGAAGCAGTGGGAGACAAGGAGGCCAGAACCCAGAAAGCACAATTCTCAGTTGTCATGTTTTTTCTTAGCCAGTGCTGAAGAGCTGGGCTGCTGTGACAGAGGCAGACTAGGGCTTTCCTAGTGACAGATCAGCTAGGGCCACAAGGACTCCGGTCACCTCCTTGTTAGCACACCTTGTCTGGAGGAAGACAGCAAGATGGAATGAACTCATCTCCACCCCATGCCCTGCTCTCCGACACACTCTGAAAGAAGTGGATGCTTACCTGTCATTGCAGGGCCTGCGGGGCGGGGATGGGGTGGAGGAGGTTGGGGGCTGCGGGCAGGCGACCCGAAAGTGCAGCCAAGACTTTAAGAAAAGAGTGCTTTGCTAAATGGTTCTCACTCCCAACTCACTGCCTTTTTCCTGGGCCCAGTGCAACTTTTCAAAATTCAATTATGATGGATATGAGAAAAAAATATAAGATCTGAAATCGAGGCCTTTCAGATTAGTGGCTGTGGGCCTTGCTCTGAAGGCGGCTATAGGAGGCTCTATTTTTGTTGTAGCTGCAGTCCAACAAGGGTGTCCCTGAGACAGTTCAGGGTGCAGGCACCATACCTGGTCCATCCCTAAGTGCGGCTGCCCTACTCCCTACCTACCTGCGGGACATCCAAACATCTGAACTGTTGCCTTTCAAGGCCCCAGCCTTCCCTGTTGTGTGTCCGCAGGTCTCTTAGTACTTAGGAGCCCGTGTGTTTGTGTCTGTGTGTGCATGTGTGCTTGTGTGTGTACCTGTGTGCATGCTTGTGTGTGCCTGCATGTGTGCATTGTGTGTGCATGTGCGTTTGTGTGTGTAGGGGGAGGGTGTTGGTTTGAGCTTGGCTGGGTCTGTTTGGCTCCTGGAGTAACTTGTCCAGCCAAGGCCACAGGTTTGCCAGCCTTGGTTCAACGTATAAGGCAGTCATGCTGGTGACCAGGTTTCCCCAACAAAGGCACAAGGTGCTCAGGGTAGCGAAGCTGGGGCTGCAGCATCCAAGGTCTCTGAGGTCCAGTGCTGTGAAGCCGGCAAGGCCCAGGCTCCACTCCACAGCTGTGCAATATGGCAGGAGCCCCTGCTGACCCCTGAAAATACCAGTGAGCCTTAGCCTGACACGTGCCAGCTTACAGAGGGCTTGGCTCTGGTCTGTGCTGTTTAATTTTATCCTTATGGAGGCATCGTGATTCCAGTGAGGATTTGGACTAGCCTAGCTTGGTTGCAACTCCTGGCTCCACCACTTGTAACCACAGCCTGGTTAACCCTTTTCAGTCTCAGTTTCTTGTCTGCAAAATGGGGATAAGATTAATAATAGGGTGACTTGGAGGCTTATTGTGAGGATTAAATGAGATTGTGAATGGGATGTGCCTGTTGGAACTCATTCACCAATGCTAACATCACCATCTTCAGTGTGCAAGTGAGGAAAGTGAGGCCTGGGAAGGAGACATCCCTAAGAGAAAGCGGCACTGTCAGGATGTGATGGACCAAATATGACTTCAAAACCATTCTTATGGGGAGGTCCCCAAAACACAGAGATAATGACATCGCATGAAGGTTCGAGGCAATCGGGAAGAAAATGTAGTCACTTTATGTAGTTTCTTTATAGACTAAATCCATCAAATCTTTTAAATAGAATAGTGACTTTTTTCTTTTTTGCAAAGAAAATAAACGGTAATGGGGAGAGAGCTCAGGTGGAATGAGCAGGAGACGAGAACGGCTCGTTCAGCATGGCTGGCTTCAGCCTTCCCCTCTGCAGCGTGCCCACAGGAGAGACTTCTTTTCCGTTGAAGAGGATTGAGGATTTAATATTGTGTTTTTATAAATTATGTTAGCCATTGTTCTGCCTCAAAATCTCTGCCTTTGTCAACAGAGACCTGGACCCTACAGACTCCCCAGTGGGAAGCCAGATGTGGGGTGGCTCGCGAGGGCGGCTGTGCTCTGAGGCTTTGGGTGTGGTTGGAAGGGTCCCCAGCAGACCTCCTACAGGTCACTCCAGGGAGAGACCTGGGCAGGCCTCTGTCTTTCCAAGGTGTTACTGAGTCTTTCTGAAGGTATCTCCTCTTAGCTTGTTTTAAACCTTAAGGTGTAATCCAGGCTGAGAATTGTAAGGTGAGCACCCCCTACTCACCGATTGGGGCACATCCTAGGGAAGCTGGCAATGCATCTGCGGCTGGACGCGCTCCCCACGGCTCCAAGGCCTCTGACATGGGGCTTCTGCCCTCACTGCCACCTTCACTGGGCATGACCTTCCAGAAATGTGGCTTAGTTAGTAAGGAGAAGCTGGGGGTCTGGAATTGGGGCTAGATTCGAACCCCGGCTTCCACTGCACTGCTTCTGTGGCTCCTGGCACTCTTTGGACTCTGAAGTGAGGAAAGAGCAGCACTGGGGGATTTAATGGGATAGCTGCACAGAGGCCTCGCCTTAGGGCCCGGCAGGAAGTGGAGCACATCCAGCCCTGGGGTGGGCGGCTGGACAGAGGGTGCTGTGTACGCTCACTGGGACTCAGTCCCCTTACCTGTGGGGACGCTGCTCTTCGGCTGTAGTTAAGCTCCACTTGGGAGCTGAGGCCTACAGGGGGTCGGCTCCTCTCCTCTGCACAAGATGAGAAGTCATCTTGCAGCACCCTTTTGGAGGAAGCGTTTTGTGTGACTAAGACCACGAATCAGCTTGGGCAATGCTGGCTCGTCTGTTTCTGAAATATTAAACACTCTCTGAAGTGGGTTAGACTGAGCAAAGTGAGGACAGCAGCTAATAAATAATAAACTCATCCAGGGCTGCTGCGGCCTTGTCATCTGGAGTGTGGGTGCCTGGCCCGGACCCTCCCTTCCCCCATCCCGGGGGCTCCATTCCAGCCAAGATCCCTGGGAGGGGCTTTCAGGTCTGCTTGTGCTGGGTGGGTTCAGAGCAAGCAAGCCCTTGCCCTCTGCTCTGCAGCAGCTACCACTGCTGTGGAATTTCAAGTATTTCACACGCAGGTTTTCTATCAGAGCTGAGATGCATGGCGTCTTAGCTTGCTAGGGCTGGCATAACAAAGTCCCACAGACTGGGTGCCTTGACCAGCAGACATTTATTGTCTCCCTCTCATGGAGGCTGGAAGCCCAAGAACAAGGTGTCAGCAGGGTCGGCTCCTTTGGTGGACTGTGGGAGAGCACATGTCCAGGCCCCTCTCCTGGCTCCTGGTGGTCTGTGGGCAATCTTTTGCACTTCTTGGCTGGTGGAAACATCGCCCCCCGATCTTCTTCGTATGGTGCTCTCCCTGCATCTGCCTCTGTGTCTGCATTTCCCCTTTTTATAAAGACACCATAGGCCGGACGTGGTGGCTCACATCTGCAATCCTGGCACTTTGGAAGGCTGAGATGGGAGGATGGCTTGAACCCAGGAGTTTGACGCTGCAGTGAGCTGTGATCATGCTGCTGCCCTCCAGCCTGGGTGACACAGCGACCCTGTCTCTAAAACATAAATAAACAGCATCTACTATAGCTCCAGCAGCTGCCTCGATTCTGCGGAGGTTAGGAGGCCCATTGGTAGCCCCACCCTTCAGCAGCTTCCAGTCAGTGGGAGAGAGAAGATGCAGCCTCATAAATGCGTCAGAGAACAATGCAGGGGCGATGGGAAGGCACCCTGGACCTGTGCAGTGTTCCCTCCAGAAGCTCCTGGGGTGTGGGTCATAGTAGCAGAGGCCTCTTAGAGTCAAAGGTGTGGCCCGTGAGGGGCAGATAGACATGCTCCATGGGACCCGGAGGCTGCAGAGAGGGCCAGCCCTGAGGAAAGGGCTTGCTGGAGCATGAGTTGAGGTTGTTGAGAGAACAGGATGGGAGGTGGGCAGACAGTCCCCGTGCCCATTCGAGAGCCAGGAGGGGTGGGGAGCAGCTCATCCTTGATTCCAGAAGGAGTGTTCGCCAAGCAGAGGCTCCGACCCATGACCCCCAGCAGCACCACGTGTCCACATGCTCCTGTGCCAAGCGGAGCCCAGGTGCCATGGCCAGAGTGCCTCCAACAAGGACAAAACCTTGGTCAGCTAAAGCCAGGGACTCGGCTAACGTGTGTGCCGGGCCCACCCTTTCTGCCAGCCTCTTCCAGCTCAGCTTTGAGTGGGCTAACATTTATTTTGTTGGCCTCCCTTGGCCCATCATCCAGCAAATGTTCCCTCACGCCGGCCACACGTTCTCAGACCTCTGGCAGCTTTGCCCAGTAACCTCACATTTCTCATACAGCTCCTTCCGTGATCCATGGGGCTAGAGCTTAGAGAGTCCCCTTGATATTGTGGGGTGAAACATCCCCAGTCACAGGGGCTGAGGCTCAGGGAGTGCTTTAGGATGGAGGGACGCTCATGTCCCTGGAACCTTGCTTGGGGTGTGAGTCATGAGTAGAGCTCAGAGCATGTCGTCTGAATGAATGAACACGAGTGAATGATGGAGAAGGTGACTCGGCCTTGTTTTCAGAAGGGACTGAGGGTGGACTTGCATAAAAAGACTGTGCCCATTGAAACCTCTTTTTTTTTTTAAGCAAAAACTTAGGCTGGTCATGCTTATCCTCCTCACCTTCACATGCATAATCTCGGGCATTTGGTAAAGACTGGCGTTCTCTGCTGGATCTCTCAGCCTCCTCCTCATTTCATTTCATTCGGGGCACAGAGGTGGGGCCCTCTGTTGGTAGGGCTGTTGGTGGTGTTACTTGCAGAGGGGTCCTTGAACCGCCTGAATCCCTAAAATGGTTTTAGGCCTCTAGGGCACTGGTTAAAATGTCAGAGCCTGCCCTCTCAGCCTGCTGAATTGGATTCTCCAGGGGTAGGACTCAAGAATCTGTATCTTAGATCCTTTCTTCTTGGGATCTTCTTAGTAAGTCATCTGTGCACTAAAGTTTGAGACTTATTGCACTCAGAGTCCAACATTATTGCAAAATAATTGAGCTTTTGGATGTGTAACAATATTGAAAATATAAGCAAGCCCCAGTTACCATTTTGACTGAACATCAGCTTTTCCTATAACCTGGGTCAGCAAATTGCAGTCTGGTGTCAGCTGACGTGGCCTATGGAGCATGCGGATGTCCAGAAGCACCCCCAGGCCTCGGCAGGCACAGGCCTTTGTGAGTTCTCACAGTGTGCTTTTCCTACAAGGCAGCATTTTTCAGCACAGTCCTGGTCCTGGTCTTCCCTGGTCAGTGTTCAAGGCCCAGGTTTTCCTTTCTTTTTTTTAAATTTTAGATGGTCTCGCTCTGTCACCCAGGCTGGAATGCAGTGGTACGATCATGGCTCACTGCAGCCTCTGCCTCCCAGGCTCAAGCTGTCCTCCTGCCTCAGCCTCCCAAGTACCTGGGACAACAGGCGAGAGCCACCACGCCAGGCTAATTTTCAGGTCCCATCTTTTAAAATGCAGCCTCTGGGTTGTGCCTCAGAATGACTGAATTAAGATCTCAGAGGATGGGGTCCTCAAATCTGCATTTTTAAGCAAGATCCCTGATGATTCTTCTGTCCAGTGAAGTTCAAGGAGCACTCTCTTCCCTGCCTGAGACCCTGAGGAGGGCAACGGGCTCCTGCCAGTCCTGAGTCAGAACATCAGAGATGGAAAGGAAGGGACCATCGGGTCCAACCACGCAGTTTTAGGGATTAGGGACAATTCGTCTTCTGACACCTCCCACTCTGGATTTTGATCTTTTCCTCCTTTCTTAGCCCAGAAAGAGTCACCTAGAGAAGAAGACCATTGTTTATTGAGTTTCTCATCAGAATCAGGGCTGTGCTTTGCTTTCCTCATCCCATTTAATCTTGCCAACGAATAGGAAATGGTTTTACGTAAATATTCCCCTTTATGATCAGGACATGCTTTAGCTGGGTGCTGGAACCCTGGGTGTTCGCATTCCTTCTCCCCGTCTGAGCCTCATCTTTTTCATTCCCTTTGCTTTTGTTAAATAGGCCTTGGGTGCAGTGTCTCCCATCCGAAAGTTCGAGTGTCTGTTATAAAATTTGTTCCAGGAACTTTGCTCTCTGCACGCCCCTCTGAAAATTTCTAAGCTCTTTTAAAAAAGATTTTGAAGGGAATAGTTTTGATGCAGTGATTCCTCATCCCAGGCTTTAGTGAGCTTTGTAAATAATGTATCAGACCAGGGTCGATAGCTTATGGCACATGATTTAAGATTCCTACCAGAAGATCTGCTGGAAGAGGTTCCCGGGCACATTTCTTAATTATTCACAAGATATATAAAGTTATAAATCATTTACAAAATGAGAATAAATGCCGTGAACATTTCTGATGAGATTTCGTACATTGTCTGGAAGCTGCATTTAGGCCTTGGACTTTTAAAAGGTCTCTGAGAGGACAAACCACGCCTGAATAATTGCTCATCATCTTGGTGCAGTGGTTCTGAACTGGGAATGGTTTTGCCCTTCCCCACCGCCCCAGGGGACATTTGGCAAACTCTAGAAACATGTAAGGTATCATAATTGGGAGGAAGGGTGCAACCAGCACCTAGTAGGTAGAGGCCAGAGATACCGAACACCCTTCAATTTGCAGGATGGCCCCCTACAGCAAGGAATTATGTGGCCCCAAATGGCCCCAATAGTGCTGAGGTTGAGAAACCCTGTCTTAATACTGTTATCATGCTTTTATCATTAAAACCTGCTTCAGGCTGGGTACAATGGCTCATGCCTGTAATTCCAGCACTTCGGGAGGCCAAGGCTGGTGGATCACCTGAAGTCAGGAGTCCAAGACCAGCTTGGCCAACATGGTGAAACCCAGCCTTTACTAAAAATACAAAAATTAGCTGGGTTGGTGGCAGGCGCCTGTAATCCCAGCTACTTGGGAGGCTGAGGCACGAGAATCGCTTGAACCTGGGAGGTGGAGGTTGCAGTGAGCTGAGATTGCACCGCTGTACTCCAGCCTGGACGACAGAGAGAGAATCTGTCTCAAAACAAACAAACAAACACCTGCTTTAGAAATATTATTTAACTGTGCAAAAATATTTGCAGAGCTTTGACTGTGTGCCTTGTGCTGTGCTAGGTATTGGGGATACAGAGATGAGGAACACTGTCATTTCAGTGGGGGAGACAGCTGACAGCTTAGAGGGGTGATGGGGAAGAAACCCAAGCCATGACTTGATGGAGATGTGTGATCTGCTCAAGCAAAAAGGAGGGTATCACCTAGCCTGATGGTGTGTGTGTGGCATGGGTGCTGCCGGGTGGAAGGATGTGGTGGGCAGAGGGAATGGCATGGGAAAAGGCCTGCAGGGAACAGGGCTTGACTCTTGAGCTCTGGGAGTCATTTGCTGTGGCTGGAGTGGACATCACTTGGGGCTGTTATCAGGTCCAGGACCCTTCTGTGCAGAAGCTTCATTTCTTAGGCATTTTAAGAGATTTTGTGCATTTTAGGAGATTTGTATTATTTTGGTATTAACCAGGCACTGTGAGAAGCAGGGCATGAGCATCTTTGGCTCATGAGTGTCTTGTTTGAGAGCTGATGTTGCCTCCTTTTGCAGAACTTTGCATCCGCCTCTCAGTTTCACCCCTTCCACTCTGAAACAAGCCCATCACAAGACGAGAGGAAAAGCGGCATCATCAGAGATTGGGGTGCTGGACTGACACTCATCCTTCTTGGGGTCTTGTCCTGAGAGGACTCTTTCTAGGGCCTCCTACTGGAGTCCTAGCAACTTGCACCTTCGCTGCTTCTCCCAGCGTTGGGGTCTGTACCTCCCCACACTAAGAACCAACTGGTCAGATGGATGTAAAATTTATACTAGGGTAGATGGAACACTGTAGGGAGGTTCCTCAAAAAATTAAAAATAGAATCACCATATGATCCAGCAATTCCATTTCTGGGTATATATCCAAAGGAATTGAAAGCAGGGACCCAAACAGATATTTGTACACCCATGTTCGCTGCAGACTTATTAACAACAGCCAAAAGGTGGAAGCAATCCAAGTGTCCATTGATGGGTGAGTGGATAAAGAAAATGCAGCGTATACATACCATGGAGTGTTATTCAGCCTTAAATAGCAGGAAGGACACTGCTACACCTGCCACATGGGTGAACCTTGAGGACGATGTGCTGAGTGAAATAAGCCAGTCACAAAAGGACAAACTCTGTACGATTCCTAGAGTAGTGAAATGCACAGAGACAGAAAGTAGAACAGTGATTTCCAGTGGGAGAAAGCAATGGGAAGTTAGTGTTTAAAGGGTACAGAGTTTCACTTTGCAAGATGAAAAGAGTTCTGTGGCTGGATGGTGGTAATGGTAGCACAGCAATGTGAATGTACTTAATGTCCCTGAACCGTACACTTAAAAATGGTTAAGGCATCCAGGCACAGTGGCTCACGCCTGTCATCTCAGCACTTTGGGAGGCCAAGGCAGGAGGATTACTTGAGGCCAGGAATTCAAGACCAGCCTGGGCAACACAGTGGGACCCTGTCTCTACAAAAAATAAAAAATAAAATCAGCCAGGTTTGGTGGTGTACACCTGTGGTCTCAGCTACCCGGGAAGTCGAGATAGGAGAATCGCTTGAGCCCAGGTGATCAAGGCCGCAATGAGCTGTGATCACGCCATTGCACTTCAGCATGGGTAACAGAGTAAGACCCTGTCCCTGTAACCACCACCCACTCCAAAAAAAGAAAGAAAATTACCTTTGGGAAAGGGTGAAGGCATGATATCCTAAGAGAAAAGAGGAAGCAAGTTCTCCCTGGTGGCCCCAAGAGAAGGGAGGGCAGGCTCCATACGTCCCCACTGAAGGGTATGTGCATAGTTCCTCTAGGGTCTGGCGGAGGCCAGTGTCATGGTGGAGAGGCGAGAGTTGGACATGGAGCTCTGGGTTAGCAGGGGCACTGCAGACCCATTGAGTGTGGAATGCATTGGAGTGGCACTGTCACATTCATACCTTGGAGAGATTTTCTGAGATTACTGTGGATAGTGGCTTTGAAGACTGGTGCAGGGATAGGGGAGAGAGAGAGAGTGGTGATGAGGGGATGGAGGCGATTAGGAGGCGAGTCCTGGGGGAAAATCAGGAAAGCAGTGGGAGGAGGATGGGAAGAAGCGGACTGAACCTTCCAGAGGCCCTACCTGGGACTGCTGGGGGGAGGAGGGAGAGGGAAGAATCTAGGCTGACTCCCAGGTCCTGGTGAGGCTGGCTGAGTGCATGGTGGCATGTGCATTGTGTGGAAAGGAGGGGAGAGAATCAGAGGAGGGGAGGGAGTTAGCAGCTCCAATTCACACGTGTGCAGCTTCAGGTGCCACAGGGCCATCTGCCCTGAGCCAGTGGGACCCGTGAATTTGGAGGAGGGCTGGGCTGGAGATGCAGATCTGGGAGGCCTCGGAGCACAGAGTGGGTGTGAGGAAGCCATTCCTTCCTCACCCACACAGTATCTACTGAGCCCCAGCTGTGAGTTCAGTCCTGTGTTAGGCATGGTGGGCACCCACATGTTCATTGAGCTGTGTGTTCATCTGAGAGCTGCTGAGTCTCCTGTGGGAGCCGGACACCTTGCTAGGAACAGAAATGGGAGGAAGGCCCGGCTCAGCAAATGCAGTTCCTGAAAATGTGCTGCTTCAAGGAGACCATGAGCTTTAAACACTTGTTTCAAGTCCCTCCTCAGCCGTGTGCTCATGAATCCCAATTCGCGAGATGGGTGAGTCAGTGGGAGCTCATGGACCCCAAGCTCTTGGAGCCCTTGGGTGGCCAGGGAGGCCTCAGCTCAGAGGGTGTGTGCAGCGCCACACACTGGATGCTCGCAGACCCTACCACCTTGCGACTGGTAGGAATGGGGGTGATCCCCTTCTGGAGCCTCAAGGCTTCTGGAAGGGGTTGCCGTGTTTGTGGCTGGTCCCCTCTTGCCATGTGTGATCTGGTTGGTCAGTGCTCTGAGCCTGAGACAGACCTCCCCTGAGAGGAGAAGCTGAGTTGTTTGGGCTGTGAAATGCTTATGAAGATATGCTTTCTAAACATCCAGGTGTTTGGCTTCATGTGGACATGGCTTTGGTCAGGGAGCCGAGGGAGGGGCGATCAGTTTCTTCGGTTCTGGATGCTCCGCATACCCACTCAGCCGTGGTTCCATGAGTGACGACGGTTAGGTTGGTAAGGGGTCTGAATTATCCTTTCCCCGTCTGCCTCACCCTCTAAGCACTCATCTCTCTGCAGGGCTTAATTTCCCTCCAATTCTTCCATTTATTTTATTTATGATGCAGTAACTGGCAGAAGCAGCTGTGGTTTGCTGTTGTTTACAAGGAAGCCGAGTTTGGTTACCAGTCAGTAAATTCTGCGCTATCAGTTGAGGGGATCTCATGTGCAAGGAGGAGCCAGGGATGAGGGAGAGTGGGGAGGACTCAGCACGCGGCCAGCAGCTCTCGTGGTGGGCAGGAGGTGCACTCACAGGCTGGCTCGCCTCTGCTCAGGGGATTGTCCACATCCCACCGGCCAATCAAAAGAGTCTCCCAGGCATTTAAATAAAGAAACATTCTTATAGAGTTTTCACATATAACCCAATGGGAGAAATAATTTTCCATTTGATGTGGCCTCTTGGAGGAAATGGTACCCTTTTTTTTTTTTTTTTTTGAGACAGAGTCTCACTCTGTCACCCAGGCTGGAGTGCAGTGGCGTGATCTCGGCTCACTACAAGCTCCACCTCCCAGGTTCATGCCATTCTTCTGCCTCAGCCTCCTGAGTAGCTAGGACTACAGGCACCTGCCGCCATGCCTGGCTAATTTTTTGTATTTTTAGTAGAGACGGGGTTTCACCGTGCTAGCCAGGATGCTCTGGATCTCGATCTCCTGACCTCGTGATCCACCCGCCTCGGCCTCCCAAAGTGCTGGGATTACAGGTGTGAGCCACCATGCCCGGCCAGTGGTACCCTTGAATTAACAAAAGCGCAGAACGTGCAGCAGCCTCATTCATTGCCCCTGTTTCATAGAATAAGAACCCACAAACTGGCCCTTAGAGCATGGTAAGCCCCTGGATGCGTGGCAACTGCCTGAAAGAAACCACATTCGCTATTGTGGGAGGTAGGGGAGCCTCTGTTCCCGGCCCCAGCACAGAACCTCTTTCAACTTGTATGACATTAGTGAGACAGCTTTCTCGGCCTCAGTTTCTCCCTCTGCAAAATGGGATTCATAATACCTCACCAGCAAGGGTGATGTGCAGAAGGTTTATCCACCAACCAGCTTAGGCTTTAACCAACCCAAAGCAACAATGCTAGAGTTTATTGTATACTACTAATAAGTGAGAAAGTAAGTTACCAAGCATATGGCTTCATTTTAGCCAGAAAATATTTACATGCCAAAGATGCCTAGCAAGACAACAGCCAAGGTACACACAGTTTTGAAATTACCTTTAGCTGGTGAGATTATGGTGATTTTCCTTTTATTTTTCTCTGTTGAATGTGCCTTCTAATTTCTCTATAATGAAAATGAATTTCCTTATAATACACTTTTTTTCTTTTTTTTTAATGAGATGGAGTCTTGCTATATTGCCCAGGCTAGAGTGCAGTGGTGCGATCTCGGCTCACTGCAAACTCTGCCTCCTGGGTTCACGCCATTCTCCTGCCTCAGCCTCCCGAGTAGCTGGGACTACAGGCGCCCGCCACAACGCCCAGCTAATTTTTTTGTATTTTTAGTAGAGATGGGGTTTCACCGTGTTAGCCAGGATGGTCTCAATCTCCTGACCTCGTGATCCGCCTGCCTCCGCCTCCCAAAGTGCTGGGATTACAGGCATGAGCCACCGCGCCCGGCTATAATACTCTTTTTAATCCACTGCAAAAAAATTCTTTATGTCAAACTTTTTATTTTTTATTTTTAGAGACAGGGTCTTTCTCTGTCACCTAGGCTGGAGTGCAGTGGTGCGATCATGGCTCACTGCAGCCTGGAACTCCTGGGCTCAAGCAATCCTCCTACCTCAGCCTCCTGAATACCTGGGACTATTGGTGCATGCCACCACCCAGCCAATTTTTAAAGAATTTTTTATAGAGACAGGGGTCTTGCCATGTTGCCCAGGCTGGTCCTGAACTCCTGGCCTCAAGTGATCCTCCTGCCTCAGCCTCTCAAAGTGCTGGGATTACAGGTGTGAGCCACCGCACCTGGCCTGCAGTGGTTTTTCTTTTTTCCCCTTTTGAACTTGTTTAGTTTTTCCCTTTTTTTTTTTTTTTTTTTGTCTGAGCCTCCTCTCTCAACCCCTTCCTCTGCTCCTTTTCCTAATTTTAAGGAATTTTCACTTGAAAATAAACAAACATTTCCCCAGCCTTTTGGCTTGCAAAAATTGGGTATAAAATATTTTCATTCTTTTAAAAATGTTGAGTGTGTCCTTTCCCCCATCAAATAGGTGCTCCTCTATCTTCTCCAGTCTGACCTGGGAAGATGAATCAGCAGGTCCACCTGGGGCGCAGGCTGGGAGCATGTGGTTTCCTCCGTTTGCTCTCTCTGTTCAGGGCTGGGAGGTGCTCCCTGCCTTCCAATGCACCTGCATTTCAGCTCAGCCTCACTCCAGCCTTGAGGCATAGCTTTCCTAGACACCATTTTGTAGATAAGGAAACTAAAGCTTAGAAAGGTTAAATAACTCGTCCTCAGCCTCCCAGCTAGCAATGCCAGAGCTGAGAGCTGCACCCTGGACTAGGCAGTTCATGTATATCTGTATCTAGCTCTGTTATGCCTCAAGCAGAAATAATGTCCCTGGGAATCAGGTCCTTGGGAGGCCAGAGGGAAAGGGAAGAGGTTAAATACATTTTGCCAATTTCCCCGAAATTTTGTTCCAGTTCCAAGTCACCTAGATTCACCCCGTCTGAGCAGGGCCTGGTGCTATTTGTAAAATTTGGCATATCTGCTTCTGATCCAGAGAGGGACCTCTGGGGAAGGGAAGAAAATGGTGGCTTTAAGGCAGGAGCGTGCAAGAGGAGGCGTGCGGAGGTGGGCACTGCTGTACATGAAAGTGGCTGAGTGTGTTTTCTAAGAAGGCGTGCTCAGAAAGTTCAATGTGAGTCTCCTGTAAGATTCAGCAAGGAACGCAGGGGTGCGGGGAGAGGGAGAGGCTGAGAAACTGCCTATGCCTTGGGTCCTCCCAGATACCTGTCCATGGGTATTTCCTCGGAGGGCTTGGGTTCGCTCCTGCGCTCGTTTCTGCCGCAGTGCCTAGCGTGGGCCTGGCCATCTCTGATGGACTCAGTAGGGTCTGCTCAGTCCCAGAGCACAGAGCCCTGGAGATGAGTGAACACAGGCACCGAGTGAGCACTCACCACTGAATCAGCAGCAGAGTGGGGTCTCCCAAGCCACGGCTGCTGCTTTAGTAGCAGAGTTCTGAAGTGGTGGACCCAAAGTGTGTTCTACGGGGTTCTACCAAAAACCAAACTACAGTTCCACGCTCAAACAAGCTGTGCGTTAATTTCACGCAGGCCCTTTCGAAGCCTTTATTAGTGCAAATGTTCATCGGGGGTTCTGTCCTGCAGTGTTCCCAAACACCTTTTACTGAGGAACCCTTTCGTCATGGAGCATATGGTAGAACTCGTTTCCACAGAACACACTATGGGAAATGCTACTCTCCAGGAGTGTGCCCAAGATTGTGAAACATTGCATGCTGGAAACATGCTCATCAGCGACCCCTGAATTTGATGGAGGGCTTTATTCAGTGCCTAGTGTTGCTCTCCTTGTCCGGAGTTAATTCCACCAAAGTCTGGTATCCACAGGCCTGTCTTTTCCAAGCACGCATCGCCCAGACAGCCCTCATCCTCAGCCACACACAAACGGCCTGGCACCTGTTGATTCTTCTGTGAGGCCATAGGTTCAGGGCACCTTGCTAGCATTTTGATCACTTGGGCCAGTTTTTCTAGGGTTAAGGCATTTCCGAGGTTGTTAAAATGGCAGAGGAGTTTTCTGGAAGCAGCAGTTCTGTTCATAAACTGCTGGGGAACATTTGGCCAGCTCTTTGCAGGCTTCTGTTGGTAGCAGTGCAGCCTGGATGGTGCTCCAGGCACAGCAGGGGAGGCGCTCAGGCCCTGAGGCCCCTTGAGGTTTTTCATTTGGCCCCCACAGCAATCCTCAGAGGGTCACTTCCTGGGAAATGTTCTTATTGACTTGTAAAGTCCTTCACTTATTGCTTTCCCCCATATTTGGGACAGATGCTGATGCCAGCAACACTGCTTCTTGTTGGAAGGCAAATTCAGCTCTGCACACTTGCCTGTATTCATCCTCCCAGCACCCCATGAGTTAGGTTCTTTCCTTCCCCCATTTTTCAGATGAGGAACCTGAGGTTCAGAGAGGTTAAGTAGCCCGCTCAGGTCACACAACTGGAGCTGGCCTTCCCACCACAGCCTACAGCGTCTTAGCACCTGGATCTCTCATGAGTGCATTCACAGGGGCTCATAACTTGGCCTGGTTGTGTGTTTACCAAGGATGTTAGATCTGGCCTTGACTGTTTGACTGCTCCGCATTGTGGGCAAGGCTGATCGAGCTTCTCTTTGTAGTTTGGGGTTCTCTTGCCTGTGAATCCCAGCAGTGGAATCTGCCAAAGCCAAGGTGAAACCTCACTGCTTGCTTGGAGGCCGCATCTGGGCCAAGCAGGACTGTCCAGCGTGGGGGATAAATCTCGAGCTATTCTTAGCCTGCAGATTTTAATGACCTAGCTCCTCTGGGCTTTGGAGACTTAGCGGAATTTTTAAATGTCCATCTAGCACACAGGCTCCCCCTCCAGCCCCCACCCCAGTGGTTTCCTCTTTTATGCCATAAATATTTGAGCAGATTCAGTCTGTAGTCTGCCTTGTCTCGTTTGCTGATGGTAGGTTTTAGGAGTGCCATGTCCTTGCTCCAGTTGCTTTCTCTGACTGTGGCCACCTCCCCATTTCCCTTTCTTTAGTGAGATCAAGCCCTTGGTGGCAGAGGTCAACAGAGAACTGGCAATTTTCTAGAGAATCTGGACTGTAGACACATCAATTCTTCCAGCTGGTTGGGGCCAGAGTCATCTGTCAAGCTACCTGTTGTTGCTGCGGCCAGCCTGGAGCCCCTGCTTGGACTTTTAAAGCTCCAGTCCCTCAGAAGGGGGAAGACAGGCAGTTCATAACCCCGTGCTTAACAGGCTGCACAAATAGGTTCATTCCTGGCAACATAGCCGAGGAAGAAATCAATCAATCAATAAGTGTTTATTGAGCACAGAGTCTGTAACTGTCAAAAAAGTAGCCACTAAGGCTGGGCGCAGCCCAGATACAAAGGCCTGTAATCTCAGCACTTTGGGATGCTGAGGTGGGCAGATCACCTGACGTCCGAGACCAGCCTGGCCAACATGGCAAAACCCCATCTCTACTAAAAATACAAAAATTAGTCAGGCGTGGTTGTGTGTGCCTGTGATCCCAGCTACTCAAGACGCTGAAGCAAGAGAATCACTTGAACCCGGGAAGTGGAGGTTGCAGTGAGCCAAGATCATGTCACAGCATTCCAGCCTGGGCGACAGAGCGAGAGTGTCAAAAAACAAACAAACAAACAAACAAACAAACACAAACAAACAAAAAATAACTAAAACAATATGGATTTAAGAGACTCAACTTTTGTTGGAGGGCCAAGCCCAGGGAAATTTCCCGTAGGTGCCGTTGGCCCCATCGTCCTCCCACCTGCCGCCCAGGGGGCTTTCTCTCCTTCCGTGCTCCTGTTCCTCTCCTGTCCTAGGTTTCCTGCTGCACCATGGGGTCTCAGAGACCCCGTGGGGGGCCTGCGCTCTTTGGGCGGGAAATCCCCAGGACCCGATTCCCTTGACCCCTTTCAGCGTCCTGTTCCTGAGGCCCTGCTCTCCTGCGGCACCAAGCTGAACCTGGTGGGGTCAGCAACTAATAGTCCTGGGAGGCTGGGCGCCGCCCCTCTGCGCCTGGGTCTGGCCTCCCTCCTTGCAGCCTTCCTGAGCTGAGTCCCTCCATTCTCAGAGCCTGTCATCCACCCTCCTCTAGGGAGCCACTCCTCAGCCCCATTCCAAACACAGGTAATGAGAACAGCCTGGATTTATTAAGCTCCCTGCCAGTCACCCTGATACCAGGTGTTTTACATAAGCATGTCATTTAATCCACACAACAAACTGTGAAGCTGGTTTTATTGTTGCTGGTTTTGGTTTTGTTTTGTTTTTTCTAGACAAGGAGACTAAGATAAACTTGTCCTGGATTTTACAGGGGATCCCATAGAAGGAGCGGAATCCGGGCCTAATCTACCTGGTGCCTGAGCTAGGCTCTTGGCCACCAAGCCCTCTGTGGGCTCCCTGCGGCTGTGCTCACGTCCGAGCAGTTCCCTTGGCACTGACTGTTTGCACCCGAGGTCATCACTGTCTTCTGTGTTTCTGTTCATTTCTCCAGTGGACACCCAGCTTGGGGTACAGCCCACAGGGCCTCCCCCAGTGTTTCCCATGTAGCGAGAATTGCTCAGCAGTGCTTGGGTAGATGATTTGGGCATCACCCTCTTGGCCTAGGTGAATTTTCTTTTCTTCTTCTTTTTTTTTTTTTTTTTTGAGATGGAGTCACTCCGTCACCCAGGCTGGATTGCGGTGATGCAATCTTGGCTCACTCCAACCACTGCCTCCTGAGTGCAAGCGATTCTCCTGCCTAAGCCTGTTTTATCTTTTTAGAGACAGGGTCTTGCTGTCACCCAGGCTGGAGTGCAGTGGCACAGTCATAGCTCACTGCAGCCTCCAATTCCCGGGCTCAAGTGAGCCTCCAGCTGCAGCCTCCTGAGTAGCTGGGATTACAGGTACATGCCACCAACCTGGATAATTTTTAAAAACTATTTTGTAGAGATGGGGGGTCTTGCTATGTTGTCCAGGATGGCCTCAAACTCCTGGGCTGAAGTGATCCTCCTGCTATGGCCTCCCAAAGTGCTGGGATTACAGGCATGAGCTACTATACCTGGCCCCCTTGGTGGATATTTATTTATTTATTTATTTATTTATTTTTGAGATGGAGTCTCACTCTGTCGCCCAGGCTGGAGTTCGGTGGCATGATCTTGTCTCACTGCAACCTCCACCTTGCGGGTTCAAGTGATTCTCCTGCCTCAGCCTCTCTAGTAGCTGGGATTACAGGCATGCGCCACCATACCTGGCCAACGTTTTTTTTTTTTCTGAGATGGAGTTTTGCTCTTGTTGCCCAGGCTGGAGTGCAATGGTGTGATCTTGGCTCACGGCAACCTCAGCCTCCCGGGTTCAAGTGATTCTCCTGCCTCAGCCTCCTAAGGAGCTGGGATTACAGGCATGTGCCACCATGCCTGGCTAATTTTGTATTTTTAGTAGAGACGGACTTTCTCCATGTTGGTCAGGCTGGTCTCGAACTCCCAACCTCAGGTGATTCGCCTGCCTCGGCTTCCCAAAGTGCTGGGATTACAGGCGTGAGCCACTGCACCTGGCCTAATTTTGTAATTGTAATTTTAGTAGAGATGGGGTTTCACCATGTTGCCCAGGCTGGTCTTGAACTCCTGACCTCGGTTGATCCACCTGCCTCGGCCTCCCAAAGTGCTGGGATTATAGGCATGAGCCACCGCGCCCGGCCACTAGATGGATTTTTGACAGAGCCCATTAAAATGCCTTCACACCAAGAAACGAGTCAAAGAGGGGTTCAAAGTACTTTAGAGTAGAGAATTTCTTCAGTTCTCATGAATGGAAAGGGGAGAAAAAAAAAAAAAAGATGCCAGGAGTGGTAGCTCATGCCTGTAATCCCAGCACTTTAGGAGGCTGAGGCCAGCGAATCATTTTGAGGTCAGGAGTTTGAGACCAGCCTGACCAACATGGTGAAACCCTGTCTCTACTGAAAACACAAAATTTAGCCGGGCATGGTGGTGCGCATCTGTAATACCAGCTACTTGGGAGACTGAGGCAGGGAAGCCTGAACCCAGGATGTGGAGGTTGCAGTGAACCGAGATGGTGCCACTGCACTCCAGCCTGGGCAACAGGGTGATTCCCTGTCTCAAAAAAAAAAAAAAAAAAAAAAAAAGAGGGCTGTTAAGCACCAAGGCGAAAGACCGTTGTGGTTGATAAGGTTGAGTGTTCCTTATGCAGAATGCTTGGGACCAGAAATGTTTTGGATTTCAATTTTTTTTTTGGATTTTGGAATATTTGCATTTTATATTTACCAACTGAACATCGCTAACCCCAAGTTCCAAAATCTGAAATGCTCCAATGAACATTGTTTTTTGAGCATCATGTTGGCACTCAAAATGTTCCTAATTTTGGAGTATTTTGTGATTTCAGATTTTTGGATTAGTGTTACTCAACCTGTAGTCACTTTTCATGCATTATCTGAAAACCCTGTGAGGTAGTTTCATTCCCAGTTTTCAGATGAGAAACTGAGACTCAGAGAGTTCAAGTGGCTTTGTTAAAGAAACAGCTGTTAAATGAAGAACTGGGATTCGAATCCAGGTTTTCCTAATTATAATATCCTAGGCAGTTTCTGTCCTGCATAAAGCCTCTCCTCTCTAATTTCTAAATCATATTCGGGCAGAGAATTTAAGACAACTCCTGTTGGTGTTAACATTAGTTGAGGTGCAGTCCTCCTTAGAAGACCAGAGCAAAGGCCTAGAGTTTGCATTTCTATCAAGGATTATTAACCTAGAATTTCTGGACCTTAGGGACTCTACAAATAGCTCTCAAGAAGTTCTCTTGAAATTGAAAGCAAAATGTGCACAAGTGCATTTTCCCTGGAAGAGAGAGGAGCCATTTCTTTCATCAGTTTCTCAAACGTGTCCAGATTCAAGCAAGGTTGGGGGCTTCCACTTTAGAGGCACAAAAACCAGATTTCTCCCAAAGAGAATTTCATCCATGGACTTCTGGTGGAGGAAACTTTGTCCCGGCTTGTTGACATCAGAATTTCCCGTGCTGAGGGGATCGGGGTGGACAATCTCACCATGCCCCTTTGAAGCTCTAGATTCAGAATGTCACGGCTTTAAATCCACAGGGACTGCAGTCTCCAGGCCCGGCCTACACTAGATGATGAATTGGATGTGACAGAACTGGATGGTAGGGAGCCAGGAGCTGTAGGATTTTCCACTTGGCAAGGGCAGGTTCTGAGTGAAGTCCTACCCCCTTGGGTTAATGCATTCGGTGTTTTTGCTGATGCCGGGGAAAGGAGAAGGATGTCTCCAGCCTGCAGAGCACACTCGCAGCAGAGTCCCCACCTTCAGATCATCCAAATCTTCTCGTGTCCACTTTTATAGAAACAGAGAGCCGGCTATCTGGGGTAGGCAGTGACCTTTCTCCTGACTTTTTTCTCAGAATGATTTGATTTCCAATGTGGTTGAAAAACAGACACAACAGACAGCCCGCAGTGGCTCTGTGGGTTCCTCTATATAGAAAGCGGCTTCTTTGATTGACTTGCTCTGTGAAAAATCCTCTCTAAACATGACCCAGTGATCCAAAATGTGGATGGAGGGAGGACGATGGCCTCTGTGTGGTGCTTTGTTACGTATCTTTCTTCTCTCAAGCACCTTTTAAAAGGGAGGTCTCCTATGGGCTTTGCAGCCCACTTTCTTCACTGACAAATGAAAAATGGAAAGTGGATGAGTCTGGAGATCACCGGAATTCTAGCTGTTCATCTCCTGGTGACTTTGGTCACATAACATTTTTGTGTCCTATCTCTCAATGCATCTCATTTATTTATTCAATTGTTCCTGTACCTATCTATCTATCTACCTGTCAATCATCTGGTCAACTAACATTTCTTGAGTGGCAGCTACTTAGCTGACACTGCAGTTGGGAATACAGAGATGAATAAGACATAGTCTCTGAGCTCTGCATACTAGAGCAATGCTTATCAATGTTTATATGCACATGAATCACCTGGGAATCTTGGGAAATGCAGATTCTGAGTCATAGGTCTAGAATAGGGACCAGCGTTCTGCTTTTCTTTTTTTTTTTTTTCTTTTGAGATAGGGTTGCATTCTATCATCCAGGATGGAATGCAGTGATGCAATTATAGCTCACTGCAGCCTCCAACTCGGGCTCAAGCAATCCTCCCACCTCAGCCTCCCGAGTAGCTAGGACTACAGCTGTGCGCAACCACACCTGACTAATTTAAAAAAACAATTTTTTTCTTGTAGAGATTTGGGTCTCACTATGTTGCCCAGGCCAGTCTCAAACTCCTGGCCTGAAGTCACCCTCCTCTGTTGGCCTCCTGAAGCACTGGGATTGCAAGTGTGAACCACCACGACCAGCGCATTCTGCATTTTACAAATACTCCCATCTGGGGCCAATGCTGCTGGCTAAAACAAGAGCCAGTAACTGGAAGGCCCTCACTGCCTCCCTTGTCTCCCTTTTCACCACCACTCACCGAAGCATTATGGTGAGGGCCCAGTACAGAAAGCACGTGAAGGTGCTTTAGAAAGCAGAAGGCACATCTCAGATATGATGCTTGTGCTTGCCGTTCATCCTTTCTGGGTCTCCAGACAATCAGGTGAAATAGAGGGTTCCGCTGGAATTATTTGGCTCCTTGATTGGCTTGATGGGATTGGGGACCAAGCTGAGCTGGATGGATACCAGCAGAGTCAGGTTTTAATCTAGATTCGGAGTCACAGCAAGCAGTTACATAAGCTGAGTGCTCTCTCTCCTCTCCTTCCCATTTCCTCGTTTCATGGGAGCTGAAACGAGCTGAAATATTTTATATGAAAGATGTTCTCTCTCTCCTGGGAGTGCCCAGAGCCCTGGCACAGCCCAGCTGGAGCAGCGACCCGCTGCAGGAAGTTGTGATTTAGCCATTTAACTAATTGGCAAGATTGGAAGCCATAATAAATAGCCAAGTATCTAATCAAAGATTAATTAGTGAATAAATACTATATTAGCCTGATAAGGAGAAGCATTTCAGTCCTTCATAGGAAAATGGTCATGTTGTATATTAAGCCCAAATTGAGCGGAGTAGTTCTTCATTAGCCAATAAAATATTAACCCAGGGGGTCAAGTGCGGTGGCTCCTGCCTGTAATCCGAGTGCTTTGAGAGACTGAGGTGGGAGGATCGCTGGTGCCCAGGAGTTTGAGGCTGCAGTGAGCTATGATCGCACCACTGAACTCTAGCCTGGGTGACAGAACGAGACCCTGTTTCTAAAAATTAAATTAAATTAAATTTAAAAAATAAAATAAAATAAGTAAAATCCCAAGGGAAAGTGAGCTTGTGTCTCACCAATGCCCAGCCTCTATAGGTATCTGTTATAAGGCGGTGGGGGTAGGGACCAAGAGATTGAATTTAGAGAGGAAAAGAACCAGTTTATTCTAGTCTGGTCTTTTTGCCATCTTTAAGATGTAAAAATTAAAATAAATTTGATTTTTAAAAGGAGCAGTGCATCAAGACAGCCTACAGCAAAATCAACAATAAAATTTCAAGTTGAAAAATTACCCGTAGGAAGAAAAACATTAAGTGTTCTGACCCCAGAAGAAAGAAACATCTAAAATATATTTCATTGATCTTGTCAGAGCATTTTTAAGTTTGCTATTTTTCCCTCCTTCTTTTGCCTTTGCGATGCAGAAATTCTGAAAGTTTATTTCAACACTGCAATGAAGATACATCGTAAGCAAAGTTGCCAGACATTTTTGTAGAGTAAATCATTTTTCAGCAAACCTTGACTCTCTTTGGCATGTCAGTATCAGGAAGAAAGCCAGGAAAGAGAACTGTTTTTCTTCTCTTATAAATTGACAATAGTTGTGTTCCTGGAAAGTTGAATGTCAAATGAATTTTTGTCAATTGAGTCTTATTTCCGAATGCACTGGGGGAATCTCATAGCTGTCAAAATGAAGATGCCTTTTGGGTAAGCAAATATTTTCCGTTTCTCACTGTTTTACAGGGAAACATTGTTTCTAAGTCTGGATTTTTGTATTTTGAGTCTGCTTAAAGGAGCCACCACATATGGACAAAGAAGGAAAGGATGATTTGTCCCCATCACAGCTTGTGAGGTTCAGGCTAAACTCTGGGGGACATGTCCTCAAGCTAGGTCAAACGTGGCAGAGTCTCAGACAAACCTTCCTCAGGGAAGACTTCCAGGCCTTGGGCAAACCCAGGCACTTGATGGCCAGGGCACTCAGCGGGTTGGGGAGAGGATTGCCTTGAGGTCAGACAGACCTGGGTGAATTCCTGACTCCAACACCCACCAGTGGCGTCATCCTCGATAAATCATCGGACCGTGGTGAGCTGCAGCTCCTTGGCTCTGTGACCAGGCAAAGGATGTTTCCCTTAGAAGCTGCTTAAGGGATGAAATGAGATTGTGCCTAGTAAACAGCAGGTGCTCAATAAGTGGTAGCCATATTTAGTGAGGGGGCCGGAGGTCTTTGGGTGCAGAGCCCCTCTGCCAAACCGTGGCCACTTGGGGCCTCTCCCAGCCTCTTCCTCTGTATGTCCCCCATGTGTGTGCACTCTGTGCTGTGCTCCTCTCAGTGAGCAGCGTAGGAGGTGCCCGGGTCATCAGCAGAGCCTCTCGCAAGTGCAGGAGAGGCAAGCAGTGGCACCAAGATGTCACAGGGGCCTCCTAGTTTTCACACCCCGCTTCGGCCCGCATGTTCCCCTGAAGCTCTCAGGCAGGGGCCACGTCTTAGGGCGGGCCAGGCCCTTTATGACCCAGCATCTGCTCCATGGCTAAGGGCCCCTGAGTACTCACCCCTCCTTTCTCCCCACCAGATGCCTTCCCAAGGCATCGCCGTGACCTCCTCCTTTCCCTCCAAGGCCCAGAACCCCTAACTTTGCTCTCCTTCCCTCTACCTGAATATTCTCTCCTAGGTAGGCATCCTGGGCTCAGCCATCTACTACTAGCCGTGTGTGATCTTAACATACTACTTTTCTTCCTAAAGCCTCAGTTTCCTCAGTTATAAAATGGGCATGGTGATGTCTGAACATGCAGGATAATACAGAGAAAGCCTCTGAGGAGGGTTATGAATATGATCTTGCTTGTGCTCAGGACTGGGGGCCAATGGTAGAGGAATGTTATAGCTGAGCCAGTTAACACACTTGTGCTTAGCCAGACCTTAAAAAAAATTAATAGAGACAGGATCTGGCTCTGTCACCCAGCTGGTGTGCAGTGATACAATCATGGCTTACTGCAGCCTCAACCTCCTGGGCTCAAGTGATCCTCCCACCTCAGCCTCCTGAGGAGCTGGGACTACAGGTGCATGCCACTGCTCTGACCAATGGTTTTTTTGAAATTTCTTTGTAGAGATGAGGTCTTGCTGTGTTGCCCAGGCTGGTCTCAAACTCCTGGCCTCCAGCAATCCTCCCGTCTTAGCCTCCCAAAGCACTAGGATTACAGGTGTGAGCCACGCACCCAGCCAGCTAGGGCTTTTAATACTTAGGTGTGAAGGAGCAGCCTCCAGAGGTGGAGTCGTACTGCAGGAAGTGAGGCCCAGCAGGCAGGAAGGGCAGGAAGCAGTCAACACCACTGCTTGCCTGCCCTGTGCCTAGCACGGAGCTAGGCATTTGGCCTCATGTGAGCCCTGGGTTTAGACCTAGTAGATTCAGATCCTGTTGGGAGCAGGGTTGGGCTCTGGCTTTTCTGTGGGCCTGCAACGCCCACTGCCTCATTGCTGGAGTGTTCTCTGCCATCCTCGGGGAAGCTTCTGCCTCCTGGTGAAGCTTCAAGGGAGGAAGAGAAAGAAGAGACAGACGAAGAGAGAAGCCGCTGAGTAAGCTGATGTCCATGCTGTGCCATTAATATTGATCATGATTTGGTCGATTTCATTCTGTGAACTCTGCAGCTCCAGTATTGATCTCTAAGCACTAAAATTGAATAGGGAGGCATCTTACTGTCAAAAGTCAGCTCAGAGCTGGAGCAAGTTTTGATTGAAAAGACACAGGTAAGATTTCTGGGGAGGTGCCTTCTTTTCCAGAGACCACAGAAATCTCAACCAGTCTTCTCTTTACCAGACACCCACCTGGTGTTGACTCACCCCGCCTCCCTTAGAAAGAGGCCGGGTAGCCTATGTGATGACATGCACGTGAGCTTTGCCATGAGACTAACCTGGGCTTCGCTCCTGGCTCAGCCACTTACTAGCCGAGGCTTCAGGCATATTGCCTAAGCTTCTCATTCATTTGTTTTTCATTCAATAATTAGTTATTGTGGGCCAGGCATGGTAGCTCATGCTTGTAATCCCAGCACTTTGGGAGGCCAAGGCAGGAGGATGGCTTGAGCCCAGGAGTTTGAGACCAGCCTGGGCAACATAGTGAGATTCCCATCTCTGCAAAAATATAAAAAATTATCTGGGTGTGGTGGCTCATACCTGTAGTCCCAGCTACTCGGGAGGCTAAGGCGGGAGGATCACTTGGTCCCAGGAGGCTGAGGTTGCAGTGAGCTATGATTGCACCACTGCATTCCAGCTTGGGTGACAAAGCAAGATTCTGTCTCTAAAAGGTAAATAAATTCATAAGTACAGATTAAAAATGACTATTTATTGAACATCTGCCAGGTGCTCATAATATGCCAGTGAGTTAGTTAGACCTGCTACTGTTTTGGTCATTTTTTTTTTCTTTCTGGAAGAAACAACTTTTGATTTTAAATTTTTATTATGAAAAATGTCAACTATACTCAGGTGAAGAGTTGTCACCGTTAGCCCCACTTAAGCATTATTTAGTTTCAACAGTTATTAGGCATTCAGGCGGAACTTTTAGCCCATGGGCTAAACGACGGCTGCACTGTAACGAGAGCGAAAGGAAGTTGCCGGGACCCCCACCAAGCCTCAGTTTCTTCATCTGCAAAATGGAAAAACTCTACTTATCTTATAAAGGGTGAAGCGAGTGACTTCACGAAGCGTGCTGAGCCTGGTGCCGGCAGGAGGGTGAGGATCTCATGTGTGGGAGCGGTCGCAGGGCTGTGGGGAGGCTGCA
The DNA here is from genome assembly GCF_000001405.40 of Homo sapiens. NCBI lineage: Eukaryota > Metazoa > Chordata > Mammalia > Primates > Hominidae > Homo > Homo sapiens. The sequence goes on along the minus strand of NC_000008.11, from coordinate 41,850,019 downwards.
GTGAGGGACTGTCTGAGAGCCGCTGCCAGGGCTCTGACAGCGTGATCAGAGGAAGGCCATAAAGGTTTGTGGGGATCCCTGTGGTGATACTGTCTGCTTGTAGCATGGTGCCTGGCCAATCGCAGGTGCTCCATAGATAATGGGGAAGATGAAGATGGTGCTGGAATAAGTTTTCTCAAACTTCAGCGTGGTTGGTGAAAAAGAGTTAAGAGGAAGAGAGAAAATTGTGAGTGACGTGCTGACGAAAGGAGCTGAGAGATCACGTAGAAAAGACATCGTCCTGTTAGGTGAAATAACAGAGCATTAACTATTAAAGAATGAAAACACTGAAGTGATGGAAAGCCCTGAGTGTGTGGTGGGCACCTTCCCTGCGCGGCGGTGGGATCCGAGGGGATCATTGTCATGCTCAGGATCCTGCCTTTGCCTTCAAGGGGGTTACCCTCTATTTGGGGAAATAGGACAGGAACTCCTGATAAATGACTACATTTTTTTTTTTGGGACATTGTCTCGCTCTCTCTCCCAGGCTGGAGTACAATGGTGTGATCTCAGCTCACTGCAGTCTCTGCCTCCCGGGTTCAAGCAATTCTTCTACTTCAGCCTCCCTGGTAGCTGGGATTATAGGCACTTGCCACCATGCCCGGCTAATTTTTGTATTTTTAGTAGAGACGGGGTTTCACCACAGCCCAAGGCCAAAGGCCAAGGCCAAAGAAGAGCTGCCATGGGATGAGGTTGATAAACTGGCCTATTACTTGTACAGACAGTAAGTGTGAGTTCAGAAGAGCACAGGTCCCTTCCAGTGCAGACATCAGGGCAGCCTCACCCAGAAGGTTTCCGTTAGGCCTTCGAAGATGGGCAGAGGATATGAAGTGAGCCCCTCCAAATGTGGTTCAAAGGTCCCTAAAATAATGTTGAAGCTTGGTTCCAAGTTCACACAGTTTAGTCATTTTTGAATTCTCTTTGGGTTTGATTCCAGTCCCTGGTGCCCTGTCTGGCCCTGGAGGGTGGAAACTTCAATCAATAATGCTCCAGGTGGACAGAGGCAGGTCAAGCTCCAGGTGGATGGGGGCAGGTCGCACCAGGGGCAATGGTCACAGGCCTGGAGACTGGGTCTGGCCCAGGGCCCCTGAAGCAACGTTCCCTGCAGTGGGGAATGGGCTTTGCAGTGCAGCCTGGGGCCACCTACTCCCTGCTTGGACTTGATGTATCCAGTTGTAAAATGCGGATACCAATACCAGGCTGTCTGCACAGTTATATAAGGATTGCATGAGATCACCTTAAGAGCAGTAAATTCAGCTGTCCAGACCTGGGGCTATTTTCAAGTTGATGTAGTCTGGTCTCTCTTTCAAAAAGGGTGAGATATTTTTCTTCACCTTCAAGGTGGAAGGAGAAGATCCATTTATCCCCCAACTCCCAGTGTTCTGGGCAATTTGATGAGAGACAGGGTCTCAGGGCACAGACGACAGCACCCCCAAACCAGGCCAGGGGCCCAGGGCTGGCCACTGGGGAAGGGCATCAGCAACGTCAGTCCTGGGCCTGGTCTCCCTGGGCTCGGCTCTGCAGGGACCAATGGTGCTGCACGCAGGCGTGAGTGACTGTTAATGCTTCACGCTTCCCACTTCCCCTGTGAGGTCTTCGCATTTTAGCCAAGAACCTTCTAGAGTCCAAAGGGATTACTTACTCTACGGTGGAAAGTTGGGAAGCTGTGTGATCTGATAGAAAAAAATCACTGGGTGTTTTATGCAGAGGAATGTGCTAGATATTTGTTGCATAATAATGTATATTGCACAGTTTTATTTATTTATTTATTTATTTATTTATTTATTTATTTATTTTTGAAATTGAGTCTCACTGTATTCCCCCAGGCTGGAGTGCAGTGGCATGATCTCAGCTCACTGCAACCTCCACCTTCCAGGTTCAAGTGATTCTTGTGCCTCAGCCTCCCAAGTAGCTGAGATTACAGGTGCACACCATCACACCCGGCTAAGTTTTGTATTTTGAGTAGAAACAGAGTTTTACCATGTTGGCCAGGCTGGTCTCAAACTCCTGACCTCAAGTGATCTGCCTCTCAAGTGATCTGCCCGCCTCGGCCTCCCAAAGTGCTGGGATTATAGGTGTGAGCCACTGCGCCTGGCCCACAGTTCTATTTTTTAAAGAAAATGATAAATCTATCAGATAATCATATGAGTACATGCATTTTAAATGCACATACAAACAGATTCAGGACACACATCACACTGCCAGCTCTGGTGAATTTGGGTGCGTATGTGGGGAATCTGGGATAAAAGGCACGGTGGCCAAGAATGCCGCTCTGTAATGTCTTAATTTTGCACAAGAAGACTATATTCCTACGTTAGAGCAGGAACTTAGAGTCAGGTTGCTGGATCTCTGAATCTCTGCATGTGTAAAATGAAGATGAGTAATCTTTCACGAGCTGTCTTGGGGATTGAATGAGGTGATGCTTATATAGCTCCTGTCACAATACTTGGCTTACAGAATTCCATCAATAAAAGTCAGTGTCATTATCACCTCCGTAGCAGCTCGTGGATGCTTACCTGCGTTTTCCTCTCCTGGTCCCCTGTGAAGACCGTTTTCCCCGGCCTCCTTTGCAGTCAGCAATCATGTGACTGATTCTGGCCAGTGAAATGTGTGCAGACAAGATGTGTGTTATTTCAGGCCCGGCCATAAATCCACCTGCACCGTCTTCCTCGCTTTCACCTCCCCAGGTAAACCTTAGAGCTGAAGGTGTCATCCCTAAGTGTCCACTTGGACAACAGCCGCCTGGAAAGCCAGCTGGTTCACATTAGACTGATATGAGCAAGAGGTGAACTCCTAGTGTTAAGCCACTGAGATTTTGGGGTCATTTGTTGTCAGTGCTAGATATATTAAATTACCCTACTTTATTTGCTGTCGGGGTTCTGAGTTTGTGATTCTGTTCTGCGGCCTAAATCTCAGTTTCTTCACTGGAAGGTGAGAAAGTCACATTGTTTTGCTTTTGTTTCTGGCCTCAAGGGCTGTGTGTGAAAACCCCATGAGAGGCGATGGTAATGGTACTCTGTGAACGTTGCAGGGAGTGGCAGGCCGAGGTGTTCGGGTTGTGAGCTGGAGCTGAGCTTTCTTCAGGCTCCCGGGCCATGTGGAACAGACCAGGTAGGGTGGACTGTGTGCTTGAGGCTCCTAATGAGGAGGGCCTGGCTGCAGACCATCTGCAGAGCAGGGTGGGAGGGTGTGGGAAAAAGGGGTCCAGATGAGGGCCGTAGGGTATCCTCCAGCTGTGAGAACAGCCTGTGGCCAGGGGTGGTTGCTGCAGCTTCTCTAGTTACAATAGAATCCATGGATAAGGCACGGATCAATTCCCAGGATCAATTAACTGCAGGCTGATAAGAGACTCAATGTGTTTTGGGGGATTGGCTATTGCCCAAGCCAAAGCAAAAACTTGCACTGTAAGCAGTAATTAAGAAGCAATTTCCCCTTGGCCCCTGTTCCTGGGACAAATGCCAGCCCCTGCGAGCCTTCAGAGTTGCCTGCCTTCAGGAGTCAGCTCAGATGGGGCAGGTGACACACGTCTGCACGAGCTGCAGCCCACACGGGCCTTGGCAGAGCTCTGCCATCGTAGCTCCAGGCCCGGCTCATCTGGTGCTCTGTTCTGTGGGTGAATATGGCTGGAAAGGGCCTTTAAGGGCACATAGGTGAATCTGCCCATTCAGCTAGTTGCCAGCATAATGGGCAGTGTGGGCTGCTGGAGAGAGCTCTGGGCTTTGCGGCAGGACCCTGGACTGTGCTCAGCAGTTCGTCTTAGTCTGTAATAAGCTTTGTAAATCCAGCCACACCACAGTCATACTCAGGCCTGCTTTGTCCCCCATAAAATGGCCAGAGGCGTCTTGTTTGTCCAATCATAGACCCTGGAGACACAGTGCAGTGCAGGCAGCCAGCATCCCTCAGTTTATGGAGCCTCCTGGCTGGTCCATCATTGTGCCCTGTTAGCTCAAGAATTATCAGCTTCCATGCATGCTGAACACTGAAATCTGAAACTTCTATTTTGCAGAGAAAATGGTAGAAATGAATATGGAGAGAAGGTAGGGGGAAAAAGATGGAAGAAAGCAGGACTTTTGGTGACCCTGATATATCAACATTCTGCAAATCCCTGTGTAAAACATGCACCCGCATGTACTTTCCGCATGGGAAGCTGAAAACGGTTTTGGTATGTTTATGGAAGTAGCAGGAGGGGAAGGAGAAAAACAGATGGAGAAGGGGAACAGAAAAACACATTCCCATTTGCTTTTACTCATGCTCAGATCATTTCGTGAGGAGACATAATTTATGCACGTTTATGCAAATGAGCCAGGATCCTAGAGTTAGTTAATCATTTCTCCCTTCTTCACTAACAGAGTGGGTGCAACTGCAGCAGGAAGGGAGTGAGTCACTGTTTCATGATCCAGACCCCCCCAAGCCCCAGACTCTTCTCCCCAAAGGCACGCACCACACCATGGTCAGTCCCATTGGCCTCCTTGAGGGGAGACCCCACTGTGCCCCGCGAGACCACTGCAAGCAGGAGAAATGAAAAGAGAATACAAGCAGAAATCGCCAGTCGATTGGTTCAGGAATTCACATCTTTTTTTTTTCTTTTTTTTTTTGGGATGGAGTCTTGCTCTGTCACCCAGGCTGGAGTGCAGTGGTGTGATCTTGGCAAACTACAACCTCTGCCTCCCAGGTGGGTTTAAGCAATTCCCCTGCCTCAGCCTCCCCAGTAGCTGGGTCTACAGGCACACGCCACCATGCCCGGCTAATTTTTTGTATTTTTGTAGAGACGGGGTTTCACCATGTTGGACAGGATGGTCTCGAACTCCTGAGCTCAGGCAATCCGCCTGCCTCGGCCTCCCAAAGTGCTAGGATTACAGGCGTGAGTCACTGCGCCTGGCCTGGAATTCACGTCTTTGTGTGACATGATTGGCTACCAGTTGCTTTCAGGAGTAGTGTCTCTTTCAAAACAAACAGGAACTTGGTCTATCTGCTGAGTAGAGGCAGCTTTTCCGCGTTGCAATCCTGGGGCTGGTGCAGATTCCATCTCTGACCAGTGGGTGTGCAGCAGGTCCAGAAAGCGCATCCCGGGGACAGGAGGCGGGCTCCTGCTCATCTGTCTTCCTCTCCCAGCTCTTCTTCCCTCTGGCTGTCTCTCACTCACCCCCTTCTAACTTCCTTGGACCAAGACATCACATCTTCTGGGGTCCAATGCTGAAAGGACCATTTCATTAAGAACAAAAACAGCTTACATTGATAAGCTGATTTGCAGTTTACAAAGCTCTTTAGAGACTTTTTATTCCTATTTGTTCATTACCACGTCTCTTTGGAGGCAGAGCCGTACTCAGAGCTGTGGAAGCCTAGGCTCAGGGAGATTCTGGGGCATGCCCGAGATCGTGTTAGAGACAGGTGGCAGGGCTGGGGCCCCGAGGCTTTGACCGCAGCTCCTGTGCTGCCCGCCCCCCTGTGGCAGTGTGTGTGTGGGGGGTGTGTGGTGGGTGCATCAGTTGCGGGGAGGGGTGTGTGCCTGTTGTGTATGGCTGGGTGGGGAGGCTGGGGCTCAGGCGATGGAGGTTGGGGAGGGTGTCCTCTCTACTTGTTTGTCCTGGGCCGAGAGGTACAGAGGGTCTCTGTTCCCATCTGCCCACTTTTCTGACCTGGATCTACCCATTCGCCAACACCTCCAATATAGCTTTTTCTGACTGTCCTTATTGGACCAGGTCGCACCCATGGTTCATCTATAGACTTCCCCGAGGGGATACCAAGATCTGCCAAGGTGAGGAGCTGGACCAGGGCAGGGCACAGATGCCCTCCTCTCAAAAGGCAGGGACAGGCCAGGTGAAGTGGCTCACGCTTGTAATCCCAACACTTTGGGAAGCCGAGGTGGGAGGATTGCTTGAGGCCAGGAGTTCAAGACCAGCCTGGACAACATAGTAAGACCCCATCCCTATAAAAATACAAAAGTAGCTGGGTGTGGTGATGCATGCCTATAGTCCCAGCTACTGGGGAGGCTGAAGCAGGAGGACCACTTGAGCCCAGGAGTTGGAGACTGCAGTGAGCCATGATTGCACCACTGCACTTTAGCCTGGGTGACAGAGCAAGACCTCCTTGGCTTCCCTCAGTGACAAATGTGTGATTTCATGGCATGAGATTTATGGAGACCCTTCCCGACCTGTCTCTCTCTGATTCCTGCCTGCATCATACGTATCTTGAGTTAACAAGATCCGTACATGTATAAGCTGCTGCAAATTTGTCCTAAAATCGCCTTGAAGAAGAGAGCTGCTCTCTGGCAGAGAGAGCGGAGAGATCTGGCATTGTGGGGTTTGGTGAACAAGTTAGTGTCTGCCAGTCCCTCTCATGAGATTTTTCTAGATTCCTATCACCGCTATCTGTTTGGCCTTTCCAGGAAGGCCTGAGGAGGCCTCCAGCAGCGGAATGAATCTTCTGATCGCCCCAGCTGCCCTGTCTGCACCATGGACCATGTGCCTGCTGTATGTGCTGGACCAGGGCTGAGAGCATTGCTGCAGGGCCCCCCCTTTAAACACGCATTCAGAAAGAGATAACAGAGACTGGGAGGAGTGTGGGGTGGGCGGGGAGTGGGTGGGGGGGAAATGAAGAGAAGTGGGTGAAAGGGTACAAGTGCACAGTAAGATGGAGCAGATTCAATGTCTGATCGCAGAGCAGGGTGACTATACTTCACAACAATGTATTATACTTGGGTGATGGACACAGGAATACCTTGACTTGATCACTACACATTATATACGTGTAACAAAATCTCTCACGTACCGCATGAATTTGCACAAATAAAAAATTTAAGGCAATGTAAGCATACTTTGTTAAAATATATGAACATTGGCTGGGCGCGGTGGCTCATGCCTGTAATCCCAGCACTTTGGGAAGCCGAGGCGGGCGGATCACCTGAGGTCAAGAGTTCAAGACCAGCCTGGCCAATGTGGTGAAACTCTGTCTCTATTAAAAATACAAAAATTAGCTGGGTGTGGTTTGTGCACACCTTTAATCCCAGCTACTCAGGAGGCTGAGGCAGGAGAATCGCTTGAACCTGGGAGGCTGAGGTTGCAGTGAGCGGAGATCATGCCACTGTACTCCAGCCTGGGCGACAGAAGGAGATCCGTCTCAAAACAAACAAACAAATGAACAACCCCCCAAAAATGTGTTCAGTAATTTTATCTAAATAATCTAAATAATAGATTCACACAGTTCAGTGAAAGCAGCACTCCCCAAATCCACGCCTTCCAATGCCCAGCCCCAGTCCCAAACAAAGCTGCCTTAACTGTTTCTGTGTTTAATTCCCCGGGAGGCCCCTCCACATCTGCACTAATATGCGCTTCCTGTAACCTCCACCACAATGACGCAAGGCAGGCGCTCTTAGAGTCTCCATCTCACAGATGAAGAAACTGAGGCTTACAGGGATATGTGGTTCGCCCATGGTTGCTTGTGCTAAGAAAAGGCAGAGCCAGGGCTTCATTCCAAAAATTTTTTTTTTTTTTTGAGATAGAGTCTCGCTCTGTTGCCTGGGCTGGAGGGCAGTGGCGTGATCTTGGCTCACTGCAACCTCCGCCTCCTGGGTTCAAGTGATTCTCCTGCCTCAGCCTCCCAAGTAGCTGGGATTATAGGCGCCCACCACCACGCCCAGCTAATTTTTTGTATTTTTAGTAGAGACGGGGGTTTCACTATGTTGGCCAGGCTGGTCTGGAACTCCTGACCTCATGATGTGCCCACCTTGGCCTCCCAAAGTGCTGGGATTATAGGCGTGAGCCACTGCGCCTGGCCTCATTCCAGATCTTTACTCGAAAGCCACAGCACTGGTCAGGGAGCAACGCTTTACTTCCTGCCCTGTCCACCCTGGTGCCTCCTGGGGTGCTGCCTCCCTTGGGGTGGCCTGGGTCACAGTCAGAGCAGTGCCTTCTTGCTTCCAGCCAAGGTGTCTCTACAGCCGCTCCTACCACAGAGGCTGCCCTGGCTTCTCTCATCCTTGTCCAGATAAGTGTGTGGGTTTGAACACACGATGCCACTGTCACTCCAGCAACAGGAGCAACAGCAGGATAGAGCTGCACTGGCTGGGGGAGTCCCCACGGCAGGTGACATGAGCTGCTTCTCTGCCCCAGGAGGTGCCTCAGGGTCCTGGCCACAGGTGGTTACCAGTTAGGACCATGTCTCCGGGTTTACCCTTTGAGGAGGAAATAGAGAGAGGGGCAGCCGTCTTGATGTGTGGCGGAAAGGGTCATTTTTTTCCTTTTCCTTTTTTACAGTTTTATTGATATGTAATTGATATACAAAAAAAAACCCCTGTGTGTATTGGATGTATACATTTGATGAGTTTGGACATCTGCACACACCTGTGAAACCATCATTATCATCATGGTAATAGATACATCCATCACTTCCAAAGGTGTCCTTGTATGCCACTGTTTTTTGTTTGTTTGTCTGCTTTTGTGGTAAGAACACTTAGCCGGGGAGTCATCCTCCCAACAAATGCTTCAGTGCTTGGTGCGGTATTGTTTACTGTAGGTAGCATGTTGTACAGTGGATAGCTGGAACTCATTCATCTTGCATAGTGGAAACTTACGCCCATTGAGCAGCAAATCCCCAGCTCTCCCTCACTCAGCCCCTGGCAACCACCATTCTAGTCTCTGCTTTTATGGGTTTGACTATTTTAGTTCCCCGTTTAAGTGGAATCATGCAGCACTTGTTCCTGTAGGCCTGGCTTATTTCACTAAGTGTAATGTCCTCCAAGTTCCCAGTAGGATTTCCCTCATTTTCAAGGCTGAATAATATTCTGTGGTATGGATAGACCATATTTTCTCAATCCATTCATTTACATTGGACATGTGGGCTGTTTCCATGTCTTGGCTGCGGTGAATACTGCCGCAGTGAATGTGGGGCTGCAGGTGTCTCCTGGAAATTCTGATTTTTGTTCTTTCGATGAATACTCAGAAGTGGGACTGATGATGGGTTACACGGTAGATTCGCAGTAATTGCTGAAAGACCCTCCACACTGTTCTCTGTAGCAGCGACACCATTTCTCATTCCCCATCAGTGGATAAGTCTTCAGATTTCTCCATGACCTGGCCAGCACTCCTTGTTTGTTTCAATATGGCCATCCTAACAGGCATGAGGTGAAAGGAAGGATTACCGACGTTTCAAGCGGGCCACTCTTTTCTTGGCGTTGATATACTCTTATGGAATTCAGTTGTATTATGGGTTGCGTGTTTGGGTCCCTGCTCCCAATCCATACATTGAAGCTCTAGTTCCCAGTGTGGCGGTCTTTGGAGACCCCACCTTTGGGAGGTAATTGAGCCATGAGGGTAGAGCTCCCGTGATGGGACTTCTTAGAAGACGAAGAGACACCAGAGCTTCCCCTCTCAGTAGTGTGAGGACACAGAGAGAAGCCAGCTGCCCGCAAGCCAGGGCGACAGCCCTCACCCGGAACCAAATCTGCTGGCACCTGGACCTCTGACGTCCATCCCCCTGAACTGTGAGGAATAAAGGTTTGTTGTCTAAGCCATCAGGTCTATGGTATTTTGTTATAGCAGTCAGAGCTAAGACTAACAGAAATGTGAAAAAAAGAGGTAGGTACAAAATTAAGTAGTATCATTAATGAGTATATATTTTTTATAACACATTGTATTTTTAAAGAGTGTGCCTTTAGTCCCAGTTACTTGGGAGGCTGAGGTGAGAGGATCGCTTGAGTGCAGGAGAACTGGGCTTTAGTGCGCTATGTCAATCAGATGCCCACACTAAGTTCAGCATCAATATGGTGACATCCCGGGAGTGGGGGACCAGCACGTTGCCTAAAGAGGGGTGAACCAACCTGGGTTGGAAATGGAGCAGGTCAAAACTCCTGTGCTGATCGGTAGTGGGATCGTGCTTGTGAATAGCCACTGCGCTCCAGCCTGGGCAATGTAGTGAGACCCTATCTCCTTAAAAAATAAAAATAATTTTAAAAGAAAAAAAAAACAAGTTTAAATCTATAGAAAAATTGCAAAGCTTGTACAGAGAGCTCCCATAAGCCCCATGCACAGTTTCTCTATTGGTAACATCTTCCATGAGTATGCTTCATTTGTTGTAATGAATGAACCAGTGTTGATACAGTTTTATTAACTAGACGTCCATACATTATTCGGATTTCCTTATATTTTTCCTCATGTCCTTTTGCTGTCCTAGGGTCCCATCCAGGATGCCACATGACATTTAGTTGTCATGCCTCTTTAGGTTCCTTTTGGCTGTGACGGTGTCTCAGATTTTCCTTGTCTTTGGCCACCTTGACAGATGACCCCTTGTTTTCTGGAATGTCATTTTGGCTGAGGTGGTTGTCATAAGTCATTGGTGAAGCGGATGAAGTCCCACAGTGGGTGAGGATTTGGGGCTGAATACACTTTCCTGGGCAATGTTTCTGCAAAGGAATTTTTATCCCACCGATATGTGCCTTCCAAAGATATGAAAATCATCTCTAGGGCCTCGGGGAGGCCAAGCCTGTTTCCTGCTAAACACTGTTTCACAGTTTTCTGAGGACAAAAGGGTCTGCTGTGTCTGCTTCACAATGGCCTCTGAGCCCACTGCAGCTTAGGCAGGTGTAATGAGTGGGCGGAGAGTGGGTTTATATCCCAGATCTGCCACCAACAGCCAGGGAACCTGGCTAAGTGACTGGGTTTCCTTATCTCAGATGAAGTAAGGATAACAGTTGGTCCCATCTTAGTTAATGCATGCAGAGTCCTCAGATCATGCCTGGCACAGGGTCAGTACTATCTACCTAGCTCCCATCATTATTATATAAAAGCACCAGTTTTAACTGGAAGTTACTGACACATGGAGGAGACAGGTGAATTTCTCTTTCTGCAGCATGGCTACTAACTGGTGCAGGTGGTACAGTCATTGTTGCATCTTTATTTATTTATTTATTTTTTGAGAAGGAGTCTCACTCTGTCACCCAGGCTGGAGTGCAGTGGTGCCATCTCGGCTCACTGCAACCTCCACCTTCTGGGTTCAAGTGATTCTCCTGCCTCAGCCTCCCAAGTAGCTGAGATTACAGGCATGCACCATCATGCCGTACTAATTTTTGTACTTTTAGTAGAGGCAGGGTTTCACCATGTTGGCCAGGCTGGTCTTGAACTCCTGACCTCAGGTGATCCTCCCACCTTGGCCTCCCAAAGTGTTAGGATTATGGGCATGAGCCACCGCGCCCGGCCTTTATTATTATTATTATTATTATTATTTTTGAGACGGAGTCTTGCTTTGTCCCCCAGGCTGGAGTGCAATGGTACGATCCAGGCTCACCGCAGCCTCTGCCTCCCGGGTTCAAGCGATTCTCCTGCCCAGCCTCCTGAGTAGCTGGGATTACAGGCACGCACCACCGCACCTGGCTAATTTTTGTATTTTTACTAGAGACGGGGTTTCACCATGTTGGCCAGGCTGGTCTCCAACTCCTGACCTCAGGTGATCCGCCGGCCTCGGCCTCCCAAAGTGCTGCAATTACAGACGTGAGCCACCATGCCCAGCCCATTGTTACATCTTTAACAATCACTTTAAAACATAATACAGCAGTCTGGGGCACACGGTAAGTGCTTACTATTAATAAATGTTAGCTTTACTAGTAGAGCATGTTTTACAAATACCCTGGGCTCCTGGCCATCCAGGTTATTCAGGTCCTACAGCGTGGAAACCATTAACTTCAGATGTCCTCAGATGGACTAGCCTTCAAATCCTGGCCACCCTCACACCAGCTGTGTGATCTTGGGCAATTCACCAAACCTTTCTGTGCCCCGCTTTCCCCATCTGTAAAAAAGGATAACAATAGTACCTCCAGTATCCTCAGTGTGAGGATAAAGTGAGGGGATGGGTGTCTGGAGCATGTAAAATGCTCAATAAACAGTGGCAATTTATGTTATTAACATGTCTGTGAGCACTGTCTTTGTAGGCACTGGTGAGGGGGCCAGGGAGGGACCACAAATGGCAGGAGAAGATGGGTGTGTGGAGGAGGTGATGTCTGAGGTCCAGTTACCCCTCCTCTAAAACTCAGGTGGCCAGAGCCTGCCCTGCAGCCTTGGCCATTCAGGTGAATGAGCTTACGGTGTTCACCAGGTGTCATCCCATTAAATTAACATTTTTTTTTTTGAGATGCGTCTCGCTCTGTTGCCCAGGCTGTAGTGCAATGGTGTGATCTCAGCTCACTGCAACCTCTGCCTCCTGGGTTCAAGTGATTCTCCTGCCTCAGCCTCCTGAGTAGCTGGGATTACAGGTGCCTGCCACCACACCCTGCTGATTTTTGTATTTTAGTAGACATGGGGTTTCACCATGTTGTCCACGCTGGTCTCAAACTCCTGACCTCAAGTGATCCACCCACCTCAGCCTCCCAAAGTGCTGGGATTACAGGCGTGAGCCACCATGCCTGGCCTAAATCAACACTTTTTAAGCTCTACCATGTGCATGGACTGGCTAAATGTATTCATACATATTATTTCATTTAATTTTCGCAAATATCCCATTTGACAGGTGGAGAAATGAATGTTCAAATAACCATCCTTGGATCAGGAGGTCACTAATGGTGGACTAGGAAGCCCATGTGTCAGTGTGTTTCCCCCCCAACTCCTGAGCAAAAGGACCACAGCGCAAGTAATAAAAAACACACCATCTTTCGTTATGAAAAGTAGACTGAAATGTACACCAGGGCAGGGACTGCTTCTGTCTTTGTTCACTTTTGTCCCGGAACTGAGTTTGTGAGTGGCACCTAGTAAGTGCTGGATGAAGGTGTGACTATAGAGATTATAGCTATAAAGCTCTCCTGCATTCTTTGTCTCACCTGAGACTTAAAATTACTCTGTGAGAAAGGGGTTGATGATATTATCTCCATTTTACCAGTTAAGGAAATGTACGGGAAAGACACATTTATTGAGGATCTTCTCTCAATGGACGTTTTGCTGGTTTTATCTCATTTAACCAATGCTCATTGCCCTTGGGGGGACGTCACACAACTGCTGACCACAGACCAGGACCCCAGGCCCATGCTCTGCGCAATGCCTTGGAAACCTCTTACCCTCCTTTTGTTTTTTTTTTTTTTTTCCCCAGAGATAGCTTCTTACTCTGTTGCCCAGGCTGGAGTGCAGTGGTGCAATCATAGCTCACTGCAGCCTTCCACTCCTGGGCTCAAGTGATCCTCCTGCCTCAGCCTCTTGAGTGGCTGGGATTACAGGTGTGTGCCACTATGCCTGGCTAATTAAAACAAAATTTTTTTTTTATAGAGACAGGAGTCTCACTATGTTGCCCAGGCTGGTGTTGAACTCCTGGCCCCAAGCAAAGCCTACTAAAGCACAGCAATTACAGGTGTGAGCCACTGCATCCACCTCTTACCCTCCTTTTGAGAGGCCCCTGCCCTCATGGTCCTTAGCCCGGGCTGAGTTTTCGCCGGTTGGAAGCCAGGGCACTGAAGAATGGAACTTGGTCTAGGAGCCCACCACCACCTCAGGGGAGGGGGACCGGGAGCCCGGCCACATTGCTGGGCGGTGTCAAGGAAGGGCCCAGCACGGCTGTGCTCACAGCAGGGTGCCTGCAGCCACAATGAGTTCCTCCTCTCTAGTCACATGGTCCCTGCTATTGCAGACAGGAGACAGAGCAAGAAATCTCTGGAGAATGGAAACCTTGCTCAATGAATGTATGTGACGAATGACTTCCTCTCCCCTCAAACAGCAAGCATGGAGGGGTGTTTTTTCTTTGGGTTGTGAATGAAAATACTGAGCAGTCGGCAGCATTTTGTTGCGACGGGATCTGCAGCAAGAAGGAGGCCACTCTGGCACGTCCCGTGAGATGCTGTGGGTTCTGGGGGACTTCCGGCCTAGTTGGAGTCTCCCAGAGTGGCTGAAGTGACTTGCTGGGGCCTCTGACAGCTGTGTCGTCCCTGAGAGTTCCAGGGGAAGCATCGCCACCCCGACCTGAACATCTGTGCTGGACACGGCCCAGAGAGAGGCTTGCAGACCAGCAGATCAGACCTGAGCCGTGGTCCTTCCGGCTACCCTGCCTCTCCCCCTGCCCTCTCCCCTCCCTGGTGGGGCCTATGGGAGACTCTGGGAGCTTGTGCTGGGCATGAGGGTCCTCCCAGGCGGGGCGACACTGCAGGCTTCTCCGTGACAATGTGCCTGACCCTGAACAACCATCTCAGGTGACAGATGTCTGGGCCATTGTGTAGGCTGGGAGGCAGCACACTTCTGCCAAAGACCACATAGTAAATATTTCAGACTCTGAGGACCACATGTTCTAGGTTGCATCTATTCTTCTGTCTTTGAATCCTTTTCTCAACTATTTAAAAATGTAAAAACCATTCTTGGTGCAGGCTGCACAGAAGCAGCCCTGCGGCCAGTGTGGGCTCTGCTGGCAGCAGCATCCCCTGCTCCCCGCTCCTCCCCTCGCCCCCTCAAAACCTGGATGTTTTCTGCGGAAGCCTCTGTAACAAGGTGACTGCAGCCTCGGCCCGAAGGTCTTTGCAGAATATACGCCTGCTAGCTTTTTTTTTTAATTTAATTTTTATTTTATTTTATTTTTGAGACGGAGTCTCGCTGTGTCTCCCAGGCTGGAGTGCAATAATACGATCTCAGCTCACTGCTACCTCCACCTCCCGGGTTCAAGCGATTCTCCTGCATCAGCCTCTGGAGGAGCTGGAATTACAGGCACCCGCCACCACGCCTGGCTAATTTTTGTATTTTTAGTAGAAACGGGTTTCACCATTTTGGTCAGGCTGGTCTTGAACTCCTGACCTCAGGTGATCCACCTGCCTCAGCGTCCCAAAGTGTTGGGATTACAGGCATGAGCCACCTACCCCGCTTACACCTGCTAACTTCTGCTAAGGGACCCCCGGCCCTCCAATGGCCAGAACACCGGCTTGCTTCTAGGCCTGCGCCCCTTGTAGCTGCTCTGACCTAATTCCTAAGCGCCATCTCGCTGCCTTCAAATCAGACAGTGAGTTGTAGGGAAGCCTCGTGAGGTCCTTTAGCCGTTCTGGGGCAGGATGATGTCCATTCTGGGTCAGGACCCTGCCCCTCCAGCTTCTCCCGGGCAGCGGGGATGATCCCCGCACTGAGTGTGTAATGGCAAGAGGTGAGCAGTAGGCGGCAGCACTGAGCTGTATTTGCTGAGTTCTGTCCTCAACAGGATCCAGAGCTTAGACCCAGCAGGATGTGGCCTTTGCATGCTCATCCCTGGACAGACAGCGATGCTGAGCCCCAGCATGGGACCAGGTGCTCCGGAATCCCTCCCCAGGGCCCCATCTGCTGCATGGCCTCCGCTAAGACTGGGCTATATTCCTGTACTTCTTGTGGCCTCTTCGAAGCCTTCAGGATCTCACTATGGTGACCACCTAAGGCCAGCTCCGGACCCTGAGAACCTCCCTCAGCAGGTCCAGGTCCAGCCGCACCTGTGCAACTGTGGCTGAAACGCTGCGGAGAGGCCAGGCCAGGCTGGAGACCACAGGGCAGGCTCTGTGGTGACTTGTGTCCTGGGTTTAGGGATGGGGTTTGACCGGCCGAGGCAGGTCTTCGGCATGAGCCAGGGGTTTGCAAGAACAAAACCCCAGTGCTGCCTCCGACATGGGCGCCGCGTCATTTGCCTGCTCCTAGCCAGCTTGCTGGTGTTGGGAACCTGAAGCTCATCTTCTCCTGCCTCTTCCTCACCTCCCACATCCTGTTATTCTCCCGAGTCTGCTGGCATTGCCTCCAGGTTTTCTCAATCCTACCCCTGCTTTCTGCCCCGTGGCCATGGCCTATGTGGAGGCCTCGGCAGCCAGAGCCTGGACAGCCTCCTGAACAGCCACCCTCCTCCTGCTGGAGTGACCTTTCCAAAATGCATGGAGGACCCTGTGGCTCTGACCTGCTGGGAGCCCTCCAGCTGCTTGGGACAGGGGGAAACCCCCTGCTGATCATGCTAGGCCTCCATCTGGTGCCCTCTCACCCTCTGATGTCACACCCAAGCCACACCATGTTCCCCATGTACTCCAGCGGTTTCTCACCTCCATGCCTTTATCCACGCAGGGCCCTCTGCCTGAAACCCCGTCCCTCCGCAGCCTCTTCCTGGCTGACCTCTGCTTTTCCTTTCATACTAGTGTCAGGCATGGCCTCGGGGCTCTTAGTCCAATCCTGCAGCTCCTCAGCGCTCCAGGATTCCTGTACTCTGCTGTATGCTTGCCCCGTTGTGGTGGTGGCTGTCCCCTAGAACACGACCTCCTTGAGTGCCAGGATTGTTCTGTACACATCTTAGCAGCCACAGCACCAACACAGAGCCCGGAACACAGTGGTGCCTAATAACTGCCTGTTCACTGATGAATGGATAGGGCCCTTCATCAGGCAAACTCTAGCCCATCTTTGGGACACCCAGGGACAAGGAGATGTCCTAGACTTGTACGGTGACCATTCCCATCTTCGGCTTTCTTTCTTTTCACAACTCCCTTTCCCATGTCTAAGCTAACCTAAATCCCCACGCTTCCGTTTATCCTTGTTGCATCAACCTTGCAGATGGAGACCAGCTGCTTAGCATCTGCTGGAGCTTTTAATATAAATTCTGGACAGATTTTTCCTTTGTTAATGGCAAAATAAAAAGCCCCAGAAAGGAGGCACCACCCCCTTCCCTACATTGCACAGACCCGTGGGTTTCACCACCCCCAGACACCTGCTATCACCACGGGGCACTTGGAAGGTGAAGAAATCCCTGTGGGCCACCAGGGGTGACTGGGGGAGACCTGGGAGGCTGGGCTGGGTGCAGAGTCTATCTAGGGGTCTCTAGGGGTGATCGCTGTGTCCTCTGAGAGGGTCTGATGGGTGCTGGAGGGAGGCCCGGGATGGGCCTGGGGCCTCGCTCCACACAGCCTGCTCAGAAAGAGGTGCTCAGGCTGGTGTGCCTTTCCCTCCCACGCCACCCACATCTGGCTTCTAAGCTCAGATTGTGGTAGGGGTGGGAGTTGGAGAGGGCATGCTGTTTGCCTTTTGTGCCCCTTCCTCAGCACCCCAGGTTGTTTTGGGGCAGGTGTCTTGAGAGTTTGGCTAACAGACCCAGTTCTCTAATTCCCAGGAGATGAGCCAAGAAGCAAATTATCTGGGTGTATGGATCTACAGTTACTGAGATGTAATGGATTACCTTCTGGTGTGGTGACCATAGGCATGCCCCTGTGGGTGGGGACAGAGTTGCCAGATTTAGCAAATAAAAACACATACAAATATTGCACAGGACAGACTTGTATCAGAACGTTATTTATTTTTTATCTGAAATTCAAATGTATTGGGTATCCTGTATTTCCTCTGGGAACCCTCTGGGAACCCTGGGGGATGAGAAATCTCCCTTGCAGGGAGGGGTCACTCCCAGTGTCTGCCTCACAAGAAGAGGGGGTCCTCCCCAGCTACAGGGGACTGGGCAGCTGGCCCTGGTATCAGGGTCACTCCACTTGGCTCTGCTTTCTTGGGTCTTCAGGGCTTTGGGACAGCCTGGGGGTGGGAGAGTGGCTTCTGCTTCACTGGTACTGGCCAGAAGGTGGGCAGGGCATGGAGGAGGGGGTGTTAATATCTGGTTCATTTCCACCCTGCTGGCTGTAAACCTTTAGTCAAGTGAGGGGACGCATTCTGACCTAACATCTGCTGGGCTGTGAGCTGCAAAGGGAAGGGCCTGGCCCGTGCGTGAGGCTGGTGGGAAGTGGCAGTGGGGAGGGAGGTGGGTCCCAGGGAACGTGGGTTAACTTTGGGGACACTTCTCTTTCCCCGTCTCTCCCCTTCTGGTGGGGAGCCATAATGTCTTGCAGGATCTGGGCTTGATTTTTAAAATACTGTCTAGCATTTATTTTAACAATTCACATGCAGTAAAATTCACTTCTCTTTTCATTCAGTCCTGTGAGTTCTGACAAATGCACAGTCATGTATCATCACTATGGTCAAGATACAGACAGATCCATCGCCCCGCAAAATTCTCTTGTGCTGCCCCTCAGTAGGCAAATCCTCCCCGCTTTTCCCACCCCTGCCACCACAGATCTATTCTTCACCCCTGGATTTTCCCTTTTCCCAATTGTCTCCTAAATGGGATCATATAGTCCGAAGGCCTTGCATCCGTGTAGCAGCATGCTTTTGGGATGCACCCGTGTTGCTGTGTGAATCCATATTCGCTCCTTAGTAGCACTCCACTGTACGAGGTGCTGCGGTTGGTCTATTCATTCACACGCTGAGGACGTGTGGGTTGACTCCAGTCTGGGGCGGTGATAAATAAAAATAAAGCTGCTCTGCAAATTTGGGTACAGGTACCTTCTTAATGGTCCTTCCTTCCTTCCTTCCTTTTCTTTCCTTTCATTCCTTTTTTCTTTTTCTTCTTCTTTTTTTTTTTTTTTTGACAGACTTTTGCTCTGCACTGGAGTGCAATGGCGCAATCTTGGCTCACTTGTAACCTCCAATTCCTGGGTTCAAGCAATCCTTCTGCCTCAGTTTCCCGAGTAGCTGGAACTACAGGCATGTGCCTCCACACCCCACCAATTTTTGTAGTTTTAGTAGAGATGGGGTTTCACCATGTTTTCCAGGCTGGTCTTGAACTTTTGACTTCAAGTGATCCGCCCACCTTGGCCTCCCAAAGTGCTGGGATTACATGCATGAGCCACCATGCCCGGCAAACATGGGTTTTCATTTATCAGGTAAATACCCAGGAGTGGGATTGCTGGGTCATGTGCAAAGTATGTTACTGTTAGAAGAAGAAACTCTTGGGGCTTGAGGTATGAGCGCCCGCAGCTGCCCACACTTTTCAGATGATAGCCCCAGATTGCTGAGGGGCTTTCGGTTTTACAGATGGGGAAATGGAGGCCTTGAGAGGTCAGATGACGAGTCCATAGTTTTAAGGAAGGTCGTCGTCAAGGTCCAGGCGGAGCCTCGTCTCCTGTCTCCCAGGCCGCTGTGCTTTCGTCTGTATCTCAGTTCCCTTCATCATCTGTTGCTGCAAGCTTATTCTCATGGGATCCGTTTATGGGACACATTGGGCCACCAACAATTAGCCTCTCCATGCACTGATAAGGAATGTGACCAAAAAGATTAATCCATTTGGTGAGGTGACCAAGTGATTATGTAAACAGCCGTGTTGATGAACAGAATCTATCTTCAAAGGTTATGACAGTATTATACACACAGCCCTCACGCTGGGCATTTGGCTTGATGGAGCTGTCTGCAAAATTATTCTTCAATGATTCATCTACCAAATTATTCTTCTCAGACCTTTTCAAGCAGAACCGACACAGAACTGGTGTCTGCGTTTCTTTGGCACTGGGTAGGTAGGAGCTGTTTGCTTTTCTTACTCGCTTCTGACTCCCTTTGCCTTGGGATTTGGGTCCTATCCCCGAAAGCCCTAGTCCCAGACAACCTTTTCTTTACCTGCTTCAAGCTTAGAATCAAGAGAGCAGTTCCTGACACTCCCTGGGAATCTTGGCTTTACCACAATTCTAGCTTTTGAACATTTCAATGGAGGATTAATTGTTATTCATGCTGTCATTGTTATGTAGGTCATTTTTTCTTTGGATCAAGTTGACGGGATTTTATCATCTGTGGAAAGCAGCCATATACCAGAATGAAGAATACTTTTGATTGATGATTTAGCTTAAAAATAGTTTCCTCTTTTAATAAGCCTCATTCGGGAACAAATGACCCCAGAGGGAAACTGGGTGCTTATCTAGTAGCCTATGTATTTTGCAGAGAATTTCTAGAAATGTGTGTATTTTGAAGAAAAGAAGAGGGGCTTTGGCTGTTTGGTCCTGGAGATGGGTCTAGGAGCCTGGGGTGGGGGCATCTATTGGTCTCTCCTAGCTGACCCCTGCCCAGAGAACTGCAGTGCCCCTTGCCCAAATAAAAGGTATGCCCGAGTGGCTGAGTGGGTGTTTCTAGTTGGATTACTGCAGGCTCAACATTAGATTCACCAAATCATTATTTAGTACTTGCTCTGTGCTGGGCAAAATTTCATTGATGTTATCGGAGGAATATCTAGGCAAAGAGAGGAGACCTCACTTATAAAAACTAAAGGCCTTGTCACGTCAGATTTTTTTTTTTTTTTTTTTTTTTGAGACAGAGTCTCGCTCTGTCGCCCAGGCTGGAGTGCAGTGGGGCGATCTCGGCTCACTGCAAGTTCAGCCTCCTGGGTTCAAGCCATTCTCCTGCCTCAGCCTCCCAAGTAGCTGGGACTACAGGCGCCCGCCACCACGCCCGGCTAATTTTTTGTATTTTTAGTAGAGACGGGGTTTCACCGTGTTAGCCAGGACGGTCTCGATCTCTTGACCTCGTGATCTGCCTGCCTCGGCCTCCCAAAGTGCTGGGATTACAGGCATGAACCACTGCGCCCGGCCCAGATTTCTTTTTAAAAGGCAGTTAGGGATGGCAGTCTTAGACAATGAGCTCCCCTAGTGCCCTTCCAATGGAGAAGCACAACGAGAATCTAATTTGTAAATACCAGGTCTTACACGGTGAGTGGGACTAGGAGAAGGCATCGACTGCACGCTGGGGTCAGTTGCCTGGGAGCGAATCCAGCTCCACTCCCTGCTGTGGCCTTGAGCAAGTAGCACTTAACCTCTCTGAGCCTCTTTCTGCATCTGAAAAATGGGATTGGTCATAAGGTTGCGATGGGCATGTGCCCCCTGAGAAACATCAGTAAGGTGGCAAGGGTGGCGAAGACGCTGTTCCTCGGGTTTTGTTCCAGCGACGAAAGCTAAGTTCATCAAGCCACAAGAAGAAATCTCAGATTTTTTTTCCCCCTAGGAAATGTGAAAATTGAAGGTTTCCTTTGAAGCCTTGTGGCAGAAGCTTCTGAAAGCCGAGTCACAGATCTTGCACAGTGCTGTCCCAAACGCCGCTGATGTGCAAACGGTGGCCCCCGTCCCCGTAGGGAGGCCAGAATGGGACAGCAGAGATTGCGGCAGGGTGTCCGGTGAGCAGGGGACCCTCACGGACCGGTCTAGACGCGAGACTAGGATTTATTTATTAATTCTTTCAACTGCGGCGGTGGAATCAAGATGGCCTAGAGGGCGCCAGGGGGCGCTCTGGAGAGGACGGGCGGCAGATCCGAATGGGCCCCGAGGAGGGCGGCGCCCCGGGTCACGCGCGACTTCTGCGGAACCCGCCTTTGCCGCGCAGTTTTCGGGATTCGCGGGAAGAAGGCGCAGCCTCCCAGGCCCAACTCTCTCCCCAGCACTTTCGCGTGGAAAATCTTCAGGAAAATGAAATGTAGCTCCCCGTATGCCCTCTCCCCAAAGATGTAAAGGACTCTGGAGCGGGCGCGAGGAGCAGTTCCTGTTTCATTACGAGCGCCCCCTCTCCAGCCCGGTCATTGTAGTGCGAACCAGAACAATCAAATTAACAGAGGCACTCAGGAGCCTTTTAGTGCTACTGTTCCAGGAACTGAAGAGGCCTCGGTATGGGAATCCCCACAGAGTAATAAACAGCACGTGGTTGGAGCGCCGAGGAGGAGACTCGCTCCACCTGGTGGCGGTGATGTCCTCTCGGAGGAGGTGGCAGGACACAGAGGCTGGCGGCCACAGACGGGATCTGTAATTCAGTGCCCGCCATCACGTACCTCGGCCTGGCCCTGTGCAGCTTGGAAGCTGGAGACGGAGAAGGTGGAAAATGAGAGTTCATGGAGTGTCGGGCCTAAGCTGAAGGAGGCGGCGCTGCACGCACAGACGAAGGAAGGCGGCCCAGGGCGGCTGCTTGGTGTGGAGGCCACAGCCCAGCACGGGCGGAGCGGGGCGGAGCGGGAGGATGGGCGGGAACGGCGCTGGGTGTTCCTGCTTCCTCCTCTAGCTCGCAGCCTTTCATAGGAAATTAAACATTCAGCACTGGAGGACCGACCGGGAACTCCATCATTTTGATTCCAACCTGGTGCCCAGGGTCTGGAATCAAAATCCCTGAGCGCTCGCGGCCCTGGGGCGGGGCTGAACCCTGAATGATCTTAGTCTGTTTTAATAGGAGAGTTGCAAACAGTGGGGGCTTCCTCTTTATTGCTTGGGCAAGGGTGTGTGTGTCGGGGGTTGGGGGGCGGGGGCGGTGTGTATCTGTGTATGCATGTGTGAGTGCGTGTGTGTATGTGGGTGTGTGCACGTGAGTGTGCATGTGTGGGCGTGAGCATGTGTGTGGGGTGTGTGAGTGGGTGTATGTATGCGTGTGTGCATGTGTGAGTGCGTGTGTGTATGTGGGTGTGTGCGTGAGTGTGCATGTGTGTGGGCGTGAGCATGTGTGTGGGGTGTGTGAGTGGGTGTATGTATGCGTGTGTGGATGTGTGTGAGTGTGAGTGGGTGTGCGTGTGAGTGTGTGTGAGTGTGTATATATGAGGGGATGTGTGTGGAGATGGGTAGGTATTCGAGTGTGTGTGTGTATGTGTGTGAAGAAATAGCCTTTGTAAAACCAGGTCAAAAAATACCTTTTATTACTTTAATGTTATAAAATAACTGTAGTTAACTTGCAATCCTGTCTAACCTACATTTCCTTTTAAAGGCCATTACATTTTGTTTTATTTTAAAGCTGTGAAGATAGTATGTGGAGAGTTTGCATCTCATTATTTCTTCATTTGATGCTTGACTAATTCAGGCCCTAAATTCCAACTCAGAGAGCAGTCTAAGACGCTCGCAGTCCTGTGTGGGTGCATCTTGGCCAGCTACTCTGGCGGAGGCATACATCTCATTCACACCAGCAAGGGGAAAGGCTGGATTAGGAAAACGCAAGATGTGAGTCCTGTACTTTTCTTACAAGTGTTGCTACCATTAGATGGGTATTTATTCCTGGCTCCCAGCAACCTTGTCTGAGAATTTTCACTTTTGCATAGAAACAAAAAAAGGGTAGGGGAATATGGAGCTCAAATAATGTGAAGCAATCTGAAAATCAGCAAATATTACTGAGCACTACTATGTGTAAGACAAGGTTGCTGATTATTAAGGGCTTATATTATTACCAGCAACAGAAAACCAATTCTCAAAGTCATTAGAAAAGACAATAGATCAAGCAGTGAATTATGCAATCTGTGCAGCAAAGGCTAAACATATTGACAGGAACATACATACAGACCAGAATTATTAGGCAAGGCTTTACGGGATGGAGAATTAAAGGCAGGGAAAGATTTAGATGGATGGAGGGGAGGAGAGGGGAATTTGAAAACTCACATGGAGATCCAAGGATAAGAGCAGAATGTTTATTGTTACGACAAGGCTAGAAAAAAAAATGAAGGGTACAAAATATTATGCATGGTATAATTCCAGTTCTGGGAAAACATGTATTATTCATGTGCAAAGAAAAAAGACTAAGCAAATGCATCAAAATGTAAATCATGTTTAGGATGTGATAGATTATGGGTGATTTTTAGTTTCCTCTTTTTACTTTTTGGTATTTCCTATTTTCAATGAAATGATTTATTCTTATCACTAGAAAAGAAAATGTTGTTCCTTATTTGGAGAAGGGCCGGCTGAGGTGCTGGTGGGACGGTGGGACGCTCAGCACACAGTGAGCCTGGGGTGCAGGGGAATCCAGAGGCCCAGGCAGCAGAGACAGAGGGCAGGGGATGGTGCTAAGCCAGGGAGTGGGTGGTGTAGGCTGTCTTTGAGACCTGGGCAGCAGGAGTGAGCATGGTGACCTGAGGAGGAAGGGACCAGCTCTGAGGTTACATCAAGGTGGCAGAGCTCCCACCTTTCCTACAGCCCCAGCCTGTTTTCTCTGGGGACAGTTACAGTGAGTAACTTAGACCCCATGGGGTCATAGACAATCAGCAATGGGCCAGAGTAGCCTTTTCTAGAAAAATAGGGCAATTGCACAGTCAGCAAAGGGAGGATTAGAAATCTCACAGCTGGCAGGTTGGGGGCACCAAGGACCCCTCCCCTCTATAGGATTGGATGCTAGGGGCATACATTTCCTAGTTCTGACATTCCCAAGTCATCAGGCCTCTTTGGATTAGGACTAAAGGCTTGTTAATTGCCTACAAAAAGTCACTAGTGGGCAGGACCAAGGGTGTATTAGTGTGTTCTCATGCTGCTAATAAAGACATACCCGAGACTGGGTAATTTATTAAGAAAAAGAGGTTTAATGGACTCACAGTTCCACATGGCTGGGGAGACCCCACAATCATGGCAGAAGGCAAAGGAGAGCAAAGGCACATCTTACATGGCGGCAGGCAAGAGAACATGTGCAGGGGAACTCCCCTTTATAGAACCATCAGATCTCGTAAGACTTATTTACTATCACAAGAACAGCATGGGAAAGAACCACCCCCATGATTCAATACCTCCCACCGGGTCCCTCCCACAACATGTGGGAATTATGGGAACTACAATTCAAGATGAGATTTGGGTGGGGACACAGCCAAACCATATCAAAGGGTAAGGTGAAATCCCACCACGCTGTGCAGTCTCCACCAGGAGAAAATGGACTTGTTTCAAGTGTTGAGCTCAGGCCTGGTGGTTCACTGAGAAGCTCAGCTTGGTCAACAGGACACAGTTCTCAGAGGCAGTTGCCACAAAGAGACTTGCGGAAACACTGAACTGTTGGTGGCCAAAACGACTTCTGACTGTACGGTGGACATGGGAGGCCAGAGTGTGATTAAAGTGAAAGTGTGACCCCAAGGCCAGTTCTAGGGGGGACAGAGCTGGCGAGGTTTTGCAGCTTACTAATAATTGTGATGAAAGATTAATAGAGTATTGATCATTTACATTCATAGAAGTACATTTCTTTACCTAATCCACAGAACAGTAACATCATGAGCTCAAAATCTTTTTAGCTAGAAGCCTGTGTTGTAGGAAACTAGAATGGAAGTGCATTTGGAAGAGCAAAAATGTCCTAGTCGGGCGAGCAGTGGCTGCAGCATTGACTCTGGGTCCTGAGCAGAATGCGGCCGAAGTTCCTGTTTCCACCTGGAAGTAGCCGGGCTCAGCCCCAAGGACTTCCCTCCCGTTGTGGCCTCCACGCTCAGGGGCCACTGAAGGGTCATCTTTAGGTTACTCTGTTGGTAACTTGTGAAATTTGGGCTCACTTTTTTGCCCCAGCCACTTGAGACCAGTGGAAGGCAAGAAATGGGGGCCCTTCACCCTCGAGTGGACCCCACCTCTAGAACCTTGGAAAGAGAGCCAGGCCCTACAGCCAGCCAGCCCCAGCTCTGCAGCCAGCCCTCCACACCCCCTGCCTTCACGCTCTGTGAGCTCAGGCACATCCCGGGGAGCTAGTGGGTCTTTCACCTACACTCCTGACCAGATGCCTTGAATGAGATTCAGGAGAATCCCACACTATGCTGAACTCTGCTGTCTAGAAAATAAGAGTGGCGAAGGCGGGGTCAGGGCAGAGGCTCCACCTTTCCTAGAGCCCCAGATTGCTTTCTCTGGGGACACTTATTTAGAATTCGTGACCCATCTTTATGCAGAATAGAATGCCCCCCTGTCCCTTGAATCATGGTATCTACCACCGTTTTGCTTAATCACAGAACAGTGACTTTTCTGTGGAAATAGAATTTCTGTTTCCATAGGAGTGGTGACATGAAAGCAGCGAGAATTTGCAAAGTCTTAAAATGAATTTGCAAAGGAATCATTTTTAATGTAGTTTGTGCTGACATGTTTCCAGGACTTGAAAGTGAAGAGACTTTTTGTTATGATTACTCATGGCACAACAAACATAGTAGGTGCTTTATAAACATGTGTTGCATGAGTGAGTTAATGACCCAAAGTCATAATAATAATTATAAGACTTTTTAAGTTTAAAAATACTGAAAAAGGGCTGGGCACGCTGGCTCACACTTGTAATCCCAGCACTTTGGGAGGCCGAGGCGGTTGGATCACCTGAGGTCAGGAGTTTGAGACCAGCCTGGCCAACATGGTGAAACCCCATCCCATCTCTACTAAAAATACAAAAATTAACCAGGCATGGTGGCGTGCACCTGTAATCCCAGCTACTCAGGAGGCTGAGGCAGGAGAATTGCTTGAATCTGGGAGGTGGAGGCTGCAGTGAGCCGAGGTCATGCCACTGCACTCCAGCCTGGGCAACAGAGCGAGACTCTGTCTCAAAAACAAAACAAGACAAAACAAAAAATACTCAAAAAGATACTATTTGCTACTTGGGGATACATATATATGTTGTAAAAGTATACAGAAGTGTCTTGAACGATAAATGCCAAGTTAATAATATTGGGTTAGGAAGGAGGTGGTGGAGAAGGTGCAGAGAGTGGACTTCACTGTGTGGGCAGTGTTTTATTTTTAAAAATTTTAAAATGTATTTTCAGACAGGGTCTTGCTCTGTTGCCCAGGCTGGAATACAGTGGCATAATCGTAGCTCACTGCAGCCTTGAACTCCCAGACTCAAGCAATCCTCCCACCTCAACCTCCTGAGTAGCTGGAACTACAGACTCATGCCACCATGCCCGGCTAATTTTTTTTTTTCAGTTTTTGTAGAGACGTGGTCTTGCTGTGTTGCCCAGGCTGGTCTCAAACTCCTGGACTTCAGGGATCCTCCTGCCTCAGCCTCCCAAAGTGCTATTTCTTGAGCTGAGTAGTGGATACCTGTGTTTATTTTTCTTTACTCATTTTTGTATGTCTTCAACATTGCATAATACATTTAGAAAATACAACTACATTGAAAAGTATCTCTAATATAAAGATTACTTCACTGGAGAAAAAGCGGAGGGTGGAAAGTTGAGTAAATATGTCTGTTTCTTCTCCAAGTTGGGCGGTTTTTTTCTAATGTTGTGCATTCACTCCCACTCCCTTTCTTATCTACAGCAACCACTTCTCTCCCCCTAGAGTGTTTCCAAGTAATTCTATCTTCAGCTACCCGCTAGAAGGAAAATACTCCCATGCGTCAGTACAGAGGCTCTTCATGAGATCTGAGCAACTTCATTTCTTACAGATACCACCTAATAAATAAAAAGGTCATGCGCCGTGTATGAGAGGAGACAGAGGTTTGTGGGCACCTCCTCTGCCCATATTGCAGAAGTTTACCCTTCTGCCTCCGCTCATGCTCAGAGCAGCCTGTCATGTAGGCGTTAGCTTTCCTGTTTCACAAATTGGCAAGGCAGGCTCAGCGGTGCTCAGCGACTACCCAGAACGAGGCACACACGGAGCGCCCCAGATCAGCCTGGGATAAAACAGGGCTGACATCCAAATCGCCCTCCACCGCCCCCGCTCTCGTGCTGTGCTTCCCGTACAGGGGTGCAAATCCAGCCTTACTGCTGGCTCTTGACCATGTGACCAGCGGCCCCTGTTGGTGGGATGGTAGCAGGGTCAAGGATCCAAGGCAGTAGCTCTGGAGGCCTGTGACCCTCTCTGGCCTTCGGGGGATTAGCTCATCATCCTCATTGCAAGCACAAGTCCTGCAGTCTCCTGGGTCCTTGAACCCAGCAGTGTACAGGGTACAAGGATGCAGAAAGAAGTCATTAGAGCTTCTGTGTATCCACATTTTAAAAATATCACCCTTTAAAAATTTCTATTTTGTTGTATGTTTTATATGGTACATCATGTATTGGCACATGATAATACAGGTATATGATTTAAAAATATGTTAATATGCGTATATTGAAGATACCTACTCAAAAAATATTTTTACTGATAGAAGTATGAAGTTTTAAAAGTTTAGAGATTGTACTCTGCCAAACGGATCCACCTCATTCCCAATCAGCCATCAGCACACAAGCGTGCTGTCTTCCAGTGCAAAGCTATGCCAATCCTGGGCTGAGTGAGCTTGGACGTGTATATGGTTGCAATGATGCTCTTGGGGATGTTGGTGAAATCAGGACAAATTAGAGAGGTCAACTGGAGACAGGTAGATGTCTGTCTCTTTCT
Source organism: Homo sapiens (assembly GCF_000001405.40). NCBI lineage: Eukaryota > Metazoa > Chordata > Mammalia > Primates > Hominidae > Homo > Homo sapiens. Next base: position 41,822,205 of record NC_000008.11, on the reverse strand, counting down.
TTCTTTTCTTTCTTTCCTTCTTTCTTTCTTTCTTTCTTTCTTTCTTTCTTTCTTTCTTTCTTTCTTTCTTTCTCTTTCTTTCTCTTTCTTTCTCTCTCTCTCTCTCTCTCTCTCTCTCTCTCTCTCTCTCTCTCTCTCTCTTTCTTTCTTTCTTTTGAGATGGAGTCTCACTCTGTGGCCCAGGCTGGAGTGCAATGGCACAATCTCGGCTCACTGCAACCTCTGCCTCCTGGGTTCAAGCGATTCTCTTGCCTCAGCCTCCGGCGTAGCTGGGATTACAGGAGTGCGCCACCATGCCTGGCTAATATTTTTGTATTTTTAGTAGAGATGAGGTTTCACTATGTTGGCCAGGCTGGTCTCCAACTCCTGACCTCAGGTGATCCACTCACCTTGGCCTCCTAAAATGCTGGGATTACAGGCATAAGCCACCGCGCCTGGCCAATGTCTCACTTTTCAAGACAGCAGATTTCATAAGGCCAAATTCCTGAAAAAATGTTAGAATTGATTATTAAACAGATGGTTTATCACTGGTTAGGGGAAAAGCAGTGTTCCCTGGCAGCTAGCATGGGTTCACCAGGAGGAAGTCATGGCCAACTAAACTCATTTCCTTTACGATACTCAACAATGGCTTATTGGGAGAAGTCATTCATTCGTATGGCCTTTGACGCATGCATGTGTTCAGGGTCCACTTGGCAGGTAATTACTGAGCACTTATTTTGTTTAAAGCCCTACGGTTGAATGACATCTAGTGATAAATATATTGCAATCTCTGTCCCCTAAAGAGCTTTCTTTTTAATAAAGGAGATGACCACGTACACAGATAACTATAGTACAACAAAGTACTCCCTAAGTGCCACAAAGTGATATAAACAAATAGACCATCCTTTTTAGCAAGGAAAGAAAATGTTACAACTCCTATATATATTTATTTTTTGATATCATATTTCAAGTTTTTATCTATTTTGTATATGTTGTATATTGACAAAGTCTCTCATGATTTTGTAGACTGATGGGGCTCAGGACATAGCACCCTAAAATATGACCTTAGGAGACCAGAATATGCCACCCCCAAATATACTTCTGTAGCATATTTCGAGTTGGTTATTCTGAGAAACTGCAGACACAGGAGTAGCACTGAAAAGCTGTTGCTTTGTTAAAGAAATTTGCATCTGTAAAGGAAATCTACGTTAGTAAAATTGTCTATATCAGGGAGAGAGTTGCTCCAGACAACTTTTATTGCCCAAGGGACTTTTTGTCTGCCCAGCAAGATAGCTTTTGTTCATCATACATTTCCTCCCCTCGCCCTCCCACTGGTGGTCACCACCTCTCTGCAGCCCCGGCCCCTCTTCCTTTGTGTAGCTCAGGATGCCGTATCAGCTTTAATAATGTGACCCTTCATCAAGTCTCATATTTTGTGGGACTCTCGTGTGTACATATGCAATTAAACATGGTTTTTCTCCTGTTAATCTGGTTTATGTCAATTTAATTCCTATCCCAGCCAAAGGACCTAGAAGGTGGGGAAAGCCCTGTTTTGCTTCCCTACAGTTGGTACCCAGTGTGGGTCATCACTGGCTGGGACTAGCTTGCTCTGGGACCCCTGCAGCTACAGGATCCTGGGACCCCTGAGAAAACACTGGCCACAGGTAACATTTTGTACCAAATTAGGCTCCTGGATCTGTGCCTGCCGAGTGTGGTCAAAATGAGAGTGGTGGCTGGGTGTGGGGGCTTATTCCTGTAATCCCAGTGCTTTGGGAGACCCAGGTGGGAGGATTGCTTGAGACTAGGTGTTTGCGACCAGCCTAAGCAGCATAGGGAGACCATGTCTACACACACACACACACACACACACACACACACACACACACACACACACACACATTTAGCTTGGTGTGGTGGTGGACACCTGCAATCTCAGCTACTCAGGAGGCTGAGGCAGGAGGATCACTTGAGTCCAGGAGTTTGAGGCTGCAGTAAGCAATGATTGTACCATTGCATTCCAGCCTGGGTGACAGAGTGAGACCCCATCTAAAAAAAAAAAGGTGAGATCTAAATTTAAATTAGAAAACGTGTGTGAATTAGTTCCTGTGGAGCAACTCTGATGTTTTGGGGGAGTATGAGTATTTTTATTTTCTGACTCTCTCCCTCCCAGAGATGGTCATTGTTTTCCTGCCTGTGTCTTTTGTGTCATGTGTCATAAGGAGGAGACTCCCAGGGCGGGATCAGTGGCATGGGCCCTACATAAGCCAGTGGTTTGAGCTGGCCTCACAGGCTGCTGAGTTCATGATTCTCACCATATTGGTGTCTGTTTAGACGAACTTTGCTGTGTGTCCCTGAGACAGAAGAAAATGGATGAGATTCTCCTTCCAGCTTGTTTTATGTTGTGAGATCCTGTATTTTTGATCAGTGAGAATACTCTCTGGCCTCTGCCAGGCTGGGGTGCATGTGTCAGCTTGTGTCAGGAGGCCAGTGAAGTAGGCTGGGAGCCCAAGTCGCAAGCCATAAGCAGCGTTCTCTCTGTGACTGTGCCTGCTTTCAGGGGAGTTTGTCTTCAGAGGTCCCAGTTCTTAAGGGCTTTTGTCATCCCAACCTTTGATTGCTTGGTTAGCGCTGGGAAAGTCCAATCCCAGTAGGTCCTGCCTGGCATCATAGATTGACAGGCTGGTGCCTGGAGGTTCCCCATGTGTCCAAGGGAGGCTGGAGGCACCATTTTCACAAACACTATCCCTTCCACCTGTGGCAATGAAGGTCTTAGCTTTCTTCGTCTGTCTGTGGGAATGAACTCTTCAATCATTGGGAGCTGCATCTTCTCTGCCTACTTTCTAAACCTGCAAGTTACCTCTGGGTCTTTCTTTGAAAAGACTTATTGGAGCTGAGTGGGGTGGCTCAGCCTGTAATCCTAGTGTTACAGTCTCGACAGTGCACCACAGTGTAGCAGTCTCTCATTGCCTGAGGTAGTACCTGAAGTCCTTTGTCTCCCGACCAAGAAATTTAAGAAGCGTGGACACCGAGGGTGAGGTTGGAGCAAAAGTTTAACAAATGAAAGAAGAAAGCTCTCTGCTGTGGAGAGGGGACCCAGAAGAGGGTTGCTGTTTTTACAGTTGAATGCAAAGGCTTATTTATGAGAAACCAGTGAGGTCTGGGCATCAATGAGGCTGGTAGATCTACCCTGTCCTTCTAGTGTGCATGCGGGCCCTTAGCTTGAGTTACTCCATATTGCTTTGTTACCTTTACTGTGCATATGTTAGGGAACAGAATTTTCCATTGCCGGCATGTCTGGGCAAGTTACCTGTGTAGGCTTTCTTATCTGTGCAGCTGTGGGCGTGTCTTAGGCAAGCCCCGCTGTGCACAATCCCTTATCTGTGCCTGTGGACTGTTCTTTTGTTTGAAAGAATTCAACCAAGGACACACTTTAATTGCCTGCCTGACCAGGTTTTTTCCATTCTCCTCTCTCACTAGCATTTAGGGAGGCAGAGGCAGGAGGATTGCTGAAACCCACGAGTTCAAGACCAGCCTGGGCAATATAGTGAGAAAGGAAAAAGAAGAAAGAAGGAAAGAAAGAAAGAAAGAAGAAAGAAAAAGAGAGAGAGAAAGAAAGGGAAAGAGAAGGAAAGAAAGAAAGAAAGAAAGAAAGACTTATTGGTTTGAGTCACTACCTCTGGGATAAATAAATTGGCTATATTTGAAAAAATTTTTAGAGAGCTCACATCCTAAACAACTGTATTACTGATACCTATGGTATAATCCAACTGAAAAGAAGACATAATGGATTTAATGATTAGCTTTAGGGCCCCTTTAGCAAGATTAAAAGCAGAAATCAAGTTTAGAACCAAGTTAAAATTGTTTAAATTTGGCCTAAATTCCTCTTCTGTGCTCTCTTATATCCACAACTCCCTGGTCCTGACCCTCTGGAAGAACTCTGGAGCTCTGGGCCCCTGATTTAAAACTTTACTCCTCCAAATCTCCATTTTCTCAGTAAATTCCATTAGCTCAGGCGGGAAACATTTGTAGGAATGGGTTTGAATTGAGTCTTGGTGTTGGGGTACCCATTAGTTATTAACCCTTTCCCTCCCGTGGATAGTTATTGCTTTCCTATACGTCTTCTTTTATTTTTTCTTCCCCAAGAACTTTGTTTGACTTTGCAGCCAGCGGGGGCACGTGGGTTATTGGGCCTGTATGTGCAGGTGGCCATCCAAAAGGTTGGAAATCTCCAAGAATGTGGCCGGACAGAAACATGGGTGCAGCCCATTGGCAGCTGGCACACCAACTCTTGCCACTTCTCAGGAGCATCGTCTCAGGGTTTCTCTCCGTGGCTGTCTTTGGGAGTGGCCCTGGATTGTGAAAGGGCTGCATCTTTTTTGTCTCTCTTTGGAGATGCCTCATGCATTCATGGTTCAGTGGTGAAAAGCATGTTTGTTTTGGTCTTGAGTCACTTGTTAGGTATATCTTCGGTTTAGAGCTTTGGTTTATATAAAGCATGATAGGAATTTTTTCCTTTAGCTCTTCCCTCCTAAGCTAAAATGGAACTGTGTACTCAGAAAGAAAGAAAACAGTTTATTAAAACTTTTCTAGACAAATAGCTCTAACTCTAGAACAGAGGAATATTTTGGTTTCCATCCTAGTTGGAAATCTGCTTCTTGATATAAAGGAGCAAACTGAAGATCGGATGGATGGGTCAGCACCTTGACATTCAGGCTGCAACCCAGTTCTTAGGGGAATTAAAAACAACTGTCCTCGTCTTACACATTGAGGCTTTATCACAGCAGGAATGTGCCTCTGGAAGCAATTCAAAGCCCACCTAGCCTTCTTACCAGTACCCAAACCTCACCTGTTCATCTCAAGATGTTTGCAAAAACTTCAGCAAATCAGAACACTGGAAACAAAAGTGTCTTGCATTTAAGAAAAAGAAGGAAAAGTTTTAATAGATTTATCCTAGACTTCTGATAATAGGCAAATGTGCCCCCCAAAACTCCTTCCTGTTGAAAACTTGAATTCTTTCTCTGTGCTTTTGAGATGTAAATTTTCTAACCTGTCTTATCTAAGATCTTATCAAGATCCTTCTTGAAGTGCAAACTTCAGGGAGATGATTCTCAGGTTAAAAAGAAAAAAAAAAAAGAAACTATTTGGAAACTGGCAAATGACAAGTCTTGAGTACAAAAGCATGAGCCACCTGAGCAGGGAAACTTCACTGGTCCCATTTGCCAGATCCAGCTATTCTCTTATAAGTGAGTTTTGAATTATTGTATCTGGCACATGGTTAAAATTTAGTAAGATCTGTTTCTATCTATATGGTTATGTATGTCTAAGTATGTATGTATGTCATGTAATGTGATATTTTCTATCTCTGGATAAGGTCTATTTAATTGGCTTAAAGAAAAATAAGTGTTTATAAAAATTGTTCTCTCAGAAAAAGAGAAATTAACCAAAGTGCTTTTCAACTTCATGTAACCGATAAAATTTGGTAAATAAGAATATTATTGGCCAGACCTGGTGGCTCATGCCTGTAATCCCAACACTTTGGGACGCTTAGGTGGGAGGACTGCTTGAGGTCAGAAGGGCAAGACCAGCCTGGGCAACATAGCAAGAACCCTGTGTCTACAAAAAATAAAAAATTAGCTGGGTGGGGTGGTGCATCCCAGCTACTTGGGAGGCTGAGGTGGGAGGATCCCTTGAGCCCAGAAGTTCGAGGTTGTAGTGAGCTATGATTGCACCACTGCACTCCAGCCTGGGTGACAGAGCAAGACCTTATCTCTAAATAAGAAAAAAAAGAATATTATTTGTTTAATTAAAACAGGCAAGTCTTCAGAATTGTTAGCATTAAATATAATGCAACCAAATTTTCATCTCTTAGATGTTTAAAATCGTAAGACTATGGGTTCAACCTAAGAGCAACTGTGCAAGTAAAACTGCAGTGTCCATTACTGTGTGTATATCAATCACATCAGTAAGACAAAAGTCCAATTATTTAACTTTTTATGTTCTTGCTTTTGTGACTCTCATAACATGCAGGTGCTATGAAAATAGTTAATGGAAATAGCGTGAAATGATGGCTAGCTTTATCTAATGTCTTATTTAATTTTTATGAATAATCCAAACATAATTGTTAAGAACAAGTGAATTACACAGATGTAAGAGCGATAAAGGTTTATAAATGGACTTTTAAACAGTAATAATGTTTTATAATATGTCTGTTTAAAAAGGTTTCCCAATCTCTTTGGTAAGTATACCCTTCGATATCTTCATCGAATGTCTAGTTTATTTCCAAATAAGATAAAGTACTGAAACATTAACTGGTGAACATAAATTTATTTACCTTTGGGTTCTTAAATTTTATAGAGACAAAATATACTTGGGTTAGTAAATATTTCCTGTTCCACATTGAAAAAGTATTCTATGAGGAAGCATATATTTCTAGAAATGATGAAATATGCAGTCATCAAATGTTATGTGACAGTTCAAAATTGCTTGCTTCCTAGGTTTTCACTGGAAATTAGGGTTACTAAGTCTTAAAATTCTAATAACATAATTAAAACTACTGTAAATGATAAGAAAAACAATTCTGCATAGAAAGTATACAAGGAAAGTAAGTTGTTATAAGGTATGAGGTTTTTTTTGTAGAGGGAAAATAACTTTGTCTAGTTTAGAGGTTATCAAAAGGTTGTTTCAAAATGAAAGAAGGAAAGATGGGGGAAAACTGAATGGACATGAAGTTGGGAAGAAAGAGAGCAAGAGGGATCCTATAGGGTCAAACTGACTAAAATGGAATACATTTATTATAACGGTTTTTAAAATGAGTCTTAATATCAAAAGTACACTGATGCAAAACTAGAATTTAGTCTTCTCTTCTAACAACAAGGGTGTTTTGTAGTCTTAATAAGAGATAGTGAAATTTTTTTTCCACCTTTTGAGTGATCTGCCTTAAAAAAAAGAGGATTCTGTGTTTTATCAAAATAATTTCCTGTGCTTCATGTTTTCATTATTAGGTCTTTGATTACTTAAGAAAACTGAGTCTCTCAATATTAAAAGAGTTAAGGCTTTTTATGATTATGTAAGCCTTTAATATTTGCCTTTAAGATCTCATGTCACTTTGATTTTACTTCATAATGATCTGTGATCCTATTTAATCAAATGTTTAAACCTTTTGATATTGGTACTTTCCAAAATCAAATTCAAAGTTAAATCTTTTTGATCTCGAAATAACTTCGGGATTTCTCAGATGGGCCCCTGGAAGTTTTCAAAAGCAAATTGTTCTGTCTTCTTATAAAACATACCTACTAAGCTAATTGGCCTTATTTTATGTTACATTGGCATGGAAAGCATTATCAAGTAGGAAATGATGTTTAACCTTCTTTGAGTTATGTGGATATACGTTATTACATGCAATTCCTAGAAATCTGCTAAGTTCCGATAAATCAGTCATGATTCTAGTTATTATTTTAAGATGTTGTTTGCCATGGAAATAAAATGAATAATAAAAAAAAATAAGAATCTAAAAATAAAAAATAAAAAAATAAAAATAAATAAATAGCTTGTCAGGTGCATCATTATTATAATGAAATCTCATCCGATCTTTAACCATGGCTATTTTAAGTCTTTGTCATCCATTTATTGTTTTACTTTAATTCTCTAAAAGCTTCTTTAAGGAGATTCATGGAAAACACTCTGACAAATATTTTGGAATACAGGTTTCTGATAACTTTATGATCATACCACCAGACTGCATAGTAATCTCCAGAATTCTAATAAGGAAACTGATGGATTCATGAAACTGCTAATAACATGAAGCAGAATAAGAACTAATTACATGCAAATGAATGAGCCCAGGAGGATACTTTTTTTTTTTTTTTTTGAGATGGAGTCTTGCTCTGTTGCCCAAGCTGGAGTGCAGTGGCACAATCTCAGCTCACTGCAAGCTCCGCCTCCTGGGTTCACGCCATTCTCCTGCCTCAGCCTCCTGAGTAGCTGGGACTACAGGTGCCTGCCACCACGCCCGGCTAATTTTTGTATTTTTAGTAGAGACAGGGTTTCACCATGTTGGCCAGGCTGGTCTTGAACTCCTGACCTCGTGATCCACCTGCCTCGGCCTCCCAAAGTGCTGGGATTACAGGCATGAGCCGCCACGCCCGGCCTCTATGAATTTTTTAAAATGGCAGTATAGTTATTTGCATAAGTGTAATAAGAATCTGTTCTTGTAACAGGACACAATTGAAAACACTGATTATGTTACCAATGCTTTGACTGGAATGTCACATTTTATAATATGCCAGACAACTTTAAGGAACTAAGGTTGACTTTATGGAGCCAATGAAGCCCTTGGAAAAACAAACAACTGATGTGGTACCTTGAATACATAGTTCATATTGTTACATTAAAGGTGGGTAAGGAATGTCACTTCTTGGCAGGCCCAGGAACCTCAGAATATTTTAGGGATCTTGAAAAGAGAGGAATTCACCCCAATCTACAGGTATTACAGACGAAGTTTGATGATGAGTCCTTTGCTTGGCTTCCTAACCTTAATAGGATTTTAAAAGTCCAATCTGAGATTCCCTATTAAAAGTTCTAGCAAAACAGACTTCAAAGAGCTTATATGATCAATCACCATTCTTGCTGCACTTTTGTAAATGCTCAGGCCAAGTTTCAGAAGACTAAAGTTATTTTGCAGATATATTAGTCTTACTGTAATTACCTTTGGTAAAATTGGGGGTGACTGTAAGAAAATCCATGTTTCAGTAGAAACTATAGGGTACCTGTTATTATATTCTGGCCTTCATGTTTCTTGAGATGTTTATCTACCTCTAAACTGTACTGGAACCTGAATTTTCTTAATATCTGGCTATGACTCTACAAGCTAACATTTCAGAATTTCTCCCACCTTTCTGACTTGGAATCACTAAAAACAAAAGCTGTCCTTTTCCAGAAGCCCCGCAAGCTGAAGCCAGATGACCTGATGTGAACTTTGGAGAAATCGCCACAACATGCTGTGTATGGATAACCTTTGTGCCTATTGCCCTGTGGGCCACTTAGATCGCCAGAGACATTCAAACTGCAAAATGTGCTTCGTTATAACCCACAATCTAGACATTTTCTCAACTGGCTGCCCTTCAGACTTAGAAATTTGGTTTATTCTCTGCTCCAGTTATTAACTTATATTTTTCTTTTGTTGCCATAGAAATGACGCTTTGGTGGGTTATTGGACAAACTACCAACTCAGTTTCTGGACTTAAAAACTTCTTGGGAGAGTTTCAGCCTGTCCGGGGCCTGTTAGGAACCAGGCCGCACAGCAGGAAGTGAGCAATGAGCCAGGAAGCATTGCTGCCTGAGCTCCGCCTCCTGTCAGGTCAGCGAATGCATCAGATTCTCATAGGAGTGTTAACCCCATTGTGAGCTGTGCATGAGAGGGATCTAGGTTGCGCACTCCTTATAATTTAACTAATGTCTGATGATCTGAGGTGGAACAGTTTCATCCTGAAACCATCCCACCACCTCCGGTCCGTGGAAATACTGTCTTCCACAAAACTGGTCCCTGGTGCCAAAAAGCTTGGGGACCGCTATTCTCTGGTATATTTCATGCTGGTTATTCTAAGAAACTGCAGACACAAGAGTAGCTCTAAGAAGCTGTCTTTTTGTCAAGGAAATCTACATCTATGAAAGAAACCTACAGTAATGAAAGTATCTTTATCAGGAAGAGGACTGCTCTAGACAACTTTTACTTTTTATCTGCATAGCAGGACAGCCTTTGCTGACCATGCATTTCCTCCGTTGACCTTCCATGGCTGGCCACTGCCTCCTCCTGGAGGCCCCAGGCCCTTCTTCCTTTCTACAGCTTAGGACACTCTATCAGCTTCAAACATCTGACCCTTCTTTGAGTCTCATATTTTGTGGGACTCCCATATATATAATTATGTATATAATTATGGTTTTCTCCCTGTTCATCTGTATTATGTCAACTTAATTTGTAGCACAGCCAAAGAACTTAGAACAGTGGAGAGAAGCCATTTTTGCTCCCCTGCAGACAAAGTGAAGGAAAATGAAGATATTTGGGTTGGATGATGATAACGAAGTGATTTGGAACTCATGGAACAACTATACATTAAGTGGGTTACTTGATGAATTAATATCAGCCCCAAGGGAGAGCTTTAGTGATGTGCTGCTGGGCCCCATCCCTGGCCATGTACTGATTAACATTCCAGTTTACAGTTGCCTGCAGACATAGCAAGCAGCTTCATTTAACTCTCAGGGAGCTGGATCATTAAATATTCAGATGAATGGAGGCTATAATTGCTCTTTGTCTTGTGTTAGGACATATACAGGTATGTCATCACCACCTCTGAAAGATCTTGAGAAACATGGACAAACTAAAAGTATAGTCAGAGAAATTAACAATAATAATAATAACAATAGCTACATGTACTGAGCACATACCACGTGTGGGCACTGTGTTGAACATTGCACCGGCATAACCTCACGGAGTCCTCACAGCATCCCTGTCAGGTGGACACTATTGGCAGTCCCACTGTGCAGTTGAACACACTGAGGTTTGGGAGGTTCCGTGCTCTGGTCTCTGCAGCACAAAGACTGGTGGAAGGGTCTGGCCTGTGGCCTGGAGAGGGCAGTCTGAGCCAGGGAGGGCAGTGCCATCCCTAAGAGTGGATGAAGACTGAGGGGGAAGGCGGTGGGTTTATTCCGAATGGGGCTGATGGGCAGAAGTGGAAGCGGAAGGTGGGAGTCGCGGGGCAATGGCAGCTCCTGTGTGAGGAGGGACTTCCGAGTCTTCTGAAACCGCCTTTGCAGAATTCTAAGTAATGAGAGAAAGCTAACGTGACTGACTCCATCTTGCTTCTAATCTCATAGGCTAACTTGTTTCTTGTTTTGTTTTTTGCTTATTCTGGAATGGAGGCCAAGATAACTATGAGAGGAATTTAGTTTATAATTAAACTTTGAAGCAAGAAAAACTGAAACCCCCGCTCCCTTCCTCAGAGATTGAAGCTGCATTCATGAAACAAGGTTTGAATTATGGTAGCGGCTTGAGCTTTGCTAAAGGATAGGCAGAGTTAAACAATGAGCTGCCATGCTTAGCTTGTTTTTCTATAAATTGTGTACTGCCCCAGAGTCATGTAACCAGGGCAGGCAAGATTTATAACTTCTCTGACTATCCCTAGAGATAACATCACTACTGTGAAACCTAAAGAAGGGGCCTTTGAGATATTTTTTCAGATTTAGCATTTCTGCAGACCAAGAACCGCCACCTGGTCCTGAGACCCGCACCCGCGAACTGACGCACCTGCGTGAAGACGATTTTAGGCACCTCTGTGATGCCATCCATTGTTTCAGTTTCCCAGCCTCTGCCTGCCAAAGTACCCTTAAAACACCCTGGCCTCCGAATTCCCGGGGAGACAGGTGTGGGAAGTTTCTCCTGTTCTCCTGGCTCTCCCGGCCCTGTGGTCATGAGGCCCTTACTTTGGGGCAGTGCCTGTTCTCCGCGCTTTTGGCTTTCTGGGCAGCGGGCAAGATGAACCCATCGGGCTATTACGCTTCGGCGGCACGTTGCTCTGGAAGGCCCGTCAGGGACGCCAGAAGAGAGGCTCCACTCTGGATGACTCAGAGATGCTCTGCTCCTGTGTGGCCCGATGGACCTGCAGCCACTGCTTACAGACAGTGGGTTTGCCAGCCACTAAAAAGCCTTTGCACGGCTGTAGGGCAGCCTCAGCAGAGGGGCCACAGATGGCTTCACCGTGGAAACACGTTCCTTCTGTGGAGGTCAGATCCACGGCCTGAGGGGTGCAGGAAAAAGCTGGAGTGGCCATTGCCCAAGATTTCCCTCTTTTGGGGGGAAATATAAAATAGCCTCCAATCTTTATACCTCCTGACATGAAACCGCAGATTCGCTGATTCTTCAGCTAAGTTGTGCACATTCAGCATTTGTCAGTCTGACGGACTTTCCTCCCCCAGCGCCACCTGGATTTAGGAAATGCCAAACTATGAATAATCAGGCAGACCTCGCCCAGATCTGAAAGCAGAAATGGAAAGAGTTTGGGTGTCTAAATGCCCTTCAGGTTGGAGAATGACCCTTCAGCAGGATGTTTTAATGTTTTAAACTTTATAATCAGCAGGTCAGGGGTAAAGATGGAATTTAGGGGAACCTGAAGCGAAATTCTCCTTCAGTCTCTCTCCCTGTCCCCCCTCCCCACTGCCTGCATATAACACGCCCTTCCCACATCTGTGGATCCCCGTGGCTCACGGTAACATGACGGTGGGAGACCACCAGCCGTCAGTTAACCTGAAACAACAGGACTGATTACTTTCACAAAGTAGGAGAGGCAGAGCATCTGGGGTTTAGTCAGAAGAATGGATTCCAGCCTCAGTCAGTAATTAGCTGTAGGATCATGGGCAGTGCAGTTTGATTTTCTGAGTTTCAATTCTTCCCTATTTTTATTTTGTTTTAGAGGTGGGGTCTCACTCTGTCACTCGGGTTGAAGTGTGGTGGTACGATCATAGCTCACTACAGCCTGACCTCCTGGGCTCAAGCGACCCTCCTGCCTCAGCCTCCCGAATAGCTGGGGCTACAGGCATGCACCCTCATGCCTGGCTAATTTAAAAAATTTTTTGTACAGGTGGGGTCTTGCTATGTTGCCCAGGCTGGTCTTGAACTTCTGGGCTCAAGTGATCCTCCTACCTTGGCTCTCAAAGTAGCTGGGGTGACAGGCGTGAGCCACCATGCCCAGCCCCAATTTCTCCCTTTGTAAAACAGGAATAATAACAATTTTTCATGATAATTGAAACTCCAGCATGGTTTTGAGTATCACACACCATAGTGCATGTTGACGCGTTTGCTAATTGCTCCACGTTATTTCTATGATGATTATAAGATGGAAACCTCCTGCTGGCTTGGAAGTTTTCACAGAGCTGCGCATTTGGTGTAGATGTAGTGTTTGTTTTACAGATCCTCAAAGGATTGGGATAATTAGCTAAATAAATCTTGGCTAAGCCAGCATGTGTAAGGTGGTCATGCCCTTAACTCAGTAACATGTACAAAAAAGACCCGTAAGGCATGAGATCAAAGTGGAGATTAAGAACGACTCCCCAGTTAAGGAGAGTCACCTGGGGAAGTGTGAGCCCTGGATGAACCACATTTGTGTGGTCACCTGGGTCTGGCCATCCAAAGGCAAGAACAAGACTTGCAGGGCAGTCATGCAGCTGGGTGACTAGTGGGGATGATAATCCTATAGCAAAAAGTTAAAACATAATAACAACAAATACCCTTTGCCAGCACGGTGCAGAGAAACACTCATTTTCTGGTTGGAAAATCTATAATGCCCAATAAGGCCTCAGAAATGTTCATAAGCTGTGACTTCAGGCAGTCTAGAAAATTATCTGGGAAAGATCTTAAGGAAATAGTCACATTCAAGAGCACAAAATCTTAACTGTAACGTTTAAATTAGCAAAAAAAATTTAGGAAGCATCTGTGTGCAGCAGTAGGGGGTGGGTTAAATGAAACAGCAAACATTCTTATTTTCATTTTTATTTATTATTATTATTATTTTTTTAGACAGAGTCTCGCTCTGTCACCCAAGCTGGAGTGCAGTGGGCACGATATTGACTCACTGCAACCTCCGCCTCCTGGGTTCACTTGATTCTCCTGCCTCAGACTCCCAAGTAGCTGGGATTACAGGTGGCCGCCACCACACCTGGCTAATTTTTATATTTTTAATAGAGATGGAGTTTCACTATGTTGGTCAGGCTGGTCTCGAATTCCTGACCTCAAGTGATCCACCCGCTTCGACCTCCCAAAGTGCTGGGATTACAGGCTTGAGGCACTGTGCCTTACTTACAACAGGTAAGTGGCATGTCCCAGGTTCCATGGCCTAAGTAACAAAGGCTCACCCAGGACTGAGACCATCTTACTCCAGTGCTTTTCTCTAGACAAGGAGCTGTCAGGAAAAGTTGCTCTGGAATTGAAACAACCCCATGGGAGCTTGGGTGTGATCAGAAATTGCATGGTGGGTCTGCAATGGTGGGCCAGAGCTGTCTGAGTTGGTGCAGCAGGTAGCCCCAGGGTGCTGCACTCATAGAGGAGGTGGGGTGTCCCTGGCTCTGGCATGCTCTGCAGAGAAGACCCTTTCTGGGTCTGGCCTTAGAGCAGAGGGCTGCCGACCTTGGGGCTGGCCAGGCACAGTCTCCAGAAGGAGTCCTTCTCTTCCTCTTCCTCTTTCATCATCCTCTCTTCTTCCTCCTCCTCCTCCCCTCCTCCTCTTCCCCTCCTCCTCTTCCCCTCCCTCCTCCTTCCCCCTTCTTTTGTCCCCCTTCCTCTCTTTCTCCTCTCCTCCTCCTCTTTGTAGAGAGAAACCCAGTTCTCCTTCCCACTCCCTTCTTTGGCTCCCCCTTGTAGATGCTTGGAGAGAGGGAAGTTTTGGAGACATGATCTGGCTTTCTTCAACTAGCGTCCTTTGAACACTAGTATTTTACTCTCAGATTTAAAAACGAGAGAGGAAGTCAATGCCCTAAGATTTCAAATATTATCTCAAGAGCACTTAGAGGGGATCAGAGATTTTATGTGATACCGCCCGGCCTCATCAGTGTCCTCTTCATCATGACCACTGCCACCACCAGCACCGTGTGATCCATCTAGTACACCACCCCCTCTTCAATGCCATTTCCTGTCAACTCCTAGGGATAGTCCTGCTTACAGATACAAGGTGTGATGTTGGGCCAGCTATTCACAGGAAGAAGGTGAAAGGGCCACGACAGACAGGGCAGTACGGACTCTCTGTTTCCAATGCTGGACTTGAAGGGAGTATAAATTAACATAAATAAACTATAAGTGACTCAAAGCCACGTTAGAGTCTTATCTGGGAGGCAATATAGTGTCATGGTTAAGCATGAGACTTGGATTGAAGTCTCCATTTCTCACTGGTTCTGTGACCTTGGTAAGCACCTCTCTTGCCTCGGTCATCTGATGAGTAACATGGGGGTTACCACAGTGCCTGCCCCATCAGATTGCTGGAGTCATGAGTGAATAACAATGCAAAACTCTAGACCGTGTCTGTTTTCTTTACCCATTGCATACCTAGTAGTATGACTGGCACATAATAGGTGCTTGGTAAATATTACGAGAAAGATGGATGAGTGAATAAATGAATGATGAACAAATGAATGAATGAGAACATAGTAAGTGCTTAATAAATTTTAATAAATGTTAATTATTAGCATTATTGTAAAGTATCTAATTCTTCCATCCCTCCTCTTATAAGGATAAGAAGTATAATTTTATGGATTTACTTTTTCCCCTATTTTTCTCACATCTGTGGATGGTAAAACTGTTAGCAGCAACAGCATGATCCAATGCAGGCATAACCAGGGATTTCTGAGGACAAGACATCTATAAACTGGACAATCGTCATGGAAAACCATCGAGAGTGGAGCCTGTCACAATCTGCTCTTACAACATTGTGTTGCTTTTTTCTTTTGAGACAGAGTCTAGCTCTGTTGCCAAGGCTGGAGTGCAGTGGCACCATCATAGCTCACTGTAGCCTTGAACTTCCAGGCTCAAACCATCATGGTTCACTGCAGCCTCTAACTCCCAGGCTCGAGCAATTCTCCTGTTTCCCGAATAGCTGGGATTACAGGTGCCATCACACCCAGCTAATTTTTGTATTTTTAGTAGAGACAGGGTTTCGCCATGTTGCCCAGGCTGGTCTTGAACTCCTGACCTCAAGTGATCTTCCCTCCTTGGCCTCTGAAAGTGCTGGGATTACCGACATGAACAACTGCACCTGGCCTGTGCTGCTTTTATATTATCTTTTTCCTCCTTTTTTCCCTTTATCTTGCTCCTTTTTATACACAGTAGTGGAAAGAACAGGGCATGCATGAACTCTGCTCTGGAAAGATCCTGGACAAATTGTGTTGTCTCCCTGGGCTGCCATTTTATTCTCAAAATGAGGACATGGGCCCCACCACTCACTGAGTTCTTGTCCAGTCTATCATACTCTGGTTCTGTGATTTTTAAAAATAGCTTAACGTCAAGGTATATTTGAGTGCCTAAACTTCCAGTTTCAAAGTGTAGCCTGGGGACCCAGGGAGCTCCCCAAAGACCCTTTCAAGGGGTTCTAGGGTCAAAATTCTTCATAATACAGCAATGTTATTGGACTTTTTCACTTTCCCTCTCTTGCAAGTGTAAAGGATATGAAAAGCTCATTAATATTCTTTGTGATTCCACTCTGTAACCAGCCTTTAAGAAATTACTTGTTGAGTTTTTATGTAGTATACAAAAAGAATTTCACAATTAAATGAAAAGGCTATTAAAATACTCCTCCTTTTTCCAACTACATATCCAAGCGAAGCCAGATCTTCACATACCTCAACTGACACAACCTATTCCACCACATTGATGTAGATGGCAATATGGGAACGTATCTGTTTTTTTCTTAAGCCAGATGTTAAACAGATTTGCAAAAATGGAAAGTAGTGACCCTCTTTGCACTGATTTGTTTTTGGAAAATATAGTTATTTTTCAGAAAAATATGTTGTCTGTATTAATGTGAAATTGGTTTATTATGCTATGTTCAAATGAATTAATATATACATAGTTTTAGAAACTCTCAGTTTTAATTTCTGATATAGTAAATATTGCTAGATATAAGTCACATTTAAGAAAAAGCTCTATGGGACTGAGTGGAGTGGCTCATGCTTGTAATCTTAGTACTCGGGGAAGCTGAATCAGGAGGATCGCTTGAGCCCACGAGTTCAAGACCAGCCTGGGCAACATAGTGAGATCCTGTCTCTACAAAAACTAAATTAAAAAAATTAGCTGGGTACAGTGGCACAAACCTGTAGTCCCAGCTACTTCGAGGCTGAGGTGGGAGGATTGCTTGAGCTCAGAAGTTCTAGACTGTAGCAAGCCATGATTGTAACAATGTGCCCCTACCTGGGTGACAGAGCAAGAATCAGAGAGAGAGAGAGAGAGAGAAAGAGACAAAGAGAGAGAGACAGAGAGAGAGAGAGAGACAAAAAGAGGGACAGAGAGAGAGAAAGAAAGAAAGAAAGAGAGAGAGAGAAAGAGCTCTATGAGAGAGAGAGAAAGAAAGAGAGAAAGAGCTCTATGAGAGAGAGAAACACACACACACACACGACACACACACACACACACAGAGAGAAAGAAAGAAACAGCTCTATGGGATCCTTAATATTTTTTACTGTAAAAGGGTCCCGAGATAAAAAAGTTTGAGTTCCATTCAACACTATTCTCTAAGTTTACCGGAATGAGTGGGAGTTTACCCTTGAATTTTTAAAAAATTAATTAAGCATCTGTTGTTTAACCTTTTAAAGCTTTTAGTTTCCCCACTCTTCATGCTGACTTTTTAAAATGACTGAGGTCACTTCTCTGTTTTCACCGTGTTTTGCCGGAATGTGGGAATTTCGCAGCACTCTAAGCCAGTGCCAAGCAGATGGAGATGTGTAAAGTTTAAGCGAATGAGAATCAAGTTTTCAGAATCTGGAATATGTTCTAAAAATATTGATCTCCTAAACTGGTAGCCTGAGCAAACATTTAACATGAAATAAAGTAAATCAGTAATCTCCCTCCCATAGTTACCCTCTCATTGAAAAAGACCAGATTATTTTGCGGGCAATTAATTAATCCCTCTCATAGCCAGGGAGAGAAGCCAGCCAACTCACCTTATGAGTTTAGTATGATATGATACTAAAACTGGAGACAATTTAGGAAAAGAAAATGATAGGCCATGTGGGGGTTTTAAATATGTACACATTCTTCGATATACTTCCCTTTGACAATTTCCCTGCTGTTGAGGGTGGGCTGGTTTAGTGATTTGCTTCTAGCAAATAGAATGTGGCAGAAGTGATGATATGTGATGTCTAGACTAGGCCATGACAGCCTCGTGGCTTCTGCCTTCTCTCTTGGGTCACCCTGGGAAAAGCTAGCTGCAGTGTAAGAGGATGGTTGGCAGCCCTATGGGAGGTCCATGAGGTGAGGAGCTGAGAGCTTCTGCCAGCAGCCATCTGAGGATCTTGGAAGTGAATCCCAGCCCTAGTTGGGCCTTCAGATGACTGCATCCCCAGCTGACATCTTGATGGCAACTTCCTGAGAGACACTGTGCCAGTACCACCCAGATGAGCTGCCCCTGAATTCCCAACCCACAGAAACTCTGAAATACTAAATTTACGTATTTTAATCAGCACAATTGGGGGCTACTTTGTTATGCAGCAGTAGCAAATTAAAATAACCAATATAACTTATGAATATATAGGTGCAAAAATCCTGTAGAAAATTCCACAACTCTAATTCAATGGTGCTATATTACAAGTAATTCATTACGACCAAGAAGGGTTTAACCCAAAAATGGAAGGATAGTTTAGCATTAGAAAAATCTATTAATGCAATGTACCACCTTCACAAAAAAGGAAAAGAAAAATTTGGATTTCAACATTCATTCATGATTAAAATTTTAATAAACTGAGACTAGAAGCTAACTTCCTTAACTAATAAAAAGATATTCACAAAAGTCTTACATAAACATTATACTTAATGGTAAAACTTTAAAAGCAGCTCCATTTAAGTCAGCAACTAGATAAACATGCTATCACTGTTTCCGTTCAAAAATATATTGGATATCTTACCCAATGTAATAGAGCAAGAAAAGCAAAGAAGGGGTGCAAAAACTGTAAAAGAAGAGAACAAAATGTCCTGATTTGTGAATAATAATTGTCTACAGAGAAAAATCAAAGAGAATCATGGTCAATTTTTTTGAAGGCTAGTCAAGTGAAGCAGTGGGAATGGAGAAGGAACAAATAAATCTGTAACTGAATGTGACCAATTAGTTGTAAACATCACTGCACTCAGACCAGCCAGGGACAAACTAGGAGACCTCATAATAGAGCTCAACAAGATTTCTGGCTACAGGCTCAAGATACAAAAATGTATGTATCTATAGACTGTAACAACCCAATAAAAATATCAAACAAGAGGGCAAAGGACCAAGAGAAGCTTTGATGCTTTTTTTTTCTCTCTCTCTCTCTCCCTCCCTCTCTTTTTCTCTTTTCTTTTCTTTCTTTCCTTTCTTTCCTTTCCTTTCCTTTCCTTTCCTTTCCTTTCCTTTCCTTTCCTTTCCTTCCCTTCCTTCCTTCCTTCCTTCCTTTCTCTCTTTCTTTCTTTCTCTTTCTTTCTTTCTTTCTTTCTTTCTTTCTTTCTTTCTTTCTTTCTCTCTTTCTCTCTTTCTTTTTTCATCTCTCTCTCTCTCCCCCCCCCCCTTTCTCTCTCCCTTTCTCTCTTTCTTTCTTTCTTTTAGATAGGGTCTCATTCTCATTACCCAGGCTGGAGTGCCGTGGCATGATCATCGCTCACTGCGGCCTCAATGACTTCCCAGGCTCAGGTGATCCTCCCACCTCAGCCTCCCCAGTAGCTGGGACTACAGATGCAAGCCACCACACCTGGCTACTTTTTTCTATTTTTAGTAGAGATGGGGTTTTGCCATGTTGCCCGAGTGATCGGCCTCCCAGAGTGCTGGGATGACAGGTGTAGGCCACTGTGCCCAGCTGTTATGATGCTTTTCTAGAGGAATAAAGCAAAGAGACTTCCTCAACAATACTAAGACTTATTGCGGACAATATTAAAATTTATTATAAAATGTATTATTAGTTGCAGTAGCAATGAAGACAGTATGACATCAGTACTGAGATAGACTTATAGGCCAATGGATCATAGGAGAGAGTTCTCCTCTCCAACAGACTCATGCATGTGGAGACTTAATAAACGATGAACATGACACAGTTCAGCTGGGAGAGGATGGGCTAATCAATGGTGCAGGGATATTTCATTATCCACATAGTAAAAATCAGAACTCAACTCACATCATACACAAAATAAGTCAAGTGGATTTAAAGACCTAAATATGAGAAGTAAAACTATAGGTCGGGCGTGGTGGCTCATGCCTGTAATCTCAGCACTTTGGGAGGCCAAGGTGGGCAGATCACTTGAAATCAGGAGTTTGAGACCAGCCTGACCAACGTGGTGACACCCTGTCTCTACTAAAAATACAAACATTAGCCAGGCGTGGTGGTGAGTGCCTGTAGTCCCAGCTATTCGGGAGGCCGAGGCAGGAGAATTGCTGGAACCCGGGAGGCGGAGGTTGCAGTGAGCTGAGATGGTGCCATTGCACTCTAGCCTGGGCGACAGAGCAAGACTCCATCTCAAAAACAAAAAACAAAACAAAACAAAACAAAAACCCTATAAAATAAATATAATACAGAAAAAATTGTATAAGCTCAGGGTAGAAGTGGACTCCTTAAGACAAAAGAAACACAAACCATAAAGAAAATGATCAACATATTTGACACATTAAAACCCATATTAGTTCGTTAAAAGATACCATTTTAAAAAGTGTAAAGAACTACACACTGGGAGGAGATATTTTCAATGCACATAACTGAAAAATGATTCGTATTCAGACTGCAGAGAACTCCTCCACCTCGATAAGAAAAAGACAAACAACATAACAGAAAAATGGGCAAAGGGCTTGAATAGTAATTTCATAGAAGAGGAAAAGTAAATGGCCCATAAACATGTGAAAAGATGCTCAACCTCATTAGTAATCATGGAAATGCAAATAAAAAGCACCACACCATACCATTTTATACCAACCAGATTGACAAAAATATTAAAGTCTGACAATACCAAATGTTGTTGAACTTGCAGGGCAACCACATAACCCTGCTGTTGACAGTGTAAATTGGAAGAGCCAATTTCAAAAACAAGTCAGTGTTATCTAATAAGATTGAAGATACATGTACGGTAAAACTCAGTAATTCTCCTGCTAGCATACACACTAGAAAGATCTCACACACGTGCACTGGGAAGCTTTTATAAGAATGTTCATAGCAATAATGTTTTAATAGGAAAAAGTTGAAAACAGCTCAAATTGCATTAGCAGTAAAATGGATAAATATTTGTGGCCTTAGCAACTCAGGAGGCTGAGGCAGGAGGATTGCTTGAGCCCAGGAGTTCAAGGCTGCAGTGAATCGTGATGGGGTCACTGCACTACAAGCCTGGGTGACAGAATGAGATCCCATCTGGAAAATAAATAAATATTGTGTACTATTTGCCTACAATGGGATATCACACAGCAGTGAAAAGGAATAAATGAATCCTGGCTGAATTTCAGGAACATGACGTTGCAGCAAAAATGCAAGTAGCAGAAGAATTCACACAGCATAATAATTCTACTTATTCACAGTCCAAAAACATGGCAAAACTAAACAAGACATTGTTTAAAGATACAACCATAAGGTGAAACCCCGTCTCTACTAAAAATACAAAAATTAGCTGGGCATGGTGGCGTGTGCCTGTAGTCCCAGCTACTCGGGAGGATGAGGCAGGAGGATGGCTTGAACCTGGGAGGTAGAGCCGAGATCACGCCACTGCACTCCAGCCTGGTGACAGAGCGAGATGCCGTCTCAAAAAACAAACAAACAAAAATCATACAACCATAAGTGGAAAAACTATAGAGAGAAACAAGGGATGATAAACACAAAATTCAGGATAATGTTTCCATCTCTGTTGGGGAGGGGAGCAGGGCATGAGGTCGATGGAATCCCATGAAAGACTGGGGCATTGGAACCCAGAGCCTCTTTGTTAGCTGGGTCATGGGCACATGACACTATCAGTTTATTATCTTTTTGTTGCCTTCCAGATGGGTATAGATATAGATGGGGAACGTATATTGTCTAACTGTGAACTGAATTAAAGCGTTAATCTAATGCAAAATGGCTCACATGGCCTCCAGACCCTAGATCCAAATGGCTTGGGTAGAAACCTGGCACCGTGTCTTCTTAAGTAGCTCTCTTAATCTCCCCGTGCCTCCGTTTCTTCACAATGACTGGATCTGACGAGAGTGAATTACAGTGTAATTATAAGGGTTTTATGTATGACTAAATATTTTGTCAAGTGCTTAAAGTAGTATCTGGTACCAGGAAAGCACTATATATATGTTTGTTAAACAAAGGGTGGGGGCTTGTGAAGGGGTTTGGGGGAGTGGAGAGGAGCACTGAATTTTCTAGGTGTTCTCATAATCCGGGAGCAAAACTTTAAAAGCCTGGCCCTGCATTTCCAGCGTGGGGACAGCTTTTGCGGCCCCCTTTCAGAGACTCGAGGGAAACAAGGTATTCTATGGCAGATAACTTGGGAAGCTCTTGGGGCAGTCTGTTGGTGAAGGGAGGGACAAATGTCACTCCAATTCACAGTCCATGACATGCCTGTCCTTAGTTCCTTGTCACGGGGGCAGCTGCTTCCAGGGGTGAATTTGAGGGTCTCAAGCACATCGTGAGTCCGGCTCCCTGAAACCAGGCTGCTCCCCGAAACCAGCCCAGCTCCCTTTCACCTGGGTGTTGGTTTGCCCCTGAGCATGCCTGGCCTTTTCCTCCGCTTCCTGTATCCAAGGGAGAGGAGCCTTGTGTTGCCTGGGGTGACCTAGTTCTGGGGTTAAATTCTGAAATGACCTGGCTCCCAGAGAAGCTGTGCTGGCCCGCCTCAAGCCTGAGGGACTGGGGAGGCACCATGTTGCCCACCGGAAGCACTGCACAAGGAACTAGCAGGATCCTAAGCTTTGGAATTATACTCTCTACCTACAGGATGTTTCCTACATCATGTGACACTCTGTGTTCATATGCTGGTGTTCTCTCTTCTGAGTGTGGGAACTCCAAAGAGAAAAATATTGTTCCTCCTCTTCCTTGGATGGTGAAACGGCTTCTAGCTTTCGTCACTCCTGCTGGTGACAACCACGGGTTCGTTCCAGAAGCCATTACTGAGCACTTGCTATGTTCTGAGTCAGCTAATATTTAAGCTTCATTCTTGCCCCTGAGTGGGGTGCATGCCACGCTGCCCCCTCATGAGTGAGCCTGGCCCAGTATGTGTTGCCAAGTGAGATCATCTGTCCTTCGGGGAGGCTGTCTGAAATCATGTCTAATGTGACCTGCTTCTTTTACATTTTTTAGCTTTCTGGCTCCCTCAAAACAAACAAACAACAACAACAACAACAACAAACAGCCATTGTTTTGAGTCCAAGTGCTTCAAAAGGCTCCTGCTTAAGGACTGTGCTGTGGTAGACATGGCGGTTCCTTCTAGCCCACATGTGGCCTAGAACTCTGTCAGCTCTGTCAGGCACTAGTCCCCGGGGAGATGGCCCAGCGTCCATGGGGTGCGCTCCAGCTGCTGTGGAAAACACAGACGGGTCATGAAGCTGATCTCGGTGGCATCTTTCCGCAGCAGCTGTGCCCTCATGGCAAGGCCAGTTTGGTGCTGCGGGAAAGCTCTAAAGCCAGATGGCGGCCTCGTCAGGGGACCTGGACCAGCGTGGGCCCAGCAGGAGGCCAAGCATCACGTGAGGAAGGCTGGAGAGACCCTTCTCAGGGAGGACTGCACCAGAGGCCCCCAGCGGTGACACCCACCCCTAGAGGAAACCATGGAGGGAGACAGCCCCCACCTTAATGGCACCACCCCCAGGGTCCAGGGAGGCTGCCATGCCCCTGGCCCCGCAGCTCAGCTCCTCGGGGTCACCTGTTCCCTCTGCCAGCCACCAACTGCCATTCCAGGATATGGTGTTCTCACTGATAAAGCCATTCTGGGCAGATGACATCTCATCCCGTTGTTGGACGGGCGGACGTTGCAAAAGGCGGCTTCCTAGGCCAGGCCTGCAGGAGCTTGGCCTGGGATGGTCCAGCCTGGCTGGTGGGCAGCCCCGACCTTCTGGCAGCTGCGGGACCGCCTGGGCGCCCCCCTGCCCGCGCCATCCCACGCCCTCCTAGCCGCTGTTTGCGGTGACTCACCTCGGTTCCCAGGAACGTTGTTATTTTTGGCCCTGGTGTTATTAAGATTGTGCCCAGATTCCCTGCAAATCGGCCACTAAGCAGCATGGGGCCCTAGTGAAAGCACGCGGAGAACAGAGGGGGCAGCGCGCTTCGGGAGGCTCCCCGGCCTTGGAGAGCTCCAGCCTCCCCGGGGGGCGGAGGGGCCGGCCAGAAGGACTCCTGCGCCCCACACCCGCAGCGCCGACAGGGCGTGCGCCCTGGCTCAGCGCTCCCCGACTGCTCCCAACCCAGGGGCACCCAGGGCCGAAGCTTCCTCTACAGAGCCTCCCCCTCCTTAGGAAACAAAACAAAACAAAACAAAAACCAGGAAAGGCAAATTGTGTAGATGCCACTAAAAAGAAATTCCCGCTTAGTATTGCTTCCCCTGCACCCAGCGACTTTTAGACAAGCAGAAGAGGAGATGCCCTGCCCGCGACTAAACCGGACTCCCTTTCATTTACTACCCTCTCAGCGTGTGGCCTGATGTCCAACTCTGGGCTCTGAACTCAGCTCTCCCCGGCTGCTCTCGACCCCGGGGCAACCAGGGGTCCGCGCCGGCCGAGGCCTGGGGAGCGGGGCCTCCTGGGGTTGGGGGAGGAGGTGCTCTTGTAATCTGCGGTCCCCAGGCGGGCGCCACCCCTCCGCCCGCCCGTGCCGGGAGCGCCCGGCCCGACAGCAAGCGCCTCTGGGGCCGATAAGGCCCTCGGGGGCCTGGCCCGCACGTCACAGGCCCCGCAGAGGCTGCGGTGAGTCCGCCAGCCCCAGCTGCTCCTCCTCAAGCCCCCAAGGCCCTTCGGCGGGCCCCTGCTGAAAGACCGGCATGCCCTATTCTGTGGGCTTCCGCGAAGTGAGTACTGGGCGGCTGCTCGGGTGGACGGGGAGATGTCAGGAGGGGGCCACCCAGGCCGCGCCAGTAGGCAGCACGCGAGCAAGAGCAGCTTTGCACACCCCACCCGCCTCGCCTCCCCGTGGGCTCCCTGCCTTAGCATAGCGGCACATCGACCTTGTAGCTGAAGGCAGCAGGTGGACTCTGCCCTACTCGCTGAAGCCAGTTTCATATTTTTTACATCCAGAGATTTGCTGTCAAATTGAGTTCCAACTACCTGGGTCTCTGAATTATGTCCTGTCAGCAATAGCGCTGGGGAGGGATGGTTTTTGGATTATAGTCCAAATCTATTGAGATCTTAGAGGCTTTCCTTTGAGTCTGCTAAACTGCGTTTTGTAGGTGTGTTATTACAGGCTGCGGGGTGGGCCACCCGGCTAGGGGGCTGTCACTGTCATTTGGAAGGGGACTTTGGCTTGTTTTCTCAAAGACTCACGGAGGCCGGTGGTCTCATGGTCACACCTGCTCGGTTCTTTTAATTTATGTTGTTAATTCATGGAGAGAAATATGTCTACGAAGGAAGGGAAAGAGCGGCGGCGTGGCCTGGGGAGATAGGCTCTCATGGATATTTTTCAAGTGATAATGGCGCGTTAGCAAGGCCACTCCAGCCTTCTTGTTCTCCCTGTGTAGATAGAACCCGTCCTATCTCTGCCTGGCAGCACGGCCAGCCTGTGCCATGTGTCAGTGTCCTTTGTTGGGTACGGTTCTTAGTTTAGTGATGGATTCAGAGCCCAGAGTTGGACATCAGGCCACACACACGCTGAAAGGGTAGTAAGTGAAAAGGAGTCTGGTTTAGTCGCGGGCAGGGCATTTCGTCTTCTGCTTGTCTAAAAGTCGCTGGGTGCAGAGGAAGCAATACTAAGCGGGAATTTCTTTTTAGTGGCATCTGTACAATTTGCCTTTCCTGGTTGATTTTTTTTTTTTTTCTAAGGAGAGAGAGGCTCTGTAGAGGAAGCTTGGGCCTCCCACTTTAGTTCCACCAGCGGCAAGCAATTCAGGTTAAGTTGGTAGAGTCTTTTTCCTCTTGTGGCACCACTCTAGGGCAGAGGTTCAGGGTGAGTCTTGGAGACCTGATCATAGCCAACTTTGGAAGGAGGCAGGTGACTGCAGGTGTCCCGTGCAATGTGTGAACTGTCTTCAGACTCAAACGCAAGTGTTTTGCAGGAATAAGGAATGGCCGATGGAAAAAATGGGTAAAATTAGCCTTCTTTCACAAATCAAGTTACAGCCTCAAGCCACTTTTCTCTGTGTCTCAGTTTTCTTGTCTGGGAAATGGGTCTGCTGTGAGGCTGAAGTGAGTTACTCGGTTATGAAAACATTAGCAAAGGGGACAGAGGCTTGAAGACGTTTATTGTAACCAGGATCCATAGACTCAACTCACCCTTGACTTTATGGGTCAATTATAATTAGTTTCTTCTCTGTTATTGGTATATAATAATTTACATATTTGTGGAATACATGTGAGTGTTTGTTTCATGCATAGAATGTGTACTGACCAAGACAGGGTATTTGGGGTGTCCATAGACTTGAATGTTTATCATTTTTACGTGTTGGTATCATTACAAGTCCTCTCTTCTGGTAACTTTGAAATGTACACGGTATTGTTGCTATTATAGTATAGTCACCCTAAGCTGCTATCAAACACCAGAACTTATTTCTTCTATCTAACTGTATGTTTGTACGCATAACCAATCTCTCTTCATTCTCTTGCCCCCCACCCACCCTTCCTGGTCTCTGGTATCTATTATTCTATTCTCTAGGTCCAAGAAATCAACTTTTTTAGCTCCTATGTATGACTGAGAACATTCAGTATTTGTCTTTCTGTGCCTCGCTTATTTCACTTAGCATAATGACCTCCAGTTACAACCACGTTGCTACAAATGACATGATTTCATTCTTTTTCGTGGCTCAAGCAGCTGTAATTAGTTTTTATATTTATTTATTTAATAATAATTATTATTATTTTTAAGACAGAGTCTCGCTCTGTTGCCCAGGCTGGAGTGCAGTGGTGTGATGTTGGCTCACTGCAACCTCTGCCTCCTGTATTCAAGCAATCCTCGTGCCTCAGCCTCCTGAGTAGCTGGGACTACAAGTGCGTGCCACCATGCTTGGATAATTTTTGTATTTTTAAGTCTCAGTCTCACCATGTTGGCCAGGCTGGTCTCGAACTCCTGACCTCAGGTGATCCACCCGCTTCAGCCTCCCAAAGTGCCGGCATTACAGGCGTGAGCCGCTGCGCCTGGCCTATAATAGTTTTTAAACCCAGGTTGCCACCTCTCACCCCAAAATGGTTCTGCCAGTGTCTCTGCAAAACCAGCTGACTTATTTTGAGATTAATCAAACTGCAATATATTTAGAAAAGCAGGGTTTCAGTTGTTGGTGTTGCCAAAATGAACAGAGAAAATAAGAGTGTTTTCTAAAGGTGAAGTGACTAAAAACCTTTGTCCTCCAGGTCTGTTTAACAACCTTTACGGCCAGGCACGGTGGCTCACGCCGGTAATCCCAGCACTTTGGGAGGCCAAGGCAGGTGGATCATGAGGTCAGGAGTTCGAGGCCAGCCTGGCCAATATGGTGAAACCCCGCCTCTGTTAAAAATAAAAAAAATTAGCCAGGCGTGGTGGCGTGTGCCTGTAGTCCCAGCTACTTAGGAGGCTGAGGCAGGAGAATCGCTTGAACCTGGGAGGTGGAGGTTGCAGTAAGCCGAGATGGTGCCACTGCACTCCAGCCTGGGTGACAGAGTGAGACTCTGCCTCAAAAACAAACAAACAAACAAACAAAAACCTTTAACAAGCATTTATGAAGCACCTATTGTGTATTAGGTCCTGTTGGGGCACCGGGAATATAGCAGTGAATAAAACTGACAAAAACTCTGTCCTTGCAGAGCTTATTTCCCAGCAGGGGAAGGAAACAGGCTAAAAACAAAATAAAGGAGTAAACTGCATTCTGTTGAAAGGTGAAAAGTCAGTCCTGTTATTGAGGGAGAGGGAAGCGGGCAAGGGAAATAGGATGTGTGGGGAGTTCTGCAACTGAAATAGGGTACTCTGAGACAGCCTCATTGAGGTGCCATTGGATAAAGAGGTGAAGGAAACAGCCAGGCCAAACTCCAGAGGAAACAGCACATGCAAAGGTCCTGAGGCAGGCGTGTGTCATGGGAATAACCGGGAGGCCAGTGTGGTTGAAGCAGAGTGAGGCAGGAGGAGCAGGAGGAGGTGAGGTCAGAGAGATTGGGAAAGGGGCACAGGTGCAGAAGATGCAGGGCTTTGTACATTGATGTGGGGATTTTACTTCTGCCTTGAGCGAGATGAGAAGCATTAGATAGTATTTGTATGAGGCAAATGGCACCATCTGACTTCTGCCTATACCTATGACTTCCTAATGCCTTTGAAACCAGGGATTCACGTTTTGTAGGGATGGGCTACCAAATTAAACCACCTGATATAGTGTGGCAAATGGTGTTATCATGCAATTGTAGTACAACCGTTCTCAACTTGCTTCCCTCTGGGATACATAGGGCTGGTTGTTGACATAGTTCTGCATGACATATTTCATGGCTATACCTGGGTATTAATAATCCCCCTCTCTCTTACACGTTCCTATTTAATGAGAAAATAGTGCCATAGATGCTCCCTACTTAATAATTTACCACTGGTTATATTTAAAAGGAGATGGGAGCCACTATAAAATCACAATTCATATGTAGTATATGAATTTGCAATCACAGCTGCAGAAGATCCTTCATGGTCTTCTTGGGACCTTGGCATGGATAAAGCGGAACAAGGTTCTGGAGCATGAGCTGTCAAGAAAGCTCGGGTGTAAGTGTGCAAGAGCAGAGCTGTGATAGAGGGGAACCTTGAATGTGTTCTAAGTTTTAAAAAGCAACAGTGGTCTTCTTACAGGTGGTCTCACTCCCTCTAATCCATTCTTCACACACAACCAAAGTGCTGTTTTAGAAGGGCAAATCTTACCACTTCACTTTCTTGCTTTAAATCTTCAGTGGCTTCACAGTGTTCTTAGGACAGTGTAGACTCCTTCCTGAGATGCCTCCTGTCCTGATCCTGCACTGTTGTATTTATTTTTTTTTATTGTTTGTTTGTTTGAGACAGGGTCTCACTGTATTGCCCAGGCTGGAGTGCAGTGGCACAAGCATAGCTCACTGCAGCCTCCAACTCCTGGGCTCAAGTGATCCTCCTTCCTCAGCCTCCAGATTAGCTGGGACTGCAGGTGTGTGCACCTCCACGTTCAGCTAATTTTTGTATTTTTTGTAGAGACAGGGGTCTCACTATGTTGCCCAGGCTAGTCTTGAACTCCTGGCCTCCAGTGAGCTTCCCTCCTTGGCCTCTCAAAGCACAGGGTTTACAGGCATGAGCCACCGCACTCGGCCCTGGACTACTTCTTATTCAGAACTCCCACAATAATTGCTCCAGGACACTGTCAGTTCCTTCAACAGGCTGCACTTGGACATTTTTATATAATATTCAGAAACTCTACATGGGTGGGACTCAGGCTTGCCTTGTTCACTGCTGTGTCCTTGGCACTTAGCACAGTGCCTGCCACATGGTAGATGCTCATTAAATGTTGGTTGCATTCATGAATGAACAGTAAATTATTTGCAGAACACCTCGTGGTTGATGACTGCTTAGCAGTTTGCTCACAAACCTGCGATTGAAAATTATTGCTCTAGGGTTTGCGTGGATGACTTTTTAGATACTCTGCTCTTGGGATTTTTTAAAATTCATAAAATAGTTTCTCCTTCCTCTGAACTCTCATTGCACTTCATCAGAACCTCCCTCAGGGCCCTCCTCATTTTCCACACCTCCCCGCTTATTTATATATATGTCATCTCTCCTCCACGCTGTGAGCGGGCGGGAGGCGGGCAACAGCTCCATCTGACTCATCTTTGAGTCACTTCCTCTTATTTTCCCTGGCTTCGACCAAGGTCTTGAACCTGGGGCTGAAAAATAGATTTGTTAAGTGAATTAATTGGAAACCCATGAATGAGTCTGAGCTCCTGCTTCTCCTTCGCTTGCCCAGATCGTGAGCTTTGGCTGTTAGGAAAATGTTGGGCCAATTGATGTCGGGAAGGTCTGGAAAATAAATTTGCAAGCTGGCCCCGTGCGGGAGTAGGTGGTTACAGCCTGACACCCCTGCCGGACGAGGTTTCTCAGCACAGCCCAGCCTGGACTGCAGCCCTCTCAGGGCAAGTGTGGCGTTTGTCATCATTCTCCGACAGGCAGTGACAACCAATTAGAAATCTAGTGAGAAGTGGCATTGTTTTCCCTGCTGCCTCCCGCTCACCCTTGACTGTCACCCTCCCCTCGGCTGCTGCTCTCTGAGCAGAGGCTGATTTATCTCCTGAATTTACTGTGGGGGCTCAGGAAGAAAAGCGCATTACAGGAGGAAGGCTGACTGCTGCTAATGGGCCCGGCTGAGCAGCTGCTGAAACCTATTAGCGTGTAGGGGAAGGTGGCGCAGGAATGAGACAGGGTGTGTTGCCTGTGCAGAAAACTTGTTTATAGACAGATTAGGAAAAACAAAGCAAGCAAACAACCTTCTGACCCCAGCCCTTCTCTCCTATAGGAACGCCTGGAAGGGTTTTCCTTCCTGAGAAAGCTCTGGGCCCCCCATGGTGTCTGGAAGGCAGCGGGGAGCCTCTGTGGCCCTCCCCCAGGGTGTTATTGGTCAGAACACTGTTCTGCCCTTTCCAGATGTGGGAAATGAAGCAATATTTTGGAAGAAAGGGCACCTGGTTTCAGTTTTCTTCAGAAAGTTAGTGCCTCCCCACTTTGGGAGTCCGAGGTGGGCGGATCACGAGGTCAAGAGATCAAGACCCTCCTGGTCAACGTGGTGAAACCCCATCCCTGCCTAAAAATACAAAAATCAGCTGGGCATGGTGGCGTGCGCCTGTAGTCCCAGCTACTCAGGAGGCTGAGGCAGGAGCATCACTTGAACCTGGGAGGCAGAGGTTGCAGTGAGCAGAGCTGCACTCTAGCCTGGAGACAGAGCAAGTCTCCGTTCAAAAAAAAAAAAAGAAAGAAAGAGAGAGAGAAAGTTAGTGCCTGCCAATGGATCACCTGAGGTTAGGAGCTTGAGACCAGCCTGGCCAACATGGCAAAACCCCATCTCTAAAAATACAAAAATTAGCCAGGCATGGTGGTAGGCGCCTGTAATCCCAGCTACTCGGGAGGCTGAGGCAGGAGAATCACTTGAACCCAGGAGGCGGAGGTTGCAGTGAGCTGAGAGTGAGATGCCATCTCAAAAAAAAAAAAAAAAAAAAAAAAAAACAAAGTTAGTACTGAGAAAAGCTGAAAAGAGGCTGGCACAGGTCCAGCCCTTCTCCACACCTAGGGGCGCAGCCATTGATGGAGGGTGATGATGATTTGCAAACAGTGGAGCAGATTCCAGCTACTCAGAAAACCTATTAGCGGCTTGTGCAGCCACCTGGTGCCCTCTGTCCTGCTGTCAGCCCACTCTGGCAACCTCTCCTCTGGGTGGGGGAGCTGGGCTGGGCCAGGGTGTGTACCTGTAGTTTGCTTTTTCTCCAAAGGGAGTCAATGGCTAGAGGACCCTCATCTCCCATCTGTCTAACCTCTAACATGTCTAAGTCCCGCTTGGGACTGGCTAATGTTCTGTCTACACGGCGTGATTTGAAGATGCCAGAATGTCTTCGTAGTCTTTGAATACCTCCCCCAACCCCCATTAGCCAGAAAGTCTAAAGTTCCGCCATCAGAGATTATTCCTTAAATTCTTAAAGGGGTTTTATATCTCAAAGTCTTCTATTAATTGCATGCATTTAAAGCTGTATAATAGGATCTCGAGTTGTACAGATGCAGGGAACTAGTTCTTAGTGGGATTAGTTGAGGATTAGGCAAACGCCAGGAGTGAGATTCAGGGCAGGTCATGAATTGGTGGGGTGGGGGTGGGAGGTGCAGAGGTGTTGGTGCAGTGGTTAGGAGGGAAGGGGAAGCTCGCTCCCTGAGCTCCCTGAGCTCCCTGACTTAGGATAGTGACTGGGCTCAAGATTCCTTCCCAGGCCGGGTGTGGTGGCTGATGCCTGTAATCCCAGCACTTTGGGAGGCTGAGCTGAGCGGATCACCTGAGGGCAGGAGTTCGAGACCAGCATGGCCAACATGGTGAAACCACGTCTTTACTAAAAATACAAAAATTCGCTGGGCATGGTAGTGGGTGCCTGTAATCTCAGCTACTTGGAAGGCTGAGGCGGGAGAATCGCTTGAACCCAGGAGGCAGAGGTTGCAGTGAGCCGAGATCGCACCATTGCACTCCAGCCTGGGCGACAAGAGTGAAACTCTGTCTCTGAAAAAAAAAAAAAAAAAGATTCCTTTCCAAGTGGTCAGATACCCTAGGACAGTCTGGCCTGTCACAGCATGGAGAGTGCAGTTTGGTGAGTGATGTGGGACTTACAGTGGACCTGGAGGCGGGTGACAGGAACTGCCCAGATTCTGAACACCCTCTTCACAAACGTGTCATCCAGGTGGCGACAGGTTCAGCCCAGGAATTGGCTGGACTGTGTGGCCTGAGGTCCCCGGGGTTTTATCCCTTGCCTTTCTACCAGCTTTTCAAACCTTGTGTGTGGAATTATATCATTTTACCATACAAGAAGCACAGCACTTTCTTTATATATTTCATCTTAACGTGGTATTGAAACTATCTTGGGATGTAGGTGACAGTGTCCTCGCTTTCTAGATGAGGAAACAGGGTTGAACAGTTAATTGATTGGCCTATGTTTCCCAGCGAGGTTCCCAGCTCACGTCTGTCTCCTAACTCTCTAATATAGACACTCTTCACCATACTGGTCGTGCTGAAACTGTTATTTAGATGCCTGTCTCCCCACTAGTCTTCAGTCCCAATGTCCAGATTGCCTGGTGCAGGTGAACTCGTCCACACAGGGCCTTGAGGCTGGCAGTGTGACCGCAGGGGCCCAGCAGCACAGCACATGGTCCAGCTTGTGGGCACCGCAGCCAGAGTGCCTGACCTCCAAACTGTGCTCTGCTGCTTTCTGGACTTTATCCTCCATCAGATATGTGCCCTCCCCGCATCTCCAGTCCGCACCTGGAAACCAAAGACCATCGTGGTTGCCCTGGGGTTGCTGTGAGCAACACAGGAAATCAGAGCCAGCCTTTTGGGAAAAGTCGGTGATTATAAACTTTTTTGAAATCACAGGTTCTTCTCTGGATCAATAACTCTTAACCTTCTAAGAACTCTGGAAATTTAAAGAAGATCTTCCTACCTTTAACGCACCTTTGACTCAGGCCAACAGAAAGTATGGAATAGGAAACAGTAAATCACACAGTCTCTTGTTCTCAGGAAGTGGGAAATGCTGCATTCGAACAATACCATGGAGGCTGAAACAGGGAAGAGTGAACGCTCTGGCCAGGAAAGCAAGAGAGTGTGCCAGGGAAGCTTTGCAGAGGAAGAGAACTTTGAATGGGCCTTGAAGAATCTGTAGAATTTCACAAAACAGAGAAAGCCTCATGAAAAGTGTGGCTTGTGTGTTTGGGAGAGGTGTAGGATCCAGTGTTGAGGGACAGGTGGGGTGGACAGAGTAGGAGATGAGGATGAAGAGATAGAGAGGAGCTGGTTTGAGGAGCCTTCTGAACGTCAGCCTGAGACTTTGGTCTTTAGTCCACAGGGGTTGGGGAAGCCCACAAAGCTTTCTGAGTAGGAAAGTGTTAGGGCTTCAGAAAGCCCCCATCTGGCAGGGCTGATGAAGAGGGGTCACTGGAGTGAAAATATTGCCCCTCTACCAGTAAGGTTTGATGAGGTCCTAAATCGAGGGGATTGGAAGATCATGAACATTCTTGAGTAGCGACTTTGTACCCGCCACCATGCTACGTGATTAAATATCGCAGCATATTTAATGCTTACAGTGGCCACATAAAAATTACCCATGTTACAGATGAGGAAACTGAGATTGCAGCTAGGAAGAGTGATGAAATAAAGTTGTTTATTGGGGATATTGACTGGCTGGTCGTGTAGGTGCCCTTGTGGTCTGAGATGTAGTTCTGGTAACTTGATTTTGAGACACAACCAGAGGATAGCAGGTTTGGAAACTGACTTAATGCACCTCACAGGTGTCTGGTGTTCACGTCAGTACTCCGACTTCACAATGAGAAATCTGACTCCTCCGGTCCTCTGCCATTCTGTGTTCTTGTTCACTTGTGTTCTCCGGTCAGTGAATTCTGTCCTAATAAGAAAACCTAAAAGGCAAGTCAGTCACAACCAATGTCCTGGTAAGGGCGCAATCAGAGAAACAGGAGGCGACATCGTCTTGAATCTGTCATCGAGACTGTGCTATGGCCTGATGAATCATGCACGCCCCATAGCCAAGAGCACTGTGTTTGTTACAAATTGCTGATTAAACAACATTGGAATAGAAAATGAGTCTCACTGCCTGGTGTCAACGCCAATCCGATTGATAGCAGCTGTCTGGGATGCTGTGTTGAGAGATTCTGAAGCCACTTTAAGGCTTATGGGCAAGAGTGCTGTGATAACTTAGCAACCTCTGCCAGGGGTACTGGGGGGCAGGGTGGTGTATTATGGTAGCCATTTCTAGGTCACTGGTGTTTTTCCTTCTTTCTCCTCCTCCTCCTCCCCCTCCTCTTCTCCTTCCTTCCTTCCTGCCTGCCTGCCTTCTTTCTTCTTCCTTTTGAGACAGGGTCTTACTGTGTCACCCAGGCTGGAGTGCTGTGGTCATGGCCCACTGCAGCCTCCACCTCCTGGGCTCAAGTTATCCTCCTACCTCAGCTGGGACTACAGGTGCAGGCCAGCACGCCTGGCTATTTTTTTCTTCTTTCTGTCTCCTTCTTTAGTTTAGCCTTAATCAGATGAGCCATGTTTTGACTGCTATTTACTTAAGAGACATCCTGTTTTTCAAGGATGTTTGAAGCTAGCTGGGGCTATGTCTCTGTGTTGATTGCACTGGTTTACCTCTCAGAAGGTCATATGATACCACACGTTTTCCAGTTCCTTATCTCTCCCAGCTACCCCTGTCAGGTTGGGCTGGGGGTTGGGGGGTGGGTCACCATTAAATATAGGTCAGAGAGCCAGTAAGTGGCAGGGTCTGACCTAGGACTGTGTGAATTCTAAGCCCAGCTCTTTCTACTACACAGAAGCCATAGGTAGGGGAGGCTTTTCATTACCAAATGGGTGTGAATTGCCATTTAATATCACCAGCCAGAATGGACTTTTCCCACATTTTTTATATAATCACCCACAAAGCATGACTGCTCGTCTCCACTGGCCTCCAGCCCCTCCACCACTGTTTCCCTGCCCCTGTCCAAGCCCAGCCCACCCCTCTGGGCCAGGCCAGGGCCTGCCCTCCAGTCCAGCTTCCCAGCTCCTCACCCTCTGGTCCCCTTAAGGCCATGGCCCCCATCAGGCATCCCTCTGTGCTTTGGGACGTCTCTGGCACTAAATAAATACATGTGGAGTGGAAAAATGAATGACCACTGGACACCCACTCTGACTTCAGTGTGTGGGAAACCATGAAAACATGTCAACCTTGCTGTGTTGAGTGATTCGTTGAAGGGAACTTGTTCCATCACTGCCTTTGTTCTTTTCTCTTTATGGAATCTGCCATAGAAACAGCCTTTCATTAGAACCACTGTGTTTCTCAGATTTGGTTAAAAAGCATCTGTAGGATGAACTGGCAAATCGGGAGGCTTGAATTTCCAGGCTCCATCGAGATAGTTTTCCTGCGGAGTTTTGAATATTCACTTGTTTTCAGTGTCCTCATGCCTGCATCTGAGAAACAGAGACACTAGTGTGTGGCACCGACCACCACAAAGGGGCCTGGTGGTGAGTGCTGGGCTGGGATTAGCAAATTGCTCCGAATGTCTCAGGCACAAAGTGGTACTTAAATAGCCATTCCAGGATTAGGATAACTGTTCTGAGCCCTTCTCTCGACTCCATTAGTTTGCAACGTGGCCACTGGGGGCTTGTCCCTAGCCTTTGAATAAATGGGATGGCTTCAGAGCCAGCAGTGGCTGGGGCAGCCTGAAGGTGTTGTTGAAAGATCTTTGCTTTACTTGTTTGCATCTAATTTTGTTTATTTCTTTACCAATAAAGATGCTTTCTCCTCAGGGGCATTATGACTGTGACCTGGGTGGAGCCTGTCTACAGGGTCCCCAAGGTTCTCTCAGGGCTCAGGGGCAACACCCAGGGCTGCCTGTAGACGCCCCTCCAGCCCTGACTCCTACAGGGAGCCCCCCTCTGAGATGTTCCTAATTCCTAGCCCCTGGCAAGACGCGAGCTCCTCCTCTTCTTTCAGAGTCTGTGGTGGCTGCTCTGAAAAGCATTTAAGAGCCTGGAAGGGGAGATGGGCTGTGCCTCGACCACAAACCGCGCCAAAAGGAACCTGCTACAAGATACAATGCTTTGGAAACTCGGGAGGAGGAGAGAAAACTGCATCGGAGGGAATCAAGGGACGATCTGCAGGGAGGTGCCTTTAAGTTGGCTGTAAGGGGCACTCCAGAGTACAGGGAGAAGAGACGCGGGAGGGTTCCCAGGCGGAGAGTACCGCTGATGACAACGCTGCCCGACAGTGCGGAAAGCATGAGGTCAGCTCGGACCCTCGGCTACCAAGTGGACCCAGAAGGGCCGAGCAAGGCTCCGCCAGGGTGTTTAAAGGGTCTGGAAAGCACCGAGGAGCAATGGACGGCTCTGAGCGGGAGGACCCTTGCAGTGAGTGATCTGGAAAGGAAGGAAGCCTGGAGACCGCAAGATCAATTCGGCAACTCCTGCGGGAAGGCCCAGGCCCGGAAGTGATGGAGACCCTCAGGGATGCGCAGCGAGCAGGGGCAGCAGTGGTTGGGACTGGAGTGACCACACCCACAAGAGGGGAAGGTCGGACCCCAGCCAGGCCTCATCTAAGAACCATGCAGGCAGGAGCGCATTTCATCCCCATAGTTATCCCGTGAGGTCACTACAGGCTACAGATAAGGACACTGAGGCACAGAGAGATTGATTTACTCACCTCTCCGTAGCTAGACAGCTGCGGACTAGGGCAGGAAGCCAGGCAAGCTGGCCCTAGACTCAGAGTCCTTAATCACAAACTCATTCTGCTTCATGTGTTTTTATTATCTAATTAATTGCTTTTAGAGACAGGGTCTTGCTCTGTCACCCAGGCTGGAGTGGAGTGGTGTGTTCATAGCTCACTGTAACCTTGAACTCCTGGGCTGAAGCCATCCTCCTGCCTCAGCCTTCCGAGTAGCCAGGACCATAGTCATGCACCACACCCCTGGCTAATTTTTTAAAAATTTTTTGTAGAGAAGAGGTCTTGATGTGTTGCCCAGGCTGGTCTTGAACTCCTGGACTCAAGTGATCCTCCTGCCTCAGCCTGCCAAAGTGCTGGGATTACAGGAGTGAGCCATCATGCCCAGTCTCATTCTGCTTTCATCTGAGGGGCAGAAACAGGAGACTCAAGAGGAGAAGCCGGGGCTCGAGGGCTGGCAAAGCCCAGCGTCGCTCTTCCAGGTCCTGTGCAGCATTTCAGATGGAACCCTTGGAAGCCCACTGACCACATGTGTGACCTGGGGAAGGCCCATCTTTTGGAAACTTTGTATCACCTGCTTTGCCCATTCCTTCAAGAAACGCTGATTTGTTGAAGGAACATAATTTGTTCCACTATGTACAGGGCTTTCTTCTGAACTTAGAAAACCAAAAACAAAACCACCTCAAAAACTGTGCATGCATCAAGATTCAAAGCCCAGATGCATTGCAGGATGTTTGTTTAATTTGCAAAACCTTCACCATGAGGTTTCTTTCAGTAATTAGCTCCCAAGTGCATATGAAAAATATTATAGATAAAAACGTTTGTGGAAGGCAAAAAAAAGCTTTAACTGAATAGATTTAGTTATACATGCATGATAAAAAGTGTCCAAAATGTTTCTAGTTTTCTCCTTGCCTTTCATATTTGTCAGTGAATTTAATGACAAACATCAATTACCTGAAAAATGTCCTTGCGGTAGGTGGTAGCATTGAATTGTATTACAGATCTTATTGAAGGGGTGAATACTTAATATACTAACGTTCACATTTACAAAGCCAGAAAATTAGGGAATTGATTAATTCTATCCCAAAAGGATGCTTTGCTTTAAGAAGGAATTCACTAAATACTGAGAGCTATTGCATTAAAGTTCTTTGTTTTGATGGTGTTAGTTCCTGGGCACCAGGAGGCTAGGAGTGGAGAATGGGGTAGAGAGAGTGGGGGTGAGAGAGTGGGGTAGAGAAATATAGTGAAGTGTTCAAAGCTCGGTCAGAGTGAAAATAACCATCCTTTCCCTAAGTGTGTTATGTGGGGGAAATAAAGAGTTTTAGAGTCAAATGCGATTATGGAATCTTGGCTTAAACACTGTTAATCAGTTTCTCCAAGAATGCTCACAGCTTTTTTTTTTTTTTTTGAGATAGGGTCTTGCGATGCCACCAAGTCTGCCTAGGCTGGAGTGCAGTGATGCAATCATAGCCCACTGCAGCCGCGACCTCCTGGGCTCAAGTGATTCTCCTGTAGCTGGGACTATAGGTGCATGCCACCATGCACAGCTCATTAAAAACAATATTTTTAGAGATGGAGTCTTGCTATGTTGCCCAGTCTGGTGGCAAACTCCTGGCCTCAAATGATCCTCCCACTTTGGCCTCCCAAAGTGCTGGAATTACAGGTGTGAGCCACCATACCTGGCCCTGCTCAGGGCTGTAATATGCTTCCTTGGTTTGTGACTCTGTAAGGACAAGGTTTGCATTGTCCACATTTACTTGCCCAGAGCACCCTTTGGATTGGTGTGGGTGACATTGCACAGGGCTGGTGTTCCTGGGAACACATTTTGGGAAATGCAGTGTCAGTCTCCATTAAGAGGATGGCGTTCAGATTTTCCTTTGTTGGAGAGACCTTGATCATTGGATGGACGTAGGCAGGGGTTCAATGAGGAAAAGGGTCTTTCTGCATGCCTGGGAGAAACTTTGGAGGAACAGAGGAAAAGAGAATACTGAAAAGGCTGAAAAAAAGTCCCGAATTGTCACCAGGTTGCTACCAGCAAGAGTAGAGATTCACTCCTTGGTGCTCCAGGGAAGGACCCGGGAAAGGGTGGGGTAGAAGTCACAGGAAAGCAGATTTCAACTTGAGATGAGAAAGAACTTTCCAAAAATTAGAATTCTCCAAAGAGGGAAGTATTTGATCAGAGTCTTGTGGATAATTTGGGAGGAGGGACAGTTGCATGGACCGGGAGTAGGACTTGGGAGACTTTCGAAACGATCTCCTTCAATGACTGGATTACCAGTTAGACAACTCTCAGAGGAAATAGGACTTGGTTCACAGAAACCCCATGCGCTGCATTCACTTAATTAGGTGCACTACTACTTTGCTAAGAACTGACTTATCCAAATGTCGTCTAATTTCTTCCTCCTCCTGGGCCTGCGGAGCTTTGATAGTTTGCTTGGCTGGTTTAACAGCTCTCTGTGGAAATGAGAAAATCATTCAATCAGATGAAATGGATTTGGGATGAGCAAAGGAGCTTTTTTTCAGTGTGGATATTTTAGAAACGCCTATACCATTTAGATTACAGTAGTTAGAAATCTTGGGACTTTCTGATCAGCCAGCATCTAATGATCAAGTTAATGAAATACTTGAAATTTGATAAGCTGAACAGGATGGAATTTTTTCATCTAATTTCGGATCCAGATTTACACCTTGCTTACTTAGTTTCGCATAGGTGATTAGAGAGGCTCTAACTCCAAATGCATAAGATGAAGTAAACATTAATGTATGCAATGTGATATATTTTGATTCAAATAAAATGCTTAGAATTCAATTCAGCGAGAATCTGAGACCCCCTGAGACAGTTCTCAACAGGCGGCCCCGTCCTTTCTGGGTGTCAGGAATTACCTGGGGGCACGGAGGGCTCTACAATGTTTAGGGGAAGACCTGCTGGATGCAGGGCTCACTCAGTCCGTACGCTGCTCCCTCTGGGAAATAAGATCTTATTTTGGGGAGGAAACTGGGGAGTGGAATGGTTCAGTGGCTTGCTGCTTAGTGGCAAATAGGTAAAAGGAGACGCAGAGGGTGACATTAAGGGACCTGCAGGAGAGCAGCTTTACTCTCCCTGTTTGAAATACCCACCCAAGAAATGCCAGGCAAAGCCTCCCCCAACACGGTGGGCTCCTTTGCAGCAAACCTCTGCGTTTTCTTCTTGGCCATGCATTTTGGCCTTGTGAGTTTGCATGTTTGGTTTGAAAGCTCTCTATGGAAATATTCAGTTATTTTTCCATCTGGTGGCCCCATGGCAGGGGGTGTGGCAGCAGGAACCCTTGCTAAAGGGCCCCGGGCCCAAGTGAGATGGAGCTGGTGTCAGGCACATAAGAAATGTTTCCTCTAGATGGAGGGCTCTGCACATTGTCACAAACCCCTGTTTTGTGCCTAGCCTTTAAAAATCCCAGTTATTTAAATCCCTGGGTTTACTTAGCTCCATTCCCAGTTTGGCCAGGGGTGTTTCTTGGCGCTCTGTCCCTGACTGTGACATAGACCCTTAGCTGTGAGGCAGCAGGGGAGCCGCCAGCAGCAGGGACCCCCAGCCCTCACGCAGGGTGCTCTCCACCCTCTCCTAGTACCAGCCCCTGGGATGGACCCTGAAGCTGACCTGTGCCCCCAGCCCTCTTGGCCTTGGAGACCCTCTGCCTCCCTCCTGGCCCTGGGTCACCGCCCTGAGTCGGGGGTCTGTTGGTTGCTGGTCTCTGTGCCCTCAGCTCCGTCCCTTCCCATGAAGGGCAGGGAGGAGCCATCTGTGCAGACTCCAGTGGGGTGACTGTGGAATGGTCCGTCCCAGGCCACAGGGGATGTGCTCTCTGGTGCCACCTCTGCCATGCCTCCTGCTCTTGCTGGGATGGGGACTGAGGCATGCTTATTCCTCTGCAGAAGACAACAGCAGTGTGTGTAGATGGCTGCAGAAGGGAGGGCAGGGTGGTGAAAATACAGTGAGAGGGCCTGGGAAGGTGGTCCCTGGGTGTGGTACCCACGCAGCAGGCACCGTGCACAGCTGTGCTGGGGCGAGAACAGATTCTCGTGAATTCTGCCTAAAAGGCGTCTCTCGGAATTGCCTGGCATGGTAGCCCTTCCAGTTGGGGAATGGCTGCTCAGCAGGGAGTCCTGGCTGTTGGGCTTGTGTGTGGTCCAGAGCTTGCCACGTTTTAGAGAAACTGCAGAGGGCCAGGAGATTGAGGTGGCTGGAGAGGCTTTGGGGTGCATGGGCCACAGATGGAACCCACTCCACATCACCAGCAAGACCTCCTGTTGGCTTTCAGCTCTTCTCTCCAGCCTTCCAAATGTAGTCCCCAGTGAAAGCAGAAAGTGGTGACTGTTTTCCAGAGAGGGAGACTTTCCACAAATGTAGAAGAACCAGGCAGAGACGTTTCTCTTTAGCACTTCTGGTTGAGGATTTTACAAGTTTTCTAGTGAGATGAGATTAGAAATTAAATGCCAGAACCACTCTTGATTTCTTTTTGTAGTATATTCTCTCCCCACCCCCAGCTGCATCCTCCTTGTCATCCTCTCCCCCAACCCTGTCCCCAGCCCCAGAAACTAACCCCCTGGGACCCACTCTTGGTTTCTTTGTCTGAAGTTGCCTTGATATGTGCACACACACATCTATGCATGCATGCACAGATACATACACACACACGAGAACATATATACACAAATACAAACTCATACATGCACACACTCGTGCACATGCATACACATGCACGCATGCACACACAGGCACACGTGCACACACAGGCATGCACACATGTGTACACATGTTCCCTCCGGGTGGCCCATGGAACACATGTTCCCTTGGCGGCCAGCGCTGCCAAGGCCTCAGACTCCAGGAACACCCTGACCCTCAGTGTCTGAGACACATTGGCCCATTTAGGAAGGAAGAATCTACTGAGGGAGAAGCGTCCCCTCCCCTCTGCACCCGCTGGGTGGGCAGAGGAGGACGTCTCACCCCCCAGAGAAGAGGAGAATAAGCTGAAGGCTCTCTGGTGAGTCACTCAGGTTAACTCAACAAACTCCTATGGGCATTTGAAAAATGTTAATGCTATTCATGAATTCAACTGGAGTCTAAGAGGAAATAATGGAAAGTTATTGGTCAAAAATCAAGAAGAGGCTGGGTGCAGTGTCTTGTGCCAGTAATCCTAGCTCGTTGGGTGGCTGAGGTGGTCGGATTGCTTGAACCCAGACTGGGCAACATAGCAAGACCCCATCTCTAAAAAAAATTCTAAAAGAAGTGAACCCAGGCCAACTGTCTGGTCTGATTGGCCAGTTGCATCCCAGGCCAGTTCCTAGGGAGGCCCTGGGAGGACTATGTCAGCTGTCACTGACTTCAGCATCCTTCCATTGGCCTCAGCACAGGGTAGGCACTTGGCAAATGCAAAATACTAATTAGAGTTAGTGGCCTGAACAAGGGGCTACCGTGCTCTGTAGCAAAAGCTGTCGGTGGAGAACCAAGAACCTCCCTAGGCTCTGTCTCATGGCTTTCCCAGCCAGATCCCATGTCTCTCTTAACCATTACTTCCTCAGAATTTCTGAGCTTCTTGTTGCTGCACAGGCGTCTTTGAGGCACAAAAGCAGAATGCTTGCGGTGGCCGACTTGGCTCCGGTTGCTGAGTTCAAATCCTAACTCCGCCACTTCTCTGCTATGTGACCTTGGGCAAGTTTTTTAACCTCTCTGTGCCCTGTTTTCCACTTGTAAAATAAGGATAAGTAGAACACCTGACTTATAAAGTTGCTGTGAGGGTTAAGTGGGTGAACACTTGTAAAATGCTTAGAGCAGTGCCCAGCACCTCCTAAAATGCTATTGATTCCTGTCTTTTCTTTTTTTCTTTTGTTCCTCCACCAGTGCCTCTAACTGCTTGTCCCATGGGCATCAAACTAGAGGCTGAGCACAGTGGCTCATGCCTGTAATCCCAGCAGTTTGGGAGCCCAAGGCAAGAAGATCACTTGAGGCCAGGAGTTTGAGACCATCCTAGGCAACATAGTGAGATCCTCATTTCAATAAAAAAAAAATGAAAAACATTAGCTAGGTGTGGTGGTGCTCACCTGTAGTCCCAGCTGCTTGGGAGGCTGAGGTGGAAGGCCCTCTTGAGCCCAGGAGTTCGAGGCTGCAGTGAGCTATGATTGTGCCACTGGACTCCAGCCTGGGCAACAGAGTGAGAGAAAGGGAAAAAAAAGTTGTCTAGCATCTGTAGGTGTAGAGAAGGGCATTCCAGACCAAGCAAGGGGCATGTCTCAGGGATAGGAGAGGGATGGGTTGGGGCACTAGAGTGGTCTCCCACTGCATGGAGCTTACCTGTCACAGCCTGGGCATGTCCAGGTGCTGCTGCCTTATCCCTGCCTGCATCCAGCTCCCCAAGTGTCACCTCCTCATAAAGGCCTCCGGGACTGAACACCATCGGGTACTGCACCCCACAGCCCTCTCCATCCCCACTCCACGTTTGATTTTCCTCTTAGCACTCACCACTTCCCTGTGGGATAAATAGATCTTACTGCTCCTCTATCTCTCTCTCCTCCCTCCCATAGGAATGTCAGCTCTATGAGCGCGGGCTTCCTGCCTGTGTGTTCAGTGTCGGATCCTAAACAAGGCCTGACCCCTCCACAGGCACACACATAATTTTTAAATGACTGAATAAATCTAAAAATCATCACTTTATTTTCCTCTTTGTATAAAATCTTTGTGAGGGATGGAAACTCCCTCCAACCTCACAACGGGAGACATTTAATGCTGTAAAGGCTATACGATCGTTAGCAACGAATCATTCCTTTACATAACATTCACACAGCTTCCTACAATAGACGTATTTATGTTGTTGTCTAACATACATGTTTTAATTTTCAAGCGTTTGGTTCTGGATCCACACGTTCTCTCCAGGAGGTCAGGAAGCCTGTGTTCTCTGATTATCTTTTATAATCAAGAAGATTCTGGAACACAGCGGCCTTTGAAAAAGCATTGGTGGTATTGAAATGGATCCCCACAACTTCCTAAAACCTGGCAGTCTTTGAAGATTCTGTTCAATTCTCACTGCTCCATCAAAGATGCCCCCAGTGCTGTAGCCCTCTCTGATCTCAGCCACTCCCTTGAACTCCTGGTGGTTCTTGTTGCAACCTCTCGTTTGGTATTTAATTGCACACTGTCTTGGGGCATCTCTTGAGCTATTATCTTACTGAGTATTTGACCCTTTTATTGTCCTATTTTTCATACAGCTCTATCTTTCACCTCTGTTAGTTTGCAGTCTTCCCAAGAGTAGGAACCAAACAGCCTTTACTTTTTTTGTGTCTACCACTGGGTGCTGAGATTGTACAATGCAATTCAACAGTTCACATTTGAGTGAAAGAATAAATGAATGAGGAAAAAGCCTATCTATCTAGTCCCACCGAATTTTTGCATTGAGACTTTATCTCTGTGACCCTCACCCGAAAAGCACTTGAGGCAGTAGAGGCGGGTGTGGATATTGGTAATGATTGTCCTTAGGAAATGTTGATTGGCATCTTGGTATCTTATTTCAGAAATCCTGGAAATGTCTCTCTCCGAAGGCTAAAACTCAGTCATTCCAGAAATGATGCGCTGGCTGTTTTTGTTTGATACTAGATTCACTGTGCATTTTTCATTCTTTCTCTAATGCTTGACATCCCTTTATTCAGGAGTTCAAGGTCACGAGTGCTGAGACAGGTCACTTTGAAAAGGAGATTATGAAAGTGGACTTCAGCACTGATGTTAGAGTAGAAATGAGGTCTTCACTTCACGAATTCATGGAACTGCAGAGCTGGAAAGAAAGTTGCCAACACAACCATAACATTGTTTGTTTGTTTGTTTGTTTGTTTTTATTTATTGTTGTTTTGTTTTGTTTTTTTGAGACGGAGTCTTGCTGTGTTGCCCAGGGCCCAGGCTGGAGTGCAGTGCCGTGATCTCAGCTCACTACAGCCTCTGCCTCCTGGGTTCCAGTGATTTTCTTGCCTCAGCCTCCTGGGTAGGTGGGATTATAGGTGCACGCCACCACGCCTGGCTAATTTTTGTATTTTTAGTAGAGATGGGGTTTCACCATGTTGGCCAGGCTGGTCTCGAACTCCTGACCTCAGGTGATCCACCTGCCTCAGCCTCCCAAAGTGCTGGGATTACAGGTGTGAGCCACTGCACCCAGCCATATTTCTTTAAAAAGACATGAAGCCAAGGCTTTAAGAGGGGGCCCCCTAGACAC
Organism: Homo sapiens; assembly: GCF_000001405.40. Lineage (NCBI taxonomy): Eukaryota > Metazoa > Chordata > Mammalia > Primates > Hominidae > Homo > Homo sapiens. Next base: position 41,777,237 of record NC_000008.11, on the reverse strand, counting down.
CCTTCAATATTGTGCAGATAAGAAATACCCAGATTAGAGACATACCTTAGGATTCCCCTGGGATGGGCAGAGTTTTCTGCAGATAAGCAACGTAGAAAGAAATGCAGCTGAGGGTTGACAGTTTAGAGCTTATTTCCTCACCTTTTAAATTTAAATAGTTACAAAAAGGGTGATATAAATACTGTATGAAAAGATATCTGAAAGAGCAGCCAGCCAGAATTCATAAGAGGATTAAACAGAAAGAAAATGGTTCCCTTCAATTATTAAAATAATACGATGAGCCCTGTGTGAAGTATTATGTGTGACACCTGCTCTTGTTTCCTTGGTAGTAAAGAGAAAACAGGACTAGGAAGTCGAGGGCTGACGCCAAGGTGTTTTCGAGTGGTAGCTGCTAAGCACCCCGTTGAAAGGAGCTTAAGTGCATCTTGGAGGAAGGATCCTGTCTTCCTGTTGTTAAGTTGTACAAATGGAAAAATTAAAGAGGCATAGGTAGGCCAGTTAGTAGTTTAATTGGGTTTAATTGCAATGTTTTGGCTCTGGGAAGAGAGAGGAAACCTCTGCAGTCAGCATTTAGCCAGTGGAAGCCACCCCTTATCAGCAGGGCCCCAATGAAGGCGAAGAAGTGGGTTTCACAGCAGAGGGTCCCCTGGGCTTGGTCTACCTCATTATCCTTTCTTGGAGTCTAGGATCATTGTGGGCCAGCCGGGAAGACGTAGCACCAGCTCCCTGGAGCTTCTTTCTCTTGGTTCAGAAGTGTGCAATGGAGGTTACATGACGATGTTACTGTTGTAATTCTAGAGAACTCGATTGGAGTGGACTGGGATTATTGATTCAAGGCCTCCCCATTTCTCCATGGCTCTTGGAAAGGACAGATCCCCGCTCATTAAACCCTGGAGGGCCTAGTTCATGGAAACAGATACCTCACATTTCTGCATTGAATGTGATAGTGATTGGTGGCTGGCATTTTTTCTGAATAGAGAGAATGGCCACATTATTAAAGATGCCCCGGTTGCACCTAAATTTCCAAGACTGAGCAACTCTTACTGGAGAATATTGAATTTCAGTTTTCCCCTCTACCCTAAAAATACCTTAGGTTGCAGAATGGTGCAAAGCCCAGGGCCAGCCCCTTTACTGTGTTTCATGCACCACCCCAGGCATCAGGCATCATGTTACTCCTGGAGGACTTTGGACAAATGACTTAATGTTTTTGTGCCTTAGCTGCTTCTGTCAAATGGGAATAATAATAGCTGTTAACTCGTAGGGTGGTTTTGAGGGTTAAATGTGTTAACATCTAACATGCTTTGAACAATACCTGGCTCACACATTGTAGCTATTATTATTGTTATTATTAGAAATAAGGTCTCACTCTTTTGCCCAGGCTAGAGTGCCATGGCAGGATCATAGCTCACTGCAGCCTTGAACTTCTGGCCTCAAGCGATTCTCCCACCTCAGCCTCCCGGGTAGCTGGGACTACAGGTGCGCACCACCATGTATGGCTAATTTTAATTTTTTGTGTGTATGGAGAAACAGAGATCTTGCTATGTTGCCCAGGCTGGTCTCAAATTCCTGGCCTCAAGTGATATTCTTGCCTCAACCTCCCAAAGTGCTGGGATTACAGGCATAAGCCACCATGCCCTGCTAACTGTAGCTTTATTATTATTATCTTCAAATCAGTTCCCCCTTCCTGCTCTCACTTCTGTATCTCATTGTCTCTGCGGTGAATCATCATGGGCTAGAGGGTGTGGACGGGGCCTTCCAGGCCTAGTTCCCAATGGATGGTTCAAGGCTACCTTCTCCATGTAAGGGAAGCCTTGCTCCAGAGGCTGGACAAACTCCAGGGGCACAGACCCCAAATTTCAGGGTCACAAGCCCCTCTGGAATCTTGGGCAGGTCTCTCTGGCTGGCAATGGGCCACCCATCCTGGCTCTGTCCCTTGGGGCAAATTGTTCAAATAAAGGAGGAGTCTCAGGGTACCCCCTGGTCGGCCCCGCCTGCTCCAGATGGCAGCTTATATCAGGCAAAGTTGCATTTCTAAGGAAGGGTGGGAATCTTTCTTCATTGCTGAGGAAGAGCGTGCCATGCAGGGCTGTCCAACGCCTGGGCATCCTTCAGAAACTCTGGAGCCATGGGGTTCACTGCCAGTACTTAAGCCTGTTTGGCAACTTGAAAAAAAAAAGAAGAGTCCCTATTTTCCCTATTAGCACCTTCCCAATGATTTTGATTTTGCATTTTCTCCAGTATGTGCTCCTCCTCCTCGCATACCAGCAGGCCGCAGAGGAAGGTTTCCCTAATGTTTGGAAACACTGGAGGTAGTTTAGTAAATGGGCCCATTCTGGCAGTGCCGCTCATCCACATTTTCCAAAATGTGTGTAATTCCACTCTAGTCTCGGCTCCCCAGTCCACAATATGTTCTGAAGTGTCAATTCTAAATGCAGCCCATTCCTTGCGCAGTGGGGAAATGTGGCATGCTCTGCGGCGTGGGCCAGGGTGCTTGGTGATGCGGGTGCACTTGGAATTCTATTTAGGCACCCACAAGACACCCCAATATCTTCCCACCCTCAGCAGAAAGATGTGAACTATTGAAGAGCTGTCTGCTTCGCTGCCTTGGGACTGAGGAAACAATTGCTCTCTTGGGCTTGGACTGGCAATTTAGGACTAATGGAGATTGTGGGGAAAGGATGGGCAGGGCAGGTTGGGGTGTGGAGGCTTTTTTCTGCAGCACGGCCCTGGCCCTGGGATGGGAAGCACCTGAAACTTCCCTGCCCAGAAGAGGACAGTGGTCCCCAGGCTGTTTCTACAGGGGCTATAATAGCACGTGGGGACATTGACAATTTAGTCAACTAGCCCCGAACATCTGATTCATTTAGAAATCTGAGTTGACTGGATTCCAATCCAGCTAACGTTTATGGAGCCTCTGTTGTGCGGCCAGCATTGTGCTTAAACTCATGTCTGTTGTTTTCAGCATGACTGGTGGGAGCTCCTACCTGGTTGACATGGGGCACAAAACTGCATCATGTTCTGCTCAGGAAACATGTATTGAGTGGTGCTTCTGTGCTAGGCTTGGGGATTCTGAGTTGAGCGGAGATGAGAAGAGACCTCGTCTCCTACTTCCCTGCCCAGGGGGTCCTGGGTGGTCCCAGAACTATTCAGCAGAAGCATTTGCTTAATCTCAAGGCATTTTGTTCTTTAGGAATTCTGGTTCTATTTCTTATCCAAAAAGAGACACAGATACTGAAGCTGAAATTTGTTATTGTACATAAAACATTCTGTTCGCTTCATCTGGTTATTTGATGGGAAACAGTGGCGTTTGGATGCCTGTTTATTTCTCACTATTGGGAAAATAATCCTGTCCCCCGCAGGCTTGCCACTTGGGTCCACTCCCCATCCTTCTCCAGCACCGGGACTGGGTTTCTGGGGAGCTGGGCACCGTGGCCGTGGGGAACTTAGACTTTCCTTGGATCTTCCTGTTGTAGATTCTCGGCTGTGGGCTCTGCAGTGCATGCAGGAGGGAGCGGGGGTTCCAGAACATGTGATTTGAAAGTAGGAAGAAGGGGGAGATGCCGGATATATCAAAAGCACATGGAGTTTTCACACTGGGGGTAGAGGGATTTAAAAAAATCTCAATTCTGAAAAAGAGACCCGGTGTGCAAAACCCTTTCCAACTCACGAGCTCGTTAGGAGTCGAATTCCACCAAAGCCATGCCAAAGAGTGGGCCTGTAACCCAAGAGATCCCTTTGGAAGGACAGTCAATATCTGATCCCAGGAATAAGGGGAACCCCTGTGTGTGTGAAGAGAAAATCCTAGGTTCAGCTGTGCCTCCCCCCTTCCCTCCCTCCTCCAGGGATCTCGGGTTTAATGTTGGCCCTTTTTGGAATCCACACAGCACCTTTCTCATGGGTTTAAAAATAGACTCCAGGGCTGCCAACCCTCTTAAAAAGAACATGATGGAGATTGGTGCCAACTCTGTGGGGCCTGATCCGGGCTCTGATCACCTCCCTAAATAGACCCCCGCACTTGCCATCCCTTACTCCAGCCAGGCCGGGTGCCCAGGACACCTTAATTGACCACTGGGCACTCCCTACACAAAGTTAAATAGAAAAACAACCAAGACTCCATTCCTCTCTCCCTTTCTTCTGTCACTGCCATTAAGGTTAAGAAGGAATGACCAGGTTTAGGGGGGGTCAGGCTGGATTTCTGATTGAATTCAATGTGACATTTGTGTGGAACATTCTGTAAAGTTCCTTCCTAGTTAATAACATTTCCCCAACAGCGATGCTCCTGGTGGCTGACACACTCCCCAGGGTGGTCGCTGGCTGGGTCTGAGTGGCGATAAACCAGCCTGCCTTTCTCGGTAAAGGGTGGAGTTCCTGGTACCCACCCTTATCAGTGGTGCCCAGAGTCTCTAGGAGCAGGGGCGGCTCCTTGGGTGGGTGAGGATGGAACAGATGGAAGGAGGGTCAGGAGGAGAGCCCAACGGGTCAGCTGGCCACAGCCAGCAGCAGGACACTGCAAGGGCAGCTGCGGACAGGGAGCGTGGGGGCACAACTGAGTCCACACATTGTTTCTTTGCTGCAGAGAATATGGGCATTGAAAAGGGTGCATTGTAAGCCCAAGAGGTCTGGGTGCAGGGTAGAGCTTTGAGATTTCTTGGGATCCTGATCTTGACCATGGATGTTTGACCCTGGGTAAGCAGTGATGAGGCCTTGATTTTCCAGTGTTGAAGCAAGATCAGTGACAACCCACACCTCTGGGGGAGACATTAACCTTTGACAAAAGCTTTAGTCGAGAAGAAATGGAGGGGAGGAGGAAAAAAGAGCATCAGCTGTCATTGATAGAGCACTTACCAAATGTGCCAGAAGTGGTGGTCAGCATTTTACATTATTCTCCCAATATTGGAGAGATGGGTGAAGCTATTTTCACTTTACTGATGAAGAAATCAATGCTCAGAAAAGTCATTTCCTTTATCAAAAGCTGCACAGCTCAATTGTGGGAGACCTACTGATTTAGAGCCTCTTAAGAGGCTGTCCAGAAAGCAAATAGTGTTGTTGCTATTGAGTTCTGGGTTTGAGTTGATTGCATAGGAGGGTTAAGCGCGACGGTCATTGCCACAGGGCCTGAGCTGCCAGGATGCCCTTCTCTCGAATCCTGGGGCTGCCCTGATCTCAGCTCTGATGTCCCTGTAGAGAGGAGCCACTTCATGTCTCTGACTGGCCACCATTTGAAGCAGCCCGGACCTGTTCTCCCAAATCATCCTGGGGAGGCAGAGTCGCCTGAGAATCCCACTCGCATGGGATTCTTTGCTGCAGGCTTGTGTTCTTCCAGCTCGTGAAATCCCTGCAGGAATTGACAGCAGCAGCAGCCCATCAAGTGTCCCAGAGTCCCTGTCTATACTGAGAACAGCCCACTGCATCAAGCCAGGAGCGAGCTGGGGGTTTAAGTGCTGCATAGTCTATTTCTTCCCTTTCTTCTCTCCCACATCATCCCTGCTTGGCATAGCTGCATGTGGCCCAGAGGACAGAACCCCACAGGCGAGGCCTCCAGCTTTTCATTATGCTTGTCTGCAGAGAGACCTGCAAGGAGACAGTAGGTAAAATATTTAGCAAGACGGGAAAAGCCTGAAGACTCCATGAAGCTACAGGCTAGAACAGTGGCCTGTGTCTGCCGAGAGTCTTTAGCCTTTTCTTCAGCCCATCAATTCCTTTCTGGTGGTTTGTTTTGATCTCACTAGCAAGTTCTTAGCACACTAAATGCCTACGTTAAAACGTGCAGCCTTGAAGTATGAACAAAATGCAGATGGAGAAGCAGGATGATTATTTGTGGTCTAAGGGTGTGGTTGTGATGGAAGGTTGAGGGGACAGTCAGTTATGGGGAAAAGAACAATAGTTTAGCTTTCTGAATCCCTAGGGCCCAAAGAGACCCTTCCAAGTCGTACAGCTTACCCAGTGGTCTATATGCCAGATCAAATGTTGAGGTTTTTTTTTTCTGCCATCCTGAAGGATCTCCTGCAAAGATTAAACCCTTTCTGAATAAAGAGTTCTATTAAGTCACGTATCTCTTATAGCTGGAAAGTTCTTTCTGTGGAATCTAAATCTTTTCCATAGCAATTGAACCCCAAGACTTACAGTTTCTTTATGACTCATGGAAGTGTTGGGGACATCATTCTTCTAACACCAGTCAGTAATCACTGTGTTTAGCACTGCCCGGCACTGTGCCAGTCACATAGAGGAGTAGGTGGGGAAAGCAAGGGAGAGGGACTGGGAATTTGGAACATGAGAACCAAGCTGTCTCTGCCTGGGAGACATTTAGAATTCAGTCCTGGTGGCAGGCCACCACACCTGGGACTGGGCACCATATAATTAGCTCCAATGTGGCATTCCAGGCTGCAGTGCTGGAATTTATGTTTCAAGGGCTCTCTCCCTTAGCTTTATCATCTCAGCTCCTTTAGCCTCAGGCCTCACTGAGCAACATGTTTGTAGTTGTGTTCTTTCTCCTCCTCTTGGGCCTTGCCTGACTCATCGCCTGCCTAAGTTTTTCAAAGCCTCAACCCTAAGGAGGTCATGACTAATGTCAAGAATTCTTGGCAGTTCTGAGAACTAAAGTCCTCTGATAATACTTCAGCATCTTTCCCATTACACTCAGAGTGCTGTGGGTTGTATTCAGCTTCTGGTCCACTATGACTATCACATCTTTTAATTTGTGATTGTATATAACCCACAGCGTTGTATAATATGAAGAAAGATACAGCTTAAGAATTATAAGAACCGAGTACCAAAATGCGACTGGGAATGTTTTGCTACTGAGCTTTGAATATTTTACTTGTAAGATCTGTTTATCTCACCTTTAAGACAGATATTCTGTATAGATAGAACTCTCAAAACTCAATAAGAAAACAAACATTCCAACTTAAAAATGGACAAAAGATTTGAACAGATGTATCACCAAAGAAGATATATAAGCTGGGCGCAGTGGCTCACGCCCGTAATCCCAACAACATGGGAGGCCGAGGCGGGCAGAGCACCTGAGGTCAGGAGTTCAAGACCAGCCTGACCAACATGGAGAAATCCCATCTCTACTAAAAAAATACAAAATTAGCTGGGCATGTTGGTGCATGCCTGTAATCCCAGCTACTCAGGAGTCTGAGGCAGGAGAATCGCTTGAACCTGGGAGGCGGGGGTTGCAGTGAGCCAAGATCATGCCATTGCACTCCAGCCTGGGCAACAAGAGCTAAACTCTTCCTCAAAAAAAAAAAAAAAAAAAAAGAAAAAAGAAAAAAAAAAGAAGATATATAGATGGCAGATAAGCACCTGAAAAAGGTGTTTAATATTATCAGTTATTGGGGAAATGCAACAGACCCCTTCTCTACAAAAAATTTTTTTTAATTAGCCATGTGGTGCATCTATTAGGATGTCTGAATTAAGACAGATCATACCAAGTCTTGACAAGGATGTGGACTGGCCGGCAGGAGGCAGGGAATACCAAGAGGCATGAGGAAACTTTTGGAGGTGATTATGCCCATTATCTTATGTGGCCATGGTTTCAGGGATATACATATGCCAAAACTTAGCAAATTGTACATTTTAAATGTGCAACTCGTAGTGTGTCAATTAATCCTCAAATAGTTGCTAAAAAATAGTATCTCTTTCAGTTCATTGTGCAAGTCAATTGCATTCGTGTTTTTAAAAGTATTATATATATTATTTACTCATCTGAGCGGGGAATTTTCTCTCTCTCTCTCTAAATATTAATGTTGGAACAGTGCATTAGAATCCCTTGAGATATTCCACTGGGCTGTGATCAGGGATGTTCCAGTAACCATCATTTATTAATTGGAGTTCTCTGTGTAGAGGATTCTAGCAAATCTGGAAGGTGGTTTTCAGAGGTACAAGGCGAGAGACCTGGAGGGTGAGCTGGGCTTTAGCAGCATGTGCCTGGGGAGGGAAGGGGCTGTGTGACTTACATCCAGACAGGCTGCTGCCTTCGAGAGGGTGCCCATCCTCAAGTTCAGCCCCAGTGCTGTGGAGGATCTTATGCCTGGAGAATTCTCACATTGTCATCTTCAAATACCAGTTTTTTAACCCCCATGGGGAGGAGTTGTATTATTACATTTCAGATCCCTCTTTTTGGCAACACCCTGGCCTTTTCTCTTGATCTTTGATTATCCCACTTCCTTGGGATGCCCCCTGATTGCTGCATAGCTTTGAAGCGTACCTGGCTTTGTAACACACTCTCACAGTATTTTCTTCTTTTTTAATTTTTATTTTTTTAGAGACAGGGTCTCACTCTTGTCACCTGGGCTGGAGCGCAGTGTTGCAATCATAGCTCACTGCAGCCTCCAACTCCTGGGCTCAGGTGATCCTCCTGTCACAGCCTCCTGAGTAGCCAGGACTACAGGCATGTGCCACCTTGCCTGGCTAATTAATTTTTTTTTTTTTTTTTGTGGAGACAGGGGGTCTCACTATGTTGCCCAAGCTGGTCTTGAACTCCTGGCCTCAAGCAATCCCCCCGCCTCAGCCTCCCAAAATGCTGGGATTATGATCCTTCAAGATCATCCCCCACATTATCTCTTCCTGGCGCTGAGTACACTATTGTTAGGAATCTTGCTGGTGCGGCCAGTGGCAGGGCTTTGGATCAATTTGGCTTAGAACCAGTTGGACCCACCATTTACTAGTGGTGACCTTGGTCTCCACCCATTACCTCCCTGGGCTCAGTTTCTTCATTTATCCAACTGTAGTAGTGTTGCCTACCTTATGGGTGGCTGTGAGGATTAAATGAGATAATGCAGTATGTCCATCAGCTAATAGGCGCTGAGCGTGCTAGTTCCTCACCAACGCGCAGCTGTACTGTACAATGTCAGGGGACAGCGGGAGAGGAAAAGAGCATTTGGTATTGTGTCTTGACTGTGACTTGAAGCCAGCAAGAAGCCGGCTTATGATACAAAACACCTATGATCTGAACAAGCCATATTGCCAGGGGCCCAGTTACCTGACACTGCTTTTACTTACGGTTCCCTCATCCCTCTGAATTGAGCCTACTCTTGATGATGTCACCCCTAGTCTTCTCCAAAATCCCAAACATGGGTTTTGACATCTGCCCCTGAAATGACTGCATGAAAGGGTGATAGTGGTCCCAGGACAGAACACTGGTTGCTTACTGCACGGACACAGCCTCGGGTGACGCTAGTTAACCGCCAGCGTCAGAGCAGTGCGGGAGGCAGCGGGGAGTGACAGCTCTGCCCTCCTGCAACCCAGCTGCGTCTGGCGGCTCTCAGGCAGAATCTGGAATAGGCTGATTAACTGGTATCTCACGACACGATGGAAGAGCTCAAAACATGCAAATCGGTTATGGGGCATAAATAGAGTTTGCTGAGCTCACCCCGGCCACGTCTCGGCAAGCTCCGGGGCCCATTCACCAGGGCATTCGGGGAGGCGGGAGGCAGGGAGGGAGGCCATGCAGCTTGGAGCTCCTCACCTCCACTGGACGTGTGTGCCTCCCCTCCGCAGGGGCAGGACGCCCGCCCCGAGCCCGCCGGCCGGCACCTGCAGCTGGGGCTGCACCCCCGCCCGCGCCCCCGCGCGCACCCCCTTCGCAGGGCTTGGCAGCAGGTGCCTGCTCTCCGGAGAGCGCTTCGCATTAACTTTCCCATCTGACATAATCATGGAGAGAAAATGAAGAGATCCCATTAGCGGCAGGCTGGCGGGCGGGAGAGCGCAGGGCCAGGGCCGGGCCGGGGCGAGTGGAGGGCGCCTGTATTTTTAGCCAGATGCCGCGTAACTTGCTGGCGCTCCCCGCGCCGCCCAGCAGATAACCGGGAGGGGGAGCGGGAGCCGGGCTCGGATTTCAGCGCGGGCGCCGGACGATGGCAGCGCGACAGGGCAGGTCCGGGCCAGACCCTGCGGTGAGTGCACGAGCTGTCGCGGTTGCCCGGCCGGGGCCGGGGCGCGGGGATCGGGGCCGGGGCCGGGGCCGGGGCTCTGCGTCCGTCCTGCGGGTTGTGGCTCCGCGCCCGGCTGCCCGGCGCCAACTTTCCCCGGCGGGTGCGGGTGCGCGCGCTGGGGCTGCCCTTCTGCTGCCGAGGCTTCTAGCAGGATCCAGAGGAAAATTCCTCTGGCCTGAAGGCTGCGGCCGCGGAGGGGCTGGAGCCGGGGTTGGGAGGCAGCGGGACTTGTGGCCGGCCTGGAAGAGGGGCACGGGCGGGAGCGTGGAGCCGCCGCCGGGGTGCCCCGAGGGGGGCCGGGCCCTGGCCGAGGCCAAGTCCCCTCACCCCAGGGGACAGCCTGGCCGGGTAGATTCAGCAGGGGGTGGGAGATGCACGGCCTTGGGCCGGGCGGGGACCTGGCTTGCGGCACGTCTGGCCCCTAAAACTCAGAAACGTGAGGCGCCCGGAGGCCCCCAGGTAGCAGGAAATGAATGGGGCAGAGGAAGGCAGACCTGTTGGGCGCCCTGGCAAGCCTGGAGCTCTCTGCCGCTGTCCCCTTCGATTCTCGCAGCCCCCTGGCAAGATCCCCATTTTAGCAATGGGGAAATGGAGGTTTGGGGCCTTAGATGAGCACAGCATCAAGTGGTCGAGCAGTGCATCTCAGCCAGGTCTTCCCCAGTGACGTCCCAGCCCACCCTGCCCAGCCTCCAGGGTCGGGTGCAGACAGCACAGGGAACCCCAGGGGTTTTCCCAATGTCCCGAGTTCGGGTTGAGAGATTAAGAGGGAGCCCAGCACTTCCGCTCAGGCGTCTTGTTTCCTCAGTGACACCTTTAACTTATTCATTTTATTTTTGCCAATGGTAGTCAGACTGGGGAGCCTGGAGACAGTTTGTAAAGCTGTAACAGCACACCTTTCTGGAAGGCAAAAGGAAAGAAACATAATAAAACACACACTCACTAGGGCCCAGTGTTCACCTCTGTTTCTCCATCGTCAAGGGAGTAAAGGCAGGGCTACCAGGCTATGCTGGCTGGGGACAGCTGTCTTTCCTCATACCCCAGTGCGGCTCTCAGATCCCCCAAGCACAAGCAGACAGCTCCACATCAGGGCTGCTGCCTGTCTTCTGGCTGGGCTGCAGGTCCCCCAGGAAAGGACCTGAAATCTCTTCCTGAGAGCTCTGACAGTGGCTGCGTTAAAGAAGCTGCATTTTGCTCCAACAAGACCCCTTGGGAAAGTGGCATTGCCTTATGACTGTTTACAGCAATTGATATTAGCTCAGTTTCCATTCGCCTTTCTAGATAGGAATTTTGTACTAAAAATCTTGAGGTCAGTCATGATTTGTCCTAGGGAAAACTTAGGCCACCCCAACCCCCAGAGAAGGTGTGAGGAGGCCCTGGGGTTCTCTCACCTGGGTCTGCCTGCTGGTGTTTCCCAATGTCCCCTGCTCATGGGTGACAGCATGTTGACATTCTGCAGCGTGCTTCCGGCCCCTCCCTCTCAGGATACTGGAGCCCCCTCGCACCCCATCTATTGCTATATTAGTATCTGCTCAGGAAGTGCAAGTTTAATAATAGTCTGGGTGTCTCAGGTAACCAGGATTCACCACCCTTTCAGAGCAGTCCTGATGAGAACTTAATTCCTAGGAAGAATTCTGTTCCCTTCCTTCTCTTCCATTCCCTTTCTCCTGACGTGGGCACAGCCTCCAAACCCAGGCAGAAGGCTTTCTCCAGCCAGAGCTGAACTGGAGAGGACCCTTATGAGCACTAGAAAATGATTAGGCCAGCACAGTGGCGCATGCTTGTAATCCCAGCATTTTGGGAGGTGGAGGTGGGAAGATTGCTTGAGGCCAGGAGTTCAAGACCAGCCTGGGCAACATAGGGAGACTTTATCTCTACAAAAAATAAAGAAATTAGCCAGGTGTGGTGGTGCACGCCTGTAGTTTCAGCTATTCGGGGGAAGGGGGTGTTGACGCAGGAGGATCTCTTGAGCCCAGGACTTTGAGGCTGCAGTGAGCTATAACTGCACCACTGGGGGACCACTCTGGAAGAAAGAGGGAGACTCTGTCTTGAAAGAAAGAAATGGAGAAGAGAGAGAGAGAAAAAGAAAGAAAGAGAAAAAAAGAGAAAGAAAAAGAAAGAAAGAAAGAAAGGAAAAGAAAGGAAAGGAAGGAAGAAGGAAAGAGAGAAAGAGAGAGAGAGAAAAAGAGAAGGAAGGAAGGAGGGAAGGAGGCAAAGAAGGAAGGAAGGAAAGAAGGAAGGAAGGAAGGGAAATGATTGACCCAGGAAGCGGTATAGCACAATAGTTAAGAAGTATGCTACCTAGACTCAAATCCTGGCCATGCTACATATTAGCTATGTGACTTTGGACAAGTTACTTTTCTGTGACTTGGTCACTTCATCTATAAAAAGGAGATAACAAAACACGTGCCTTGTGAGATTATTCTGAGGAGGGAGTGAATTAATTTATGTGGTGTGTTTAAAACCTAGGGAGAGCTTTGTGAAAGTAAACTTGTTTTGTTTTGAAAGGAAGTTCAGGGACATCACATTGATTAGGCAGCAGGGATGCAGGCACAGCAGAATGTCTGCTGTGTGCAGATCCCCGAACACGCACACAGGTAGAATTAGATTAAAACGAAGCTAGAGATGAGGAGGGGAAGAGACACCAGAAGACAGCTTTGGTGGGGTGCACAACAGAGGTGCCAGCACCTCACTGGTGGCCAGGGCTTGTGGACACGGTGGGGTAGTTTTCTGTATAGGATGAGCAGGCCTCCTGGCCTCCTGATCTGGGAATGGATGAGCCTTGGAGAGGGCCAGTCATTCTGCTCCGGTTTGTCATAGCCCAGAGATGGTCAGGTTTGTATTTTGTTGCTGTTGTTTTTTGGGTCAGTATGTGCTCAGGTAAATGTTTTGAATGGAACACATTGGATTCTTTGGACACGCCTCCTGCCCTGTTGCATTTGCTGGATGTACTGAGGACAGGTCATTGAATTGGAGCAGTTGGACTACACAGATGGGCAGTAGGGGCTCAGCAGAACACGATGGTAAAGATGAGTCTCATATCCCAACAAGGGCCATTTGCTCTGTAGCTGAAATATTGCCTGGCCCCTAGGAGGTTCTCAATGAATACTCATGGAATGGATCCACAGGTGCATGCAATGCACATGACCGCTTTATAACACAATTGCTTGATTATTCAGATCAAGAGAGCAAGGACCTATATTCTGAGTGATTATTCTCTCTTTGCCCTAGCAGGATATTGGTCCTGAAATAGGACCCCAGTAAATACATTGTGGAATTAAACTGAATGATGTGTAGTTGCTACTGGGAGTGGCATCATTATCTGCAGTTCACCTCCCAGATGCCCTGAGGATCCTGCAGAGTCCTGACTACTCTATGCCTGGAGAAGCCCAAAAAAAAAAAAAAAAAAAAAAAAAGAAAAAAAGAAAAAAAGAAAGAAGAAAGAAAGAAAAAGCTTTAGCAATTGCACTTCACTGCTAACTATCTAGGTGACCTTAGCCGGTCACTTTACTTCCCTGGGCCTCAATTTTATCCTCAGTGACAAGAAGGGCTGGAACTAGATGGTTCCCTTCTAGAGACCTGTCTTGGTCTGAATAGAGTGCTCAGGGACAGAGCCTGAGTGGGACCTCCTAGCATTTTTCCTCTGCCATGGATTAGCTCTTTAACGGCCGAGGCATATAGGCCTGCCCAGCCGCCAGCCTGTCAGGGCTGCCTGAACACCCTCAGGCTTGAAATGGCCAAGAACGCCCTTGGGGTCAAGGGCAGTGGAAAGGCATAGACTTCAGTGGGGTACCCCTGGATTGAATCACCCCAAGTATTTATCTGCAGAACTTGGGCAAGTTATTAACCTCTCAAAACCTCAGTTTCATCACCTCTAAAATGGGGATAATAATTATACCTACCCACAGGTTGTTATAAGAATTAAAAGATATAATGCTGGTAATACATTTGTCCCAATGGTTGGTATTATAATTTTAGTATTCTATTATGGCAACAACAGAAATGGTTTAGCTTTCCTCAATCTAGTCCATATGGAGCTTCCCTTACCCTCTATTTATGTGCTTGTCTGTCATAAATTTTTTTTTTTTTTTTGAGACAGAGTCTCTCTCTGTCGCCCAGGCTGGAGTGCAGTGCCGCAATCTCAGCTCACTGCAAACTGCCTCCCAGGTCCAAGTGATTCTTCTGCCTCACCCTCCCAAGTAACTGGGATTACAGGCATGCACCACCATGCCCGGCTACTTTTTCTATTTTTAATAGAGATGTGGTTTCACCATGTTGACCAGGCTGGTCTCTAATTCCTGGCCTCAAGTGATCCATCTGCCTTGGCCTCCCAAAGTGCTGAGATTACAGGAACCACCACGCCCTGCCAGTTTGTCATAAATATTCTTCTTTTCTTCCTGGATTCAGTGCTTTGAGCAGTCAGTGTCATTAGTGGATATTGAGTCTATTTTTATCCACCCATTCTCAGGTTTTCAGCCTGAATCCTATTATTGTGCCATAAACGGTAGTTAATTGGTGGGAGAAATGTCTCTTTAACATTCTTATTCTTGGGGAATAATATAGTGTTTTTCCTAATAACTGAATCTAGACAGACTTTCTGAATCAGTAGCATAAGTAACATTTATCTGAGAGACTAAACCTTGACTGGGTTTTCTCTGGAAACCCAGCTCATGCCTGGAGAGCCAACAGCTTGATCTTCATTTCTGAAATATTTCCTGCCCCACAGATGCCTTGCTGAGGAACCTAGGATGTGAATGCCATGTGCTTTAGGTCAAGGGAGGCCTCGCCCTAGCAGACACTTAATGCTTTGGAGGATTCAAAAGAGATAGAAGACTTGGTCCCTGCCCCAAGAAGCAAACAGTTTGGCTGGGGAGACAAGACTTGCCTGAATTCAATAGCTAGAGAAAGAGATATTTTAAGTGCATTAAAAAAAAAACAAGCTCCTGTTTTGTGGTTCCTAGATTTAAAGATGGCAAATACTGAGTGTCTAAGCATAGTGTCATTCATGCAGGAAGTAGCCACCATCAGGGCCTTGAAGGGAAGAAAGATTGGAAGTAGCAAACCAGAGGGAGATGGAGCTTCAGGGCCCAGGGAGGAGGAAGGTGCAGGCTAGGAGGTAGACAGAGCATGAGAATGTCACAGAGGACAAGGGAGGTGAGAAGGGGCTCCTGCCGCTGTGGGGACAGCGAGATGAGTGTGCCTCATGAACAGACAGCCACAGGGCTTGGACTTGAACTTGAGCTTACATCATAGGGGGCCCATGTGGGACCTGAGGTTGGGGAGGGCTGGCAGGAAGTCAGGATTTGGGGAAGACCAGTTAGGCAGGGATGGAGGAGGTTGGCTGGGTGAGGCAGGGATGGAGGAGGTTGGCTGGGAGGCAGAGCGAGGAAGCAGCATTTCTGCAGGCCTGGGGTTGTGGGTGGGGGCTGGGAGGTGGTGTGGGGCAGCACCTGAGTGTGGAGGGAGGACCCCCTGTCTGGAAGGCTGGAGAACCCTACTGCTGATGCCCTAGGGACTCCCTGTTTCAGTGGTGAAGACGTGAAGCGCTGCTTTGTGGAGGAGGATGAGAGTTCCATTTGGTCTTCGGCTGTAGATTTGGAGTCTTCTGTGTTCAAGGGTGTTCAAGGGTGGTCATCACTAGTGTGTGCATGAGTTTCCCATGGTTGCTGTAACAAATCGCCACACACTTAGTGGCTTGACACTACGGAAATGTGTTCTCTCGCTGTCTGGAGGCTGGAGATCTAAATTAAGGCCTCCACAGGGACACACTCCCTCCAGGGCTTCAGGGCCTTCTTCTATGAGCCTCCACCTCCCAGAGGTTCCTTGCTTCCTTGTGCATGGCTAAAGTCACTCCAGTCTCTGGCTCTGTCTTCACATAGTTTCACCTCTGTGTGTGTGTATACGTGTGTGTGAACATGTGTGTGTGTGTGTGTGCACACAGGTCTCTGTATGTGCATGTGTATGTGTGCAGGTGTGTGTATCTGTGCATGTGTGTGCGTGTGTGTGTATGCATCTCTTGGTGTGCATGTGTGTGCACACACGTCTGTGTATGGGTGTGTATGTGTAGATTTGTGTGCACACATCTGTGTGTGTGTGTGTGAATCTGTGTGTGTGCGCATGCATCTGTGTGTGCATGTGTGCATACACATATATGTGCATGCATGTGTGTGTGTGTGTGTGTGCATGTGTGTCTTCTCCTTTTCTGTCTTTTCTAAGGACACTTGTCATTGAATTTAGGGCCAGCCTAGGTAATCTAGGATGATCTCGTCTCAAGATCCATGACTTAATTACATCTACAAAGACTTTTTTTTCAAATAAGGTCACCTTCACAGGTTCCAGGGATAAGAGTGTGGACATATCTTTTGGGGGGCACCATTCAGCCCACTGCAGCATGTTTTTTTTAGGAGGGCATGTAGAGGAAGGAGACAAAGTGCCTGGGTGGAGAGGAAGCCACTGTGGGTCTTCTGTGGGAATGGCGTCACACGCTTCTCCCATGTGTGGCTTGTCATATGACCACTCTCACCCTTTCAACTCAGCCTTGTATGCAACTATGTGCCAAACACTGTTTATTTCTTTTAAGCATCATGAAAAGGGGACAAGAAAGGCTTTACTCTCCCCAGCTTACAAATAAGGAAATAGAAGCCAACGGTGTCTAAGTACCTGAGGGCACTCAGCTAGACCCAGTGGAGTGGCTCTGAGTCTAGGCCACGGACTCCAATGCCTGAGGACTGGGCTTTAATCATTACATTTGTCTTTGTGAGTGTATTAGTCTGTTCTCACACTGCTAATAAAGATGTACCCGAGACTGGGTAATTTATAAAGGAAAGAGGTTTAATGGACTCACAGTCCAACGTGGCTGGGGAGGCCTTACAATCATGGCAGAAGATGAAGGAAGAGCAAAGGCATGTCTTACATGGCAGCAGGCAAGAGAGTATGTGCAGGGGGGTCTCTTCTTTTTAAAACTATCAGATCTCATGAGACTTATTCACTTTCATGGGAACAGCATGGGAAAAACCAGCCCCCATGATTCAAGTACCTCCCACCAGATCCCTCCCAGGGCACGTGGGAATTATGGGAGCTACAATTCAAGATGAGATTTGGGTGGTGACACAGCCAAACCATATCAATTAGTAAACTTTATTTTATTGTCCTCAGCTCTCACCCTCTCTGGCTGTCACTCATCTTTAAAGGAAACAGATGTTCCTGGGGGCAAGGTCTGAGATGCATGGGGTGGGTGACGTAGCAGCAGCTAAGGAACAGAAGAGCTTCACTCTCATTTAAGAAATCTGTTGGGGGGCGCCTGGTGTTAAAGCTGAGACCGAGCTGGCTGCAGAGCTGGGAGGTTCGGCTCATGAATTTCTGAGCCACACTACCTGCATCTGAGTCCTGGCTGTGCCTCCTCCCTGCTGTGGGATGCTGCACAAGGCACTTCTGCTCTCTGTGCCTCAGCCCACTCATCTGTAAAATGGGACTCTGCAATCCCACTTACCTCTTGGGTATTCCAAATGAGGATAAAATGCTTATCTGTGCGTGTGCATGTGTGTGAATATATATTATAGTCATCCTTCGGTATCTGTGGGGGATTGGTTCCAGAACCCCCTGTAGATACCAAAATCCACAGATCCTCAAGTACCTCATGTAAAGTGATATAGTGTTTGCATATAACCTACCCACATCGTCATATATACTTTAAATCATCTCTAGATTACTTATAATACCTAATGTAAGTGCTTTGTAAATAATTGTTGTACAGCATTGCTTTTCTGTATTACTGGGTTTTTTTGTTTGTTTGTTTGTTTTTGAGACGGAGTCTTGCTTTGTCACCAGGCTGGAGTGGAGTGGTGCGATCTCGGCTCACTGCAACCTCCACCTCCCGGGTTCAAGCGATTCTCCTGCCTCAGCCTCCTGAGTAGCTGGGACTACAGGTGCACGTCACCAAGCCCAGCTAATTTTTGTATTTTTAGTAGAGATGGGGTTTCACCATGGTGGCCAGGATTGTCTCTGTCTCTTGACCTCGTGATCCACCTGCTTTGGCCTCCCAAAGTGCTGGGATTACAGGTTTGAGCCACCACGCCCAGCCTTCTGTTAGTATTACTTTTTATTTTAGTATTGTTATTTTTAATTTTTTTCCTGCAAATTTTCCATCCACAGTTGGTTGAATAAATGGGCTTGACTGTATATGTAAAGTGCTAATAATGGCTCTTAGCACATAGTAAGTGCTATGTGCTGTTTACTTGACAGCACATAGCTGTTTGTTTACTTAACAAAAACACAGGGCTGGGTATGGTGGCTTATGCCTGTAATCCCAGCACTTTCAGAGGCCGGGGCAGGAGGATTGCTTGAGCCCAGGAGTTCGAGACCATCCTGGGGAACATAGTGAGACCCCATCTCTAAAAAGGAAAAACAGACAAATAGAAACAAAAACACAAAACAGCTCCAAAGAGCCCACGCTTGGTTCCTTTGGTGCCTGCATTCATGATTCTTGGGGCCAGGGACCTCTGTGATATTGCAAACTCTTCAGCAAGACTGTGGAGCCCCTGAAACCTCAGAGCAGGGAGACACCAGGCTGTGCTGTGCGCTTGCCATAGGAATGGGCTCCCCCTCAAAGGCTGATTCTTCCTGAGTCCAAGCCAAGAACGTTTGCTTATAAAAATACCAAAAGGGGGCCAGGCACGGTGGCTCATGCCTGTAATCCCAACACTTTGGGAGGCCAAGGTGGAAGGATCGCTTGAGCTCAGGAGTTTGAGACCAGCCTGAGCAACATAGTGATGCCCTGTCTCTATAAAAAAAAAAAAAGTTTAAAAAAATAGTTGGGCTTGGTGGTACACACCTGTAGTCCCAGCTACTTGGGAGGATCTCTTGAGCCCAGGAATTCAAGGCTGCAGTGAACTGCGCTTGTGCCACTGCACTCCAGCAGCCTGAGTGGCAGAGCAACACTCTCTCTTAACAAAACAAAACAAAAAACAAAAAACCAAAGGAAGGGAGGCCTGGGTGTGAAGGCAGTCCAACCAGGGGCTCTCAGGCTCCTGTGCACACCTGGTGTCACTGTGGGCACCAGGGTGCCACATCAGAGGATGCAGGGGCTGCTGCGGGGGCCTGGGACTTGAACGGGGTGGAGAAGTCATTAATACACCCAGGACACTCACCGCCTGTTGTTTTTCCTCACAGGCCGATGCTGCTACCAGCTTTCTGAGAGCAGCAAGATCAGGTAACTTGGACAAAGCTTTGGATCACCTGCGGAATGGGGTAGATATTAACACCTGTAACCAGGTAAGTGGGATGGAGGCAGGCCTGTTGTCTCTGAAGAGTAGCTCTTGCCTGATGCCATTTCCTGAGAGCTTTGAAACTGCCTCTATTAACCTTTTCTCAGTGGCCTCAAAACTCCCCCAGGGCTCCTGCCTGTGGAAGGCCCTAACCTTGCTGTTTCCACTCCTGCCGTGGCCCAGGGCCCCACAGAGAAGGGCTGATGCCTGAACAGTGTGGGCGAGGCCCGCACAGATCCCCTGCGGTCTCCTCGCTTAGAAGTTGCAATTGATTCCCGCTGTTGTCTTAGAATATGTGGCCTTTGAATTGGGGCAGGAGGAAGAGCCTTTGAAAGATGCTGTGTCAGTGGGGATGTTCAGTCTCCTTTGTCCACCAGCAGTCTGTGTGGGTTCTCGGCTAGCCTGAGAAGAAAGTCGAGGAACGAGGCCCCGCTTGTGTTAGGTGCTGACAAAGGCGAGTGGGCTCGGGTTGAGGATGGTGGGGCTGGTGCAGAGGCTGGCTCTCCAGGGCTCCTGAGTGACACAGCCAAGCCTTAGCTTCAGAAGGGGCTGGCGAGGAAACAAAATGTGTTTGGGTTGGGTTGGAGGGCAGAGACTCGGGCTTGGAGCCAAAGATCCAGGAACTAACTAAATAGAGAGGCAATGACCCTCCAGGAAGGGAACAGGTGTGTGGCTTGGGCTTGTGGATTGGTGACAGGTTTTGTTTGTTTGTAGATATTTGCCTGCCAATTAAGTTGTTTAGTTACACATGCTAATTGTTTCTAATTTAGAATACAGTTATCCATTGCGACTTTTTAAAAACCATCTTAGCCATTAAAAATGTGTGTTTAATTGTGGTCAGATATGCAGCATAGAATTTCCTGTCTTAACCATTTTTCGGCGTACAGTTCAATGGGATTAAGTCCATTCATATTATCCTGTAATCATCATCCATCTCCAGAACTCTTTTCATGTTGCAAAACTGAAACTCTGTTCTCTTTAAACACTAACGCCCCATTTCCGACTACTCCCCAGCCCCTGGTGGCCACCCTTCAACTTCCAGTCTCTACGAATTTTACTACTATAGGGACCTCACAGAAACGGAATCCTGCTATATTTGTACTTTTGAGATTGGCTTCTTTTATTTAGCATAGTGTCTTCATGGTTCCTCTGTACTTTAGTGGCTTGGGTGACTTTTCCAAGCCAGCAGGGCCAGATTTTCTGAACGTAGGTTAGGTTTTCCATGGGCGACATGCCTCTGTCCTACCCCCTCATCTACTGTTTCCCTATCCATCCTGCCCCTGTTTAAAATGCAAAATACTATCCGGTGTAGTGGCTCATGCCTGTAATGCCAGCACTCCAGGAGGCTGAGGTGGGCGGATCACCTGAGCTCAGCAGTTCGAGACCAGCCTGGCCATCGTGGAGAAACCCCATCTCTATTAAAAGTACAAAAATTAGCCGGGCATGGTGGTGCATGCCTGTAATCCCAGCTACTTGGGAGGCTGAGACAGGAGAATTGCTTGAACCCAGGAGGCGGAGGTTGCAGTGAGCCGAGATCATGCCATTGCACTCCAGCCTGGGTGACAGAGCGAGACTCCATCTCAGAAATAAAATAAAATAGACCGGGCGCGGTGGCTCACACCTGTAATCCCAGCACTTTAGGAGGCCGAGGCAGGCAGATCACGAGGTCAGAAGTTCGAGACTAGCCTGGCCAATATGGTGAAGCCCTGTCTCTACTAAAAATACTAAAATTAGCCGGGCATGGTGGTGCGTGCCTATAGTCCCAGCTATTTGGGAAGCTGAGGCAGAAGAATCGCTAGAACCCAGGAGGCGGAGGTTGCAGTGAGCCGAGATCGTCGTGCCACTACACTCCAGCCTGGGCAACAGAGTGAAACTCTGTCTTAAATAAATAAATAAAATAAATAAATAAATAAATAAAATGCAAAATACTACCTGCCTCCATTCCTAGGGCTAAGACCCCATTTGGATTCAGTTGGTCTTGCAGTGGCAGAAATTCACAGCTAAAAGATCAGAAAGAATGGAGCAGTATGGTATGTGATGGGAAACAGAAGTAGGTGTGTGATAAGAAGCAAAGACCCTGGCAGTGCACTTCAGAGGGAAAGTGAGGTATGTGGACCTGACTGGAATTTGCAAACTGGATGAAGGACCAGGCCCCCCGCCCCTTTTCTCATCCCTCCACCCAGAAATGCCAACATCCACATATCCACAGCCCAGAGGACATTGTGGTGGTTCTAACAAAGCATCTGCCAGGCTGGCCTTTGCATAGCAGGTTGAAACTCAGCCCATTTTTTGATGCCAAGAGGTGGATGCAGCAAAGCCTGGAGGCAGGGTGAGAGTCTTGGTGTGAGAGTTGTTCAGGAGACAGGGTCTGGGACCTTCTTAGCACTGCACCTCCAGAAGCAGCTGCACAGGCTGCAGCTGTGTTGCCCCAGCCCCCCATAGGCAGGGTGGGTTGCTCGCTCTCTCCACCTGGGATGCATTCTTGGGCTTGCAGAGATGCACACCTGGAGGCTTTCTTTGTTCTTACTGTGGCTGGAGAATTGCAGATGTGTTTCTCCGCAGTGCAGTTCTCAGCGGAGGTGAATCACACCTTCAGAGGCCTTCCAAGGGTTAAGATTCTAGCTCTCAAAGGAATCCATTCAGCTGAAATGGGGACAACTGAACGTGTGTTAGACTTGAGCCAGGGCTCATTTTCTGTGTGAAATTGGAAGATTTTGATGCCACCAGGGAATAGCTGTGTCCTGATTGGTCTCCCGTTGGAGAGGCCTTGGGTGTAACTGCCTTGTCACTCTGCCTTCTCTCCTCAGAGCACCTCTTCGGTTCGTTTTGGGCTCAGAGAGCAGCAAGCACCGAGGTATTATTTGCACTTTATTGACACCATTTCCGATTGGCTCAGCGCCAGTGACAAGTGGCTGTCAGCCCTGCTTCAGGCTGAGGGGAGGCTCCTGCCTCAGACTCAAGACTGCAGTCCTGGCTAAGCCTGGCCTCTCTCTTAAAGAGGACACTGCCACAAGTTATGAAATGAGCGTCAGAAGGGAACGAAAGACAGGACACACCAAGTGCAAAGCCCCTTGCTGCTGGTTAATTCCCACAGCTGCCAGATGTGGCCCTGTTGGTCCCTGTTTTATGGTCTGTGGCTGAGCAGAACAGGTAGCTGCAGGTGGCTGCGCCTGGAAAGGAGCTGGTCAGGGTTCCCTGAACCTCATTCTGGTTGCACAGGGCAGTTTGGTTTTGCTGTTGCAGGGAGAGTCCTGGTGGTGGGGGAGGGACTGCAGTGGCTGAACCCATGCCTGCATGAAACCCACGAATGCACCCAGCGGGACGATCCTGCATCTGCGTAATGTGCACAGGGCCAGCCTCTTAATGCTACTAGAGCTTTCTGCTCTTTAAAACACGCATAAAAGCAAGCTCTTGTCCCGGGGTCATGGCAAGAGAATTTGCTTTCGGCTTGAATCTTCTGAGCTGATGGACTGTGGTGGCAGTAACAGGGCAAATACTTATCCTTACATAAGTAACACACTTTCAAATAGTATGTTTTTGTGGAAAGAATGCGTACTGTTTGCCATAATAGGAAGTAATTACTCTAAGTAGCGTGGAAAGAGGAACTCTTGGCTTATATAAGAGATGTCTGAATATTCAGGGCAGTTCCTTGTTGTATAGACTGTGTCTACTAATGTTCTATCATCATTATCATTACCATGTCTACAGAAAAGAAGAAATTTATATGTAAGAACACACACATGTGTGCATACAGGAACCCCCTTATGTGAATGCCAATTTTAAAATTTATTGTTTGCACTTTAGATGCCTGTGTCTAATGTACTTCCTGTGCATCTCCACGTGTATATGGAGAGCTGGGCTGAAGGGATAGAATAATTTCATTTTAAAGTCACGTTCCTTATCCGTTCTGAACTGTAGTCTATTGGCAGTGAGAGCTATTAATCAAATAATGACACAAACAGATATGCATACCAAAAACTATGTTAGGAACCATGAATGGAAGGCAGAGAGTATATGAGAGGACTGCCCTAGAGTCAGAGGTCAGAGAAGGCTACCATGAGGAAGAGACAGCTGAGGTGAGGGAGGAGCAGAGGCAAATAAGGTGAAGCAAGGGAGAACATGCCGGTCTTAGAGAGCAGCCTGTGCAAAGCCCCAGAGGCAGAGAAAGGAGCAGAGGGTTGAAGGAAGGCCAGAGTGGGTGCAGTGCAGACAGCACGAGAAGCCAGGCAAGGTGGAGCTGGGATTGTGCTGGAGCTTACAGGTAGGGGCGAGAGTCACAACACTCAGCGACAGAGACAGGGACGTAAAGATGGGAACAGGAGACACTGGGAACTATGGGTGTGGGAGGGCGGGAGGAGGGCATGGGTGGAAAAACTAACTATTGGGTACCGTGTTCACTACCTGGGTGACAGGATCATATGCCCTCCAAACCTCAGTGTCATGCAGTACATTCATGTAACAAACCTGCACAGGTACCCCCGAATCTAAACTAGAAGTTGAAATTATAAACAACTGGGACAGCGTGCCCCTGGGCCAGAGCTGTGTGTGTGCATGCATGTGTGTGCTAACCAGCTGCACCAGATGTTAACCCCGTAGTTGCTGACTGAGGGGAAGGGGTCTGGGGGAGGGGGACAGTGGCCAGAGCAGCAGGGATGGGGTACTTAAGAGCCTGCAGCAGGCCGGGCGCGATAGCTCATACCTGTAATCTCAGCACTTTGGGAGGCCGAGGTGGGCAGATCACCTGAGGTCAAGTGTTCGAGACCAGCCTGGCCTACATGATGGAACTATTTAGTCTCCACTAAAATAAAAAATTAGCCGGGCATGATGGCAGGCACCTGTAATTCCAGCTACTTGGGAAGCTGAGATGCAAGAGAATCTCTTGAACCCAAGAGGCAGAGGTTGTGGTGAGCCGAGATCGAGCCACTGCACTCCAGCTTGGGCAACAGAGCAAGACTCTGTCTCAAAAAAAAAAAAAAAAAAAAGAGCCTGCGGCAGTGGCCACTGACCTGGAGGAGTGGAGCGTTTCAGCATTTAACACCTGCACAGCTGTACTGCTGTGTCCTGGTTGAATATCCCCCCCTTGTAGAAGCCACATGAAGGATTCCAGTCTTTCTCCCGAGCATAGAGGAAAGTGAACCACAGATTCAAGCACAGGAGTGACGTGATCAGGGTTGTGCTTTAAAGGGTCTCACTGGCTACCGCATGGAAAACAGGCGGAGGGCCCAGCGGTGCAGTGGGGGGGGGCCTGTGTGTGCCCAGCAGCGCAGGAGGGACGTGTGGGCATCTTGGATGAGGGTCATGGCTGTGGAGATGGAGCAAAGCCAAGCAGGCTTGGGTGATGGATTGGATGGGGCACTGAGGGGAAGTAGACTCAAGAAAGACTTTCCGAGGGCTGGCTTCCACGGCAGGTGGGTGGTGGCACCATCCACTAAATGAGGGATGCTGGGAGCAGACCGGTGTGTGGAAACACGGGGGAGGAGTCAAGAGCAGAGCTGTTCCAGATCCTGGTAAGGAGGCTCTGAGGAATCCAAGCAGAAATATATAGTAAGCAGTTGGATATTTGAGCCTGGAACTCAGATAAGAGGTCCAGCCCAAAGATAGATATTTGGAAGTCATTCAGCCTTCGAGGAAGTCGAGTGCTGACGGGGGCTGATGAGAGCAGGGAGGAAAGGCATGTTGAATATACTCCCACTCGCCTGTGTGGGGTCATTCCACAGCACTCATTAAACACCCACTCTGTGCCAGGCCTATTCTAGGCACTGAACAAGACAGACAAAATAGTCTGCGCGCTCGTGGCCTGTGCATGCTGGTGAAGGAAATAGACAATAGCTAAGAGGATGGGCACATACATGAAGTCAGCTGATGGGAGACACTGGGGAGGAGGAAGGTCAAGGTGACTATTTCGGTGGGGTGGTTGGGAGGGCTCTCTAGGGAGACGACTTTCAAGAGGTCTGGAAGAAGTAAGGGAGAGCGCCATGTGGTTTCTGGGGAACAGTATTCTTGGGAGAGCAGGAAACACGTGCAAAGGCCCTGGGGCAGGAGTAAGAGTGGTTTGCTTGGGGGAACAGTGAGGCTGGAGTTGAGTGATGGAAGGGAAGGTGGTAGGCAGGGGGGTTGGAGGAGTGCCTGGGGTCAGATCAAAGAGGGCTTGCATTGGTGAGGGCTTAGATTTTGCCATAAGGGTGAAGTCATTTGAAGGTGTTACACAAGAGATGCTTATGCTGATGGAGGTTTCTAAACAATTGCCCTCGCTGCTGTGTGGAGGATAGACTCAGAGCACAGGGACAAGAGCGGCAAGACTGGTGAGGAGGCTGGTGCGGGGGCCAGGTGGGACCCCGGGGTGGCTTTGAATAATGGGGAGAGAGGAGAGGTGGGGAGGCCAGAGGACTTGCTGCCCAGGCTTGGAGTGTCATCACCCCAGATGTGTTGGTCTCAGCACACATTTTGCCGGGGCTCCTTACGCAGCCTGGGAATGGGTCATTCTTCCAGCTAGAGCAGCCACATAGCAATGGGTTGGTAGGTTCCATCTCAGCTCAACAGCCACTGTGAAGACAGCCTTGATCCCCATAGCTTGAAGCCATTCCTGCCTTTGTGATGTGTCAGTACCTCTCTTAAGGCTCAAGCCTAGCTGGTCCTACTATGTGGCTTGGTAACATCGAGCAGGTCTTCCCTCTCCTGGTGGGCTCCAAGCCGCAGTGAGGCAAAACCCATGATTGGGGACTCTGTTTCTCCACAGCGCCTGGCATAGGATGTGTCCTATGGTAGATACTCTGGCATTTGTCTTAATAAATGGCCACATAATTGTGCACAGACCCATATTAGCTTCACATGCTCAGTTTCCAGAATTATTGTTAGATTAATATCAAATCAAAATTTTTTCTCATGGAGACTATAGCAATACAAAAATACTTTCTGGGATGAAGTAACTGACTATACACATTGATGAGTCAACCAAATAAAATAAAACCAGAAAAGAGCAGTGCCGGCCTGTGTCCCCTGAATTCCTACAATTGTCAGATTGACATGGATGTTCCACTGGGGGCCGTGAGCTGGAATCCCGGGGGCAAAAAGCCTCACTCTTTTAGTTTTCTGTTCTATTCCGATGATGCTGACACTTGCTGGTTCATTTGGCCTTCCTGATAGCAAAGAAAGGGCTTGAGACTCCAGGAGATAATTTTCCATGAAAAGGAGAAGCTTTGTCGTCCACAACTCAGCGTAAGGCAGAGTTCAAAGTGAAGACTTCCCAGAGCAGCCCAGGCACTGTTGGTCCTCTTTGCCTGTCTCATTTTTCTCCATAGTGCTTGTTACTGCGTGCCTTCATATGCATGTATGTGTCTGCTTATTTTTGTCTTCACTAAATTGTAGGCACCTTAAGGGGAGAGGGCTTTGCTTTCCTGATTGCTCTGTGTCAGGATCCTGCTTAACCTATAGCACGTGCTCATAAACCCAGTTGACAGACTGTGTGGAAAAAAAAAAAGCAGCAATGTTGTTTGCTATAGCTATGAATGGTGAAAGCTTATATATTTTATACTTAGTCCACGTAGGAACTAGACTAAGCACCATCACTTTGTAAAAGCCTTGTGCAATCGTGCATACTTAGGATAATGAGCCTGCAATAAGCATGGCTCAGATGCTGGCGTTAGCCCCACGGGTCGAGTATTTGGCAATATTTGCTGCAGTGTCCAGAAGCTCGACCATCTGAACGATCACAAAAGCATACACGATTTCCAGTGCGAAAACCCAGCCCAGGAAAGCACGTGAAACCATGCCAGCTCCCTGGATGTGCCCTAAAGTTCCACATGTGCATTAGGAAGCCCTAATGTTTATCTTGAAGGTAAAGGGTTGCGGGCATTTGGAATAAATGGAGCGCCTATAACAATAATTTCTGCTACAGTGTAGTACTTTCTACAGCAGCCAAATTCCAAGTCTTTTGATCAGGATTTCTTGTGCTCTGGTGATGGTGATAATTACGACCTTTCCAAGCTATAGAATCTTAGGGCTTAGTGGAGCTCACGGCATTCAATTTCCATTTTATAGCTCAGGAAACTGAGGTCTAAAAGTTACTTCTGAATATCATCTTATGCTGTATGACTTTGGATTTGGGGAGTTGGGCTTAAGAAGTCCAAGATGAGGCTGGGCGTGGTGGCTCACGCCTGTAATCCCAGCACTTTGGGAAGCCGAGGCGGGCAGATCACCTGAGGTCAGGAGTTCGAGACGAGCCTGACTAACATGGAGAAACCCTGTCTCTACTGAAAATACAAAATTAGCCAAGCGTTGTGGCGCATGCCTGTAATCCCAGCTACTCAGGAGGCTGAGGCAAGAGAATCACTTGAACCTGGGAGGTGGAGGATGTGGTGAGCTGAGATCGCACCATTGCACTCCAGCCTGGGCAACAAGGGAGAAACTCCTTCTCAAAAAAAAAAAAGAAGAAGAAGTCCAAGATGAGGCCAGGCGCAGTAGCTCATGCCTGTAATTCCCAGCACTTTGGGAGGCCGAGGCGGGTGGATCACCTGAGGTCATGAGTTTGAGACCAGCCTGACCAACATGGTGAAACTCCATCTCTACTAAAAATAAAAAATTAGTCGGGCATGGTGGTGGGTGCCTACAGTCCTAGCTACTTGGTAGTCTGAGGCAGGAGAATCACTTGAACCCGGGAGGCGAAGGTTGCAGTGAGCCGAGATTGTGCCACTGCACTCCAGCCTGGGCAACAGAGCAAGACTCCATCTCAAAAAAAAAAAAAAAAAAAAGTCCAAGATGAAATTTCTCTGCTCATTCATTTATTCTGCAAACATTTATTGACCAGTTACAATGATCCATGCACCATGCTAGAGACTAGGGCTAACCAAAATGAATAAATTCGTGCCCTGTTTTCAAAGAACTCAGAGGCAGGTAAAAGGTCCAGCTTGCAGATAAAAGATTACAAATTCAGTATCGTAAGTGCCATCCTGAAGGAGTACAGGAGATGTTTTTGTCCGTGTAATCATTCATTCAACAATTTTTTTTTTTTTGAGATGGAGTCTTGCTCTGTCGCCCAGGTTGGAGGGCAGTGGCAGGATCTCTGTTCACTGCAAGCTCCGCCTCCCAGGTTCATGCCATTCTCCTGCCTCAGCCCCCCAAGTAGCTGGGACTACAGGTGCCCGCCACCACGCCCGGCTAATTTTTTGTATTTTTAGCAGAGACGGGATTTCACTGTGTTAGCTGGGATGGTCTTGATCTCCTGACCTCGTGATCTGCCCGCCTTAGCCTCCCAAAGTGCTGGGATTACAGGCGTAAGCCACCGCGCCTGGCTTCATTCAACAAATATTTTTTGAGCTGTTCTAATGTTCCAAGAGCCAGCCAGTCAAAGATGAGCAGGTCCTGGGACCTGCCCTTATGTCGTTTCTTGTCTAAGGGTA
Source organism: Homo sapiens (assembly GCF_000001405.40). NCBI lineage: Eukaryota > Metazoa > Chordata > Mammalia > Primates > Hominidae > Homo > Homo sapiens. The sequence goes on along the minus strand of NC_000008.11, from coordinate 41,748,647 downwards.
GTGGCTGGCTTGCTAATGAGTCAGAGAAAGGTTGTGAAGGAAGGATACAAGTCTCCGAGTACAGAACTGGGAAACAGGAATTGCTGTGAGAAGGAACAGACTGCAAAGGCTGGAGTGCCAAAGGGCACTGGGGCAGGGGGCAGTTCGGGGAGGTTGGGGTACATGAAATGAAAGAGGGTGAGGATGGTGGTCAATCCAGCTAAGGAGGTTAGAGCTAGATCTGTATAGATCTAGAACCTGGCACTTTTCTCTGTCATTGTCTTTTTCTTAGGAACTGTTGACAGGCATAGAAAAATGTATTAAACTACATAGTTCTCTGATCCTAGCTGCACCCCGAAAACACACAGAAAGCCTTCCTAAAATGATGGTGTTGTGGTATTAAACTTCTTTAGACTTGCTGCCTTGGTGCAGCTCTGGAATAGGGATGAGGAAGAAAGAACGTTTCATTGGAGCCCTCACCTGGGAGAAGAGTGTTCTGTGTTAAATAGTTAAACCAGATATGCAGCTAGGTGCCCCTATGCCTGGCACCTGGTACCTGCGACACCGTTAATGCTGACGTCACCCTGAGAGTTGGTTAGAGCAGGTGCTTGACCAGGGAGGCTGGGGAGACTCAGAGAGGTGAAGAGTCTCAGAGCCCAGGACTGAGACACCCAGCCCAAGCCTCTGTACTGACTCAGAGGATGGATTTGACACTGCGCAGCAAGCCTGTTATTGCTCTGGGTGATCTGCCCCAGACTGGTTTCATTTTCCCTTCCTCTGCAGCCAAGGAAGAGCTAATTGACCAGTTCAGTTACATAAAAATCTTCATTTGTAGTCACAGCAGGGACATTCCATGGAATCCTAGGGACTGGGAAAAGGGTGACTAGCACCTTCAGGAACGATCCGGAATGTAGTGCAAGGAACACACACTCTCTAAACTCCACATTATGGTTTCATTGCTCTAGGAATTTAGAATATGAAGACTAGACATGATCTTCATAGTGCTTAGAGACAAAGAAAAAAGATAGGCCTGTGTGTGGCAGGTTCCATGAAGGTGCATTGAATTCTGCAAACCTTATGCACCAGGCTCCATGCTAGGACCTGATTACCAAGGTGAGCAAAACACAGGATCTCAAAGAATTCAGGCCTTTGGGATAGACAGGCACAAGCGCAGATAAATGCAATTCTGTGTGATGAGGGTCTTGAGAGAGTTATCAAGGTCCGTGGAACATGGCCAAGAAAGCAATCCACTTTTAGGGGGCTAGAAATAAGGTACAGTGTGGCAAAGAGAGGGGACAGGTAAAGTCACAGGCAAAATGACACTCGGTCTGGGCCTTGAGGAAGATTTGCCTCTCTGCTTGTTAGAGGAAACGCTGAAAGCAGATCCCATGGTTGTGATGAGACTAGAGGAGGAATGAGAATTGGCCACGATTGTTTGCATTCGATTGACTTCTTTGGTGTAAACCCTTTCTGTCCGTTTTGACAAGCCTTGGCTCTGATTTTAACTCCCTTACGTTCTGCGAAACCACTGTTAACAGTTTATATGAATCTTGGCATATTACTTTTTCTGTACATGCAAAACACATAGCTTAACTCTTTTCTGCAAGCTGTTACGTTGTCTTATTCTTGGAATTATGGAATTCAGACGAAACTGGAAGCTCAGAGCAGTTTTGTCATTGCAAAGCAGCATAAATTGAAGCCTGGGAGGTCATAGATAAGGACAGTTTAGAAGCCCAGGGTTCCTTTCTCCTGACCCCACTGCCCTTCTTCTAAAGGTCTGGGTCTTTTTTTTTTTTTTTTAAAGAATACCAAGATCTCGGGCATAGATGCTCTTTCTAGTCCATAGGAGATATTCTTAGATGCTGAACTGCATTTCAGAGTCCCATTCTCTCATTAACTCGAGCTCACACTTCCTCCTCCACCTTCCCCAGGGCCCATCAGCCTCTGCAGTTGATTTGCTGCTGAGATGCAGGATTTCTCAGAGCACAGGGCTGCTGCGAGTTCTGTACAATCAAAATAGAAAGAAGGTGAGCTGAGGTTGATTCATTTCCTTGCAGAGCTCTAAAATCGTTGTGCATTCCTTTTTCTTAAGGTAATGAAAAGGATTAGAGTGTTTTTCCTCCTCATGAGTATCCAGCAAACTGTGAATCCTAAGCGCTACCCAGGCAGGAGGGCTAAAGTTAGATTGCAACAAAGCAAACAGAGAAAATGCTCAGAGCCGGTTGCCTCCCTTTCCATCTGCGCCACCTCTCTCTGAGTTTGTGCTGTCCTCTCAGTTTCTTCTCTTATTCTGTCTTTCCTGTCCCTAGGCAAGAGACAGATTTGCAAAGGAGATCAGGTGTGATTTTCCACTAGGGTTACGGCAGTTGCTTCAGCTCTGCCTGGCTTCTGATTCCTTAGATTCCAAGATCATATATTTTTAGCAGACCTTTCCCACCAAGCAGTCTCTGGGGAGCCATAAACTATCCGGGTTAGAAAGAGGCTGCAGGTGGTATGGCCCCGCAGAACGAGAGGCCTGCCCTCCAGAAGAGGTCTCCCCCATCAGCGGGTTTCCCTGTGGGCTGAGGGCTGTTCTCTTAGTGTGTTTGATTGCACTCTGGGGTTTCCATCCTGGAATAATATCAGAACTCCAGTAAAGGTCGTGCCTCACAGTTCCTTTACAAATAGGACAGATGCCCAGCCACTCAGAAGGCTGAGGCGGGAGGATGGCTTGAGCCCAGGAGTTCAAGACCAGCCTGAGCAACATAGTGAGACCTTGTCCTACAGAACAAATCAATAATTTAAAAATTAAACATTAAAAAACAAATTAGCCAGGCATGGCCCTGCACCTGTAGTCCCAGCTACTCAGGAGGATCGCCTGAGCCCAGGAGTTCGAGGTTTGTGGTGAGCTGTGATCTCCCCTGTGAATAGCCATAGTACTCCAGCCTGGGCAACATAGCAAGACCCCATCTCTAAAAGAAAGAAAGGAAAAACCAGAACAGATAGATGTAATTATAACTTCATACTGGCTGTGATTCCCAAAATGTGTAGAAGCCCCAGCGGGCCACCTGTCCCCTACTTAGACCCCAGAATTACCCCCACAACATCACTCCTCTCCTCCAGCAGCCTCTGCACCTCACCACCACTCCTCCTTACCTCCCATTAAAAAATTGTTTAGTAGTTCCGAATCTATAGAAAAGTTACAAGAACGTACAGAGAATTCCCGCATCTCCCGTGTCTGCATTATCTACGCCCGTTCTTCTACACTTCCTGTCCCTGTTCATCTGTCTATAATGTAGGACATGTGACCTGATTCGGCACATCCCCAGACAGTCCAGTGTACACCATCCAAAAGTAAGGACACTTTCCCACGTATCCATCCCACGTGCCTGCCAATCTGGAAATCAACACTGATGCAACACAACCATCCAATCCACAGACTCCATTAGGATTTTGCTAACTGTCCCTCCTCTGACAATTTCTCCCTCTCTCTGTGCCTCCTTCCTTCACATCTCCCCGCCCCTTCTTCTTTCTCCCTCCGCTCCCTTTCCTGCTCCCCTCCATCCTTTCCTCTCTCTGTCTCTCTGTCTCTGTCTGTTTTCTCACGCTGTCTCTGTTCCCCTCCACCTTTTTCTGTCTCTCTTTCTCTGGTTCAGAAATCTCTCCAGGAAGATATTTTGCATTTAGTTGTCATGTCTCATCAGCCTCCTTCCATCTGGAATAGGCCCTCAGCGTGCCCATTTCTCATGTGTTTGACTGTTTTCCATGCTGTAGTTTGAGCCTCAGCTGTCTGTCTGATGCTGCCTCATGGCCATATGGCCATGCTGGACAGGAATACCATAGAAATCATGCTCCCATCGGGCGCGGAGGCTCACGCCTGTAATCCCAGCACTTTGGGAGGCCGAGGTGGGCAGATCACGAGGTCAGGAGATCGAGACCATCCTGGTGAACACTGTGAAACCCCGTCTCTACTAAAAATATAAAAAAATTAGCTGGGCGTGGTGGCGGGCCTGTAGTCCCAGCTACTTGGGAGGCTGAGGCAGGAGAATGGTGTGAACCCGGGAGGCGGAGCTTGCAGTGAGCCGAGATTGCACCACTGCACTCCAGCCTGGGCAATAGAGCAAGACTCTGTCTCAAAAAAAAAAAAAAAAAAGAAAAGAAATCATGCTCCCTCCCCACTCCTGGGGATGTTAATCTTGATCACCAAGTAAAGTTGGTGCCAGCCACGTTTTTCTACTATAAGTTCACTGCTTTTCCCTTTGTAATTGATCAGTATTGTGTTGAGGGAGGGAAATATTTCAGTCTATTAATGACATTAATAGCCCATTAATGACATCTGCCTGTATCAGCTACTGCTGTGGTGGCTCCAGACAGTGATTCCTCATTTCCATCATGTCTTCTACATTTTTTAGCTGGCGTTCTACTAAAGGATAAGCTTTTTCTTTTCCCCATTAATTTATTTTTTCTTTATTTGTGTAGAGCTGTTTGGACTCATGGATTTGTCTCCTATGGATTTGTCTTCGTTTCAACCTGATACTCCCATGACTTATTTTAATGGTCAAGTCTAAGCTGGGCCAATAAAAGTCCTTCCCATCAGTTGGCTTCTTCATCCTTTGACATGTCCTCATCATTCCTTGAGCATTTTCCTACTTTCTGGCACAAGGTGCCCCAGGCTCATTTTGTACTTGCCCTGCCCCACCCCTGGCTCAGCACTTCTCCAAAGATCCCTGGTTCCTGTTAGTGGAGACAGCACTTAGACACCAGGGTCCAGCCCCCGATGAGCCCATTGCTCCGGGTTGTCATATGTCTGTGTGCATGCGTGTATGCATACATGAGTCTGCTAACTACGTCTACAGCTGTCTATGTATATATATATATATGAAGAATCAATGAGATCACACCAATATTTCTGGTTCCAGCCCAGTGCTCGGAATTCTTTCTAGCCTTTCCTCTCCCCATGTTTGTACAGTCCTTCACACAGCAGGAGGCCTGAATGCCACTGATGCCCGTCCTCCTTAACATATTCACTGACTTGTTTGCTCAGTGTGATGACAACCTCCCAACCACTCCATTAGCTGTCCTCTTTCTCAGACCCCAGACACGCTGCTGCCCATGCCCTGCAGGGCACCTCCCTGTTCACTGCCCTCTAAGGCCGACATCTCCAGCTGGGTGGGGAGGGAAGGAGAAGGATGAGAAGGGAAGATGGGAAAGCACTCCTTCAGCTTTGATTTCGTTTCTGTTTTGGTTGAAAATTTGATGTAGGCGATTTGAGGAAAGAAATCAAAACTTATATAGCTCTAGTAATTTTTTTGATGTGTCTCAGTTCATTTCCTCTTCTAGACAAACTATCATGCCGTCGCTCCTTCCCTTCCCATCATCTGCTCTGCCTCCTGTGGCTCCATGGTCTTTGCCTTGCTTTCTTCCCTGCTCTTTCTTTCATTCTCATCAGTTTCAGGATTTGGAGTAAGTATGGCAGTCACTCCAGTCCTTCTTTTCCTCTCTGTAACCCCAGTTTAGGCTCTTCTCTCCTACTCTGCTGCAGGGCTGCAGACCTGCAAACGTAATATATTCTGTTGTGGTCTCACTCCACAAACAAGGACCAATAATAGAGCAAAGCTAGAGGTCACACATGTACAAGTTGGTTGCTATTTGCGGAATTAAGCTTCTGTGACATCGAGTATAGCACTTGCTTGTTTATAATAACTCAACAGAGAATCCAAATTGAATAGGAAAGTGGGATATGAAATATATCCCACTAACCTAGGATATTAAATAGAGGAGTCCACTATGTAGACAACTTCCTCCTTATCACAGGCAAGATCTTCTGCCTGGATCTTTGCTGCCTGCATGGGTAAAGGTAAAAGCATCTAGGCATTTCTTTTCTCATCTTTCATTTTATTCACTCTGGGGTCCTCAGACTCCTTGGTGTCTCTGCCACTGCTATCGGGCCTATTCTTTCTAGGACTGCGGTGCCTTCCATCCCCATAATATCTTCCCCTGGCCAGTGCTCCCTTGCCTCTGGGCCTGGCTCGACCAATCATTGGATAATAGATATTGATTGATGCAAAGTTTGTGTTTCCCGAGTGTTATATGAACATGTTGCCTAGGTTCTCTGGAAACACAGCTCAAAGAAAGGGAGTGGGGGACTGAGCAGTGAATTTCAGGAGGTGTGGGGTGGGGAGGTCCTCAGTCACGGGATGCAGCTGAAGCTGCCTGCTCCATAGAGGCAGGGCCAGCCTTGTGCACGGGTGAAATAAACAGCTGCGTGGAAAGGAGGTGTGAGGGCTGTGTGTCCTCATGGGAATGTAGGCATTCACTTTTGAGATGTTCTTGCAGTTTTGCAGAGACACCAAGGCCTTTCTATTTCAAACCGTTCCCCTTCTCTTGACAGGAAGAGTTAAATTCCCCGTGTCTCCTGTATTCATACATTTGGAAATCAATTAGTGCAACTGGGGCAATCAGAAGAGCTAAACAGAGGAATAATTTAACGAGAACAAATGTCTGGAATTGTGTATTTTGCCAATGGAATTTCTCACAGTTGGTGCAAGAAAATACTCCACATTGAATTAATCAGGCTGAATGTGACTTTTTTCTTCTTCTTCTTAAAAATGTTAAAAGAAACATAGCCTAGCTGAGGTCTCCTTCCCCGCCCATCACACAGATCGCTTTTCAGAACAATCCTGTCAGTTGACATTCCACCTGAAAAAGAGCAAAGGCAGGTGCACAGCTCTAGGTGTGTGTGCTTGGCATGAAGATTTTTGCCAAAAAGAGCCTTAAAAGGTTATCTCCTATGTTAGGACCATGTGGAAAGAGATCATATGGGGACAGCTGGCCTTAAGGGCTCAGTACAGGGAGTATGTAGGATGCAGAAGGCTGCAGAGAGCATGGCTCCTACCCCGACAATGACAAAAAGCTCGATAATTTACAAAGTGATCATTTTTTCCTGAACCCATCTCATGCCTGCCTGAGGTAGTAAGGCAGCTGAGTAAACAGAATTTCAAACAGAGGCAAAGCCCTCTAAGAAGCGGGCCACGTAAATCGCTTCAGCTTTGGCAGAGGTCAGGAAAGAGAGGTGTTCACCATACAAGCCAAAATCTTTTTTTTTTTTTTCAGGTAAGGTCTCACTCCACCACTCAGGCTCAAGGACAGTGGTGCAATCATAGCTCACTGCAGCCTTGAACTGCTGGGCTCAAGGGATCCTCCCACCTCAGCCTCCCAAAGTGCTGGGATTAAAAACCATCACACCCAGCCACCAAAATCTTAAAAGTTCTTGAAGGCCAAGTGTGGGCCAGTGTGTCTGGAACAGGCTTTTCTCCACGGGGCCCCCATGAGAAGTATTGGGCTACGTCAGGAGCCAGAGGAGGCCCCCTCGACAGCCAGGTGTGTAGGAGGTGACCTGTGACTGTGCAGGCAGGGGTGGAGGGAGGAACGGACACAAAGCTTTCACCGCTTCTCCAGATCTTTCCCTCATGTGAAGCAAAAACAGACCCTCTCACCTTTATTTTTATTTTTGAAATTGTGGTAACATTTATTCTGAGAATAAAACAGGCCTCCCCTCCCCTACCTCCATGGGGTGCTGAGAGGAGGGAAGCCCAGTTCTGGGTGGAGTGGGTTGGAAGCCCCACCCATCTGTAAATGGGACTCCCAGGTCCCCATGGGTGCATGAGGTGAACAAGGCAATTGCTCTTCCCCACCCACCCAGCATCCTCACCTGCCCTGTCCCCCTCCTGGGGACCAGAGATCCCTGCATGGCCAGAAGCCAGCCCAGCCTACCTGTAAGAGCAGGCCTGTTAATCCAGTGCTGTCCAGGTGTGGGAGGCAGTGCCTGGCCCCAGGCTGAAGCCCACAGGTCTGCCAGTTGGGCCTGGTTTGCGCCTGTATCCCAGGGGACATGGTTGAGCAAAGACCTGTGTGTCAGCCCCAGAGGCCTGAGCTGGCTTATCCAGCACTCACTGCACCAACTCAGGAACCTTAATTTGAAGTAGACATTGAGGGGTGGTGATTACATGAATGTGTATATAGAGTGCACGCATACAGAGATACACCAATCCTTAGACCGTAGACCTAGGGGAGGAATAGAAACAAACTGCCTCAGCCAGGGGAGGGGTAGGAAACATTCCTGCCAATGACTTGCTGCTGTAGGGAAGATAGGAGCAGCCACCTTGGGACTCCTAGGGGAGGGGCTGTAGATTGTTTTGGGCCCGGGATTCTACACCAATAACAAGCAGGCAATTGGGCGTGGTGGCTCACGCCTGTAATCCCAGCACTTTGGGAGGCCGAGACGGGTAGACTACCTAAGTTCAGGAGTTCGAGACCAGCCTGGCCAACATGGTGAAACCCCGTCTACTAAAAATGCAAAAAATTAGCCAGGCGTGGTGGCAGACGCCTGTAATCCCAGCTACTTGGGAGGTTGAGGCAGGTGAATTGCTTGAACTTGGGAGGTGGAGGTTGCAGTGAGCCAAGATCATGCCACTGCACTCCAGCCTGGGCAATGAGAGTGAAACTCCATCTAAAAAAAAAAAAAAAATCAAAAACAAACACAAAAAAAACAAGCAGGGGTCGACTACTGCTGGGGGAGGAGCAAGAAACTCACCCAAGACCAGTGCAAGTGAGACAGGTTTTGCTGCCACAGAGAAGGGGGAAGGATTGCTAAACATGGAAAAGAAATCCCACCTTAGAGGGCCAGATGTACAGAGCCTGCCTAATACTGAAGCTGGAGCACGACAAAAGAGAACATGCCCATTCCTGCCAGCCTAACATGTTGTAATAAGGAAGAGCAGGCCACTGCTGGGAGAAGAGTAGGAGCATGGAGAATTACCTCATTTAAGGCCCAGGCATGCAGGATGGCTGGAAGTTGAGGGAGGTCAAGAACACTCACACAAAAAGCCCCTGGCACCCCAGCTCCAACTCAAAGTTCAAGATAACCGCAGTCTACCTTTGTAAGAATGTGAAGGCTGTGGTGCACTGAAAGTAACAACAAAACTCAAACTCAGGTCAACCCCTGAGATTGACTCAGCCTTCTCACCTCCATGCTGACAACTTCACAGAAGAAGAGGCATGTTGATTTCCAGCCGTAAATACTATTTACCTCAGTCTCTACTGCTCTTCTATGCTTGATGTCTGGCACTCAACTAAAAATTATCACACACCAAAAAAAAAAAAAAAAAAGAAAGAAAAAAACAATGAACTATTGTCGAGAGACAAAGCAATAAACAGAATCAGACCTAGAGATGACCACAATGTTGGATGTTGGAAGTATTAGATGGACTTTAAAATAACTATGATTAATATGTTAAAGTATCTAGTGGGAAAAGTAGATAACATTCATGAGTAGATGGAAATTTTCAGCAGAGAGATGAAAACTATAAGAAAAAGTTCAATGAAATGCTGAAAACAAAAGACACTTTCTCAGAAATGAAGAATTTATTCAACAGGTTCATCAGTAGACTGGACATAACTGAGGAGAGAATTAAAGAACTTGAGGATAAGTCAATAGAAATAATTCAAATTGAAAGAAAAGAGAGAAAAGAGGGGGAAAAAACAAACCAAAACAGAGTAGCCAAGAGCTATGGAACAACATCAACTGGTCTAAAACACATGTAATTGGAGCTCCAGAAGGCAGTATCTGTAGGAAAAAGACTCTAGCGAACTGGTGTTTTCCTCCAGGGAAAGCCATATGGTTAAAAAATGGCCACAAGTAGTTATTGCTTTTCTCCCCAGCTTCTAATTTAGTGAAATCATTTACTCTTATATTATTCTGCTTCCTTTTTGCTTATCTTCTACACCCTGTTATTTGAGGGAAGAAATATGTGATTTATCCACACCTCCAATCCCCTTTAACAGCCTGTCTGCCATTTGGCTTCAAGAAAAGTGGCTGTGAAGGTGAGATGGAGTCGCCGAAAAGATTCAAAGCAAGTCTCAGCAAGCTGCCTTTTACTTTTAGCAACCAAGCTAACTTAAACTTGATTTAGCTAAAGTAAAACATGATTCTCAGTTTTGAAGAGGTGGTAAATTACAGTTCATCTCTGTCCATACTTACAGCTAAGAACAAATAGCTCACATAATTTGCAGTCCTCCTCCTCCTTCTCATTTGAGCAATGAAAAATCTGCTTAAAGAAAAAGGAAGTATTAAATATGGTATTTATCCACAAAATGCTCTTTTGGATATCAGAAGTGGTCTCCTGCATAAACTAGTTATGCATTTAATAAGACAGCTGTACAAGCTCCTTTGTGTGTGTGTGCAGGAGGTTCGTTTTCAGGTGTTCAGCAACTTCCGCTGCTAGATGGTGGTGACTTGTGGCTGTCACCACCCCTTAGGTAGGTAGACGCAGCCATCTACGTACTAAGACCAATTGCTGGAGGAGAGGTGCTGCTGGGGTCTGGATGTTTGTGCATCTGTTGTATCCAAATGCTTTGGGAAAGGAAGAGGAGGGCACTTGCTGAGAGAGCTGGGAGCATATTTTAGCTTATGGGTTTAGAATCTAAACACTTCTCATCTTGCTGTTTTTAATGAACTTGCAACTCTGTCTTTGTGCAGGTGGGCACCTCTGCCTTGAAAAGTCCTCTGCGAAGCTTTCTGGGTCTTCTTGACAGAACAACTCTTTTCTCTTCTGTGCCACCTCTACCCCTTTACATGCTGTTTGGGGCTTTTTTCACATGATTTTGCATTTATTTTTTATGCATCCGTGTTCCCTACAAAACTGAGTTCTTCAAGGGAAACAGTTTGTGTTTGATTCATTTCTAGCACAGGGCCAGACACAGACGAGGTTCTCCATAAATATTTGTTGAGTTGGGTTAAGTAATTGCTCAGCGTTTGATGGCAACAGTGTCCACACCTGTGGCTGAGACAAGTGCTTCCTCAGCCCCGTCCCCATGTGTTTTTTACAGGCATTGCATTCCCGGACCATCTTGCATCTCTCTCATTAACTGTGCCCAGTGGGGTTTGATTCAGTGGCCCTGCTGAGAACAGTGGATTCAGATCCCCGCAGTAATAGACTTGGAAGTGATTTAGGGTGACTATGTTAAAGACAAATCTACAATAAAGTGAGAAAACATTTTTTAAAAATCATAAGAAGGAGATCGCTGGGCCAGGATCTGGGATGGAGGGAGAGTGCAGCTCCGCGAGAGGCAGGTCTACTCAGGCGGCCCCTTGCATGGCGAGGGTCTTACTCTCTGCCCTTTGCGAGGGAGGCATGGGACCCAGGAAGAGAAGAAAGGGGGTTTTCTGCAGATCAGAGTGATGAATAAAATCCTAGAGATCAATTGCCGAGGTCACAATCAGATCCATTCGTTAGCTCTAAGCTTCATGGAGACCAGAAAAGGGAAGATATGCTTTCATCATCTGATAAAAAGAAACACATCGTTTTGGGTTTGGTTTTGTTTTATTTTGTTGAGACAGAGTCTCTCTCTGTCACCCAGGCTGGAATTCAGTGGTGTGATCTCTGCTTGCTGCAACCTTGGCCTCCCAGGTTCAAACTGTTCTCCTACCTCAGCCTCCTGAGTAGCTGGGACTACAGACGCGTGTCACCACACCTGGCTAATTGTTGTATTTTTAGTAGAGACAGAGTTTCTCCATGCTGTCCCGGCTGGTCTCGAACTCCTGCCCTCAAGTGATCCGGCTGCTTCAGTTCCCAAAGTGCTGGGATTACAGATGTGAGCCACCGTGCCCAGCCAGTTATCACAGTAGTTTTTAGCGGGGAGAAAACCAAACCTCCTTTTTTCTGGGAAATCCAGGTTGGTCCTGTGTGTGGCTGTGCCCTGGAGACGCTGCATGGCCTCTGCCAATCGTTTGACTACTCTGGGCCTTGACTTCCTCAGCTGCAGATGAAAGGGTGGAGTTCAGGGACCTCTAATATCCCTTTCGAGTCCTGCATTCTCTGGTCAGACAGTATATCTAGAATCCCTCCGGATTGAAATCGTGACATTGGCCTCAAACAGCAGGGGCCGGCCGTCCCAGAGCATTAGCGGCAAGCATTAGCTATTTCTTTCCAGGCTTGCTGGTTTTGTGGCTTTGATGCATTCAGGACCCACAGATGCTCATCAGAGCGACTGCGCTGCCCAAGTAAGCACTAAAACCCCAGCCGTCAGCACCGAGGCAAGGCTGGCTGCCACTGCGAGTCAGCTTCCCGCAGTAAGCGGCCAGCAGCAGCTGCCGGGCTGTCACTCCAGCCATGCCGACAGCCACAAACACCAACCCAGTTCCCAAGCAATCACAGGGCATCCGCTGTCAGCACTAGGAAGCTTCTAGATAAGGCTGCCGCTGGGTTGGAAGAGCGCTTGCAGAAATGCTGTGTGCTGCCTGAAAAAGCTCGCCCTGCTCTGAGAAGGAGCAGGGACTCCTTCCTGCAGACCCATCCAGAAAAGAGTTGCAAGATGCAGAAGCAAGAGTGGCTCCAGGCTCTCAGCGCACTGGTCACTCGACAAATTGCTTTGCAGTGAATTTGTCTTGCAAATCAAGGGGAGGGGAGTTGGTTTCTGCCTGCCCAGTGCTCTCTCCCCTTCTCCTGGATTCCCATCTGGCCCTCAAGCACTTTCTCCCTCTCTATTACCCAGACTGGCTCTGACCTAGCTTTCTCTAATAAACTCATTGACACCGGGTGAGAAGAATCCACACAGCTTTGGACCCTTCACTGAATGGTGTGCAAAATCTGCAGGAGGAGGAAACCTAATGGCCAGTGGTCATTTTCAGGCGTTTGCATGAGGAAATATTTGGTGAACCACCCCCTCTCCCTACACACACACCCTGGCAAGGCTGGCTGTGCTGATAGGCAAGGGTGCAGGGCTGCCCTGACCTAAATAGGAGGTAGGTAATGTTCCCTTTGCAGCCCCCCTTCTCATTTCTCTAACATCCAAGGCATCTGTTATATTTGCTGCATCCAAGGTCCCCACATAAAAGAAGCGTTGGACCCCTTCCATTCTCCTATCATGACTTTGGGTGACTTTCCTCTGCTAGTTATGGCAAAGCAATTTGCCTAATCTGTGAATGGGCTAATGCACTCCCACTCCCAGGTAGAATACTTGTGTTTGAACAAGAACCTCCTGAAAATGATGCCCTGACACAATGGGAGAGCTGGAATTCGAGGAACGCAGGGTGGGGCTGCGGAGATATTTGGGGACGTGAGTCAGGGACCCCGCACATCAGACCTGCAGAAACCAAGCCCTCCGTCTAGGTGGTGAGGATCTGTTTCATGAACTGGAGCCTGAAGTGGCTCTGAGGCCTCCCCTGGAAAGGAACGCAATAGAACAGAATTAATCAAAACGGGAGGCCAGGAGGAGGAGGACAGGAGGGGAAAATTGCTGGCGGGGAAGGAGGAGGACAGGAACAAAATAAAAAAGCAGGAGGTGGAGTTTGCTCACTGACTAAAATCATTTTCTGTACGGAGCCAAGATCGACTCATCCGTTGGAATTGATATTTTGCTCCTTCATATTGTCAGACTTATTTGTGGCTCCGAGTAGCACTCCTTGATGTCAGCTTTTGCCGGAAAGTTTCAAGACCTTTCAGGGCAAGGATCAGAAGAGCAGGAAGCATGAGAGTGATGAATAAAACTTGAACTTGGCTGCCTTCCATAAAGCACAGTGGCAGCTTCACCAGATGCAGCTGGAACTTTAATTGGTTAAATTTTAATTGGCTCTGCTCTTGTGGGCTAAGGGTTGGGCAAGGAAAATGTGTTTTGTTTGTTTGTTTGTTTGTTTTTTGCTTTTCCTAAAGCTTAACTGTCAGGCAGCCTTCTTTGGTCACCTTTGAAATGGTGGGATGGCAAAGGGGCTATTTTATGTTTTACATTTTATTTTTATTTTTGAGACAGGGTCTGGCCCTGTCACCCAGTAGCAGGATCTCAGCTCACTGTAGCCTCAAACTCCTGGGCTCAGGTGATTCTCCCACCTCAGCCCCCTGAGTAGCTGGGACTATAGGCACACACTACCACACCTGTCTACTTCTGTGGGCTTTTTTTTTTCTTTTGTAGAGCTAGGGTTTCATCATGTTGCCCAGGCTGGTCTCAAAATCCTGGGCTCAAGCAACCAGCCTGCTTCAGCCTCCCAAAGCGCTGCGACTACAGGTGTAAGCCACTGTACTGGGCCAAAGGGGCTATTTTAATACTGATTTTTCTATTGAGGAAATCTTACAGCTGGGTGGTTGGTGGTATTCATTTCTCATATGACCTTGCTTCAGAGTTTAACATCTTACCAAACATATGTCTATTTCTACAAGTATTTAGGATGCACTGGTGTTACCACTTTGCTTTTCCTGGTCACTGTTGTGAAAATTAACCAGGGGTTGAAGCTACATCATTTTAATTAAGTGGGCTGCCTAAAGCCTGGCCTCGACATGAATTTCAAGGTCACCATGGGTGTTGTGAGAGCTTACTGCCTAATTCACATCTGGGAGTGGCGGGCTAGTTCTTGCCCTTCCTTTCCATCTCTGCTCTGTTGTGACCTGAGGCGTGAAGGGGAGGCTGGGTGGCCCTGCCCTGTGCCCCTTCCAACCTCTAGACACACTCCACTCCTTTTCTCCAGTGCTGTGAACACCTCAGGGCTGGGAAGGGGCCTGGGCCCCCACTGGGACGTGCAGAAAGCACCATTTGACTAACCATGCCCTTCCCGCCTCTCTGCTCTTTACAGAATGGGTTGAATGGCTTGCATCTGGCTTCTAAGGAAGGCCATGTGAAAATGGTGGTTGAACTTCTGCACAAAGAAATCATTCTAGAAACGACAACCAAGGTATGTCTCACAGGGAGTGGGGGAGCTTTGCATTGAAAATTCAAGTTTGTGAGTCCTTCCTTAGAAACCAGTCCTTCATGAGAGAACTCAGGCATGCATCTGAATTTCTCTTATCCTTCCAATCACTTTTTAGTTCTCTGAATCCCTGAAGCTGCCTGAAACAGACCCCATTTCCAGAAAGATTCAGTGGGCCTTTATCCTCATCACTAGGTTACGTATCTAAAAATAGAGCCCTTTCCTGATGGCTTTATACTTTCTCAGGGTCCTTGACTCGAACTCAGTGTCCAAGGGCTCTGGAAGCGCCAATCAGGTGCCTGGAGTCGAATCCCAGCAGACATACTTCACGCTCTGTGACCTGGGACGAGTTACTTGGCCACTGTGAAGCCTCAGCTTCTTTGTCTGTAAAATGGAGATAATAATACTTAGTTGCAGGGTTGGTATGAAAAGTAAGTGAGATGGCATACATCAAATGCCTGGATGTATTTATTGGATGGATGCATTTACTACTTATTGGATGCATTTATTGATTATTGGATATATTAATTGATTACTGATTCCTGTAGTAAGGAATCAATAAATACTAGTGACCATGTTGTTACTGAAGGTTGTAGAGAAGAATCCAGATTTCTTTCATTTCTCCTTCTCCAGCAAGTCTTCCTTGTTCAGCCCCAAACTGATTTCCTCTCCTCGCTAACGATCTGGAACAGCATTCTGTTTCATGAGGAGGCGTTTGGCATGGGGCGACGCCAGGCATCCACAGTAACGTATTTCACTCCATTTCAGTAGATTATAAATACCAGTGACTCAACTTCAAAATCCCAGAGTCATGAAATTGATACATCTATAGATTGCAAAATAAGTTTCATTTTTTACCTGACATGCATCTTATTTATCAAACAAGATGCAGCCAGCAATTAAAAATAAAATGAAACAGACTGGGCGCGGTGGCTCACGCCTGTAATCCCAGCACTTTGGGAGGCTGAGGCGGGAGGATCACTTGAGGTCAGGAGTTTGAGACCAGCTTGGCCAACATGGTGAAACCCCGTCTCTACTAAAAATACAAAAATTAGCCGGGCGTGGTGGCGGGCGCCTGTAATCCCAGCTACTCAGGAGACTGAGGCAGGGGAATCGCTTGAACCCTGCCTCAAGCGGAGGTGGAGGTTGCAGTGAGCCATGACTGCACCACTGCACTCTAGCCTGGGTGACAGAGTGAAACTCCATCTCAAAAATAAATAAATAAATAAATAAAACGAAACAAGGCTGGACGTGGTGGCTCATACCTCTAATCCCAGCACTTTGGGAGGCCGAGGAGGGGAGATCATCTGCGGTTAGGAGTTCGAAACCAGCCCAGCCAACATGGCGAAACCCCATCTTTACTAAACATACAAAAATCAGCCAGTCGTGGTGGCACAGGCCTGTAATCCCAGCTACTCGGGAAGCTGAGGCAGGAGAATCGCTTGAACCCAGGAGGCGGAGGTTGCGGTGAGCCGAGATCGCGCCATTGCACTCCAGCCTGGGTGACAGAGACAGACTCCCTCTCAAAAATAAATAAATAAAATGAAACAAAAAATCATCTCCATTTGCTAACTCAAGTACTGTCTCCCCAGTTACTGTTTTCTCTTCTCTTCCCTCCTCTGTTCCTTTCCCATGTTTTTCTTCTGGAGTTCTTTCCCCCTAGCCTCTTATTTTCCTTTTGGTATATATTACACGTGGTCTCACACACAACCTCAATTTCAGTTCCATGCAGCAAACAGTTTGCCGCCTCTCAAGCAGAGAACATAGAAGAACAATATGTAGAGAACAGATATAATTTATGGTTATGAAGTGAACTACCAAAATATTATGAAGGTAGAATCATCTCTTGAGGTAAAATTCTGTAATTTTCATGTCATTTCCTGAATGTGAAAAGATCTTATTGCACTTATGGGTAAAATAAACTGAGTTGCTCTTTCTGACTGGATACGGGGTATTTTTTTCCCAAATTCTATGTCAAATTCCAATTGTTCCCACCCTGCTTTTCGTGTGGATGAAGGGTGAGATTATTTTCTCTGCACACTCCCACGTACCTGGCTGTGAGCTGTGTGCCATCTGACCTGCCCCGCGTGTGCCGGAGCGGCGCCTGCCCTGGCGTGCCTTCAAGGGCTGCGGAAACACGAGGCTTCAGCGCTTCGACTGTTTCCGAATCTCCTCCCCAGGTTGTGATTTTGCAAGTGAACACTTGGTGTGTCTTTTTTATTTTTAGAAATTTTCTAAGCCAACGTGGCTTTGGAATACCATCCAGAGAGAGGGGGAAAAAAAGGTGGAACTGAAACCGTGGGCTGGGGAAGAGTCACAACAGATTGGGGACTGTGATGGGGCTCCCAGGCAGCAGAAAGATGAAAAAAAAAAAAGAAGAAAAAGAGTAAAAAGCCAAAACCAATTTAGATTCCTAAAATGTACTTAGAAATTTTAAAAGCACAAAACAAACGCATTCTCTCCCCATCCTCCTATCTCCAGCTCTTAGAGACTGGAGCTCAGCACCTAAGCTGTTAATGAATGGGGACAGCTTTCATCTCCACTGGAAAAAAGCCTGCTCTCTCACTTGGGGTCCCTCTCCCCCTTCCACTTGCATTCAATCAGCACCCATGCAACCATCCTCCCTGCTCTGAGCTCTGTGAGCCCCTGAAAATAGAGAAATTGGGTGTTTGTGGAGCAAAATATAGCTAAGTAATTTTTCCTGCTCCTTTGAGGCCATGTTCTTTCATGGTGAGGGAGGGGCAGAGAAAATAGAGGCTCACAAATCCCTTTTCCTGTGACTCCCACAACTTAGGCCAGGGGCCTTCTTGAGCCTCATAATGTGTGTGTGTAGATAGGGGAAAGGAGGTCCACTTCCAGAATTTTCCCTGTGTTCTTATTCCTCACTTATGCTACCGTTGGCTCAGCTGGCCCGAACCAAGATCCATAGCCAGGTTTCCATCACTGATGAGCTCCCCAAAACAGGGTGACCTTCCCCTCCTCGTGGGGTAAGGAAAGCTCTCATATCATTGGACTTCAGGCAGGAAGGGTCAGTTGGAAAGAAACCTTTGACGTGAGCCTCTTGATGTCTCCATGGCCTCTGTGCCTCCATGCTGGCCCAGGCCTTCTGTGCTTATGCCCAGGAAGCATGTGGCCAGTGAATGAATGCACCCAGGATGCCTCCTTCTTTTCCATGGGAGCCCAGAAGATGCCACTTGGAGCTCAGCGTCCTGGTGTCTAGAAAAGTTTCTGGTGCCAGCAGTGCTGCTCCATTTGGTACAGCAGGTGCCAAGCCTCTCAATGGAGGCTCTTTGGACTTCTATGAAAAATTATTAATGAGCTTCCAGACTTTCATATCTGGCATTTATTCTCCAATGGATACCTGAGGAAAAACCTTTTTCTTCATCAAATAGAACTTGAGGAGAAATCAAAAAGACAACTTCAGGAGGCAACAGATGGGAAGTGCCTGCCTTTAAACAAAACAAAACATAAACAGGCTTTATGCCTTTAAAAAAAAAAAAAAAAGAAAGAAAAGACAGACAGACTGGGTCTCACTGTTTCCCAGGCTGGTCTTGAACTCCTGGACTCAAGCAATCCTCCCGCCTTGGCCTCCCAAAGTGCCAGGATTACCAATGTGAGCTGCTGCACCCAGCCCCAGGCTTTATGCTTGAATTACCAGGCAGAGTACAAGAAACAGAACTGAGCTGCTTCCCAGCCCCCAGGGCGGCCTCATGGGGCTGCCTCCCTGACCCGGGGAAGCGGGGTCAGCAGCGGCTGGGGGGCCACACGGCTAGGCCCCAGGCTGCTCCCTTCCATCTCAGTGAGGAAGCTTTTCCTCCAGGTGACAGGAGCCACTGGGCAAGGTCAGAGTCCAAAGTCCCTGCTTGTCAGTTCTTAAGTTTCTTGAAATGGATTAGTTAATGATTATGTAGTTTAGTAAAAAGAACTACATACTGTCTAAACTCTAAAAATGAGGTTGTTTGAGATCTCTGCTCCTTAAGTAGTGCAGGGACAGATGGGTCCGACCATGGACCTATTTTCTCCACTCGCCCTATTTGACAGAAGCATGGAGTGGAGGCTGCCCGCCCCTGCCCCTCAACTCCCTGAATGGGGGCTCAGGTGCAGGGCACCCAGGGGAGTCCACCCCCAGAGGCAGTGCTGACATTGTGGTCCAGGACCCCCAGGGGCTGGCAGGAGCCTGGCTGGAAGGCTGTGGGTATCCCGGGAACAGATGGAGGCTGCTGGTCCTGTCTGTGAATTGTTGTTTAATATCAAAAAAGAATCCAGACAAGAAAACCGGAGAATGTTAAACTCATGTTCTCAGGCCCATGCCTGTAATACCAGAGTGCTGAGAGGCTAAGACAGGAGACCAGCCTGGACAACAAAGTGAGAGCCCATCTCTACAAAAAAATTTAAAAATTGGCTGGGCACGGTGGCACACGCCTTAGTCCCCACCTACTTGGGAGGCTGAGGTGGGAGGATCGCTTGAGCCCAGGAGTTGGAGGCTGCAGTGAGTTATGATGGTGCCACTGTGCTCCTGCCTGGGTGTTAGAGCGAGACCTCCAATTCTAAAAACAAAATAAAACAAAACAAAAACTCACTTTCTCAGAACCTGCCTTATTTCTCAGTCTCTGCTATTGGTTCTTATCTTTTACAAAGTTTAAAACAATTACGTGCCTGGTTTTCCTCCAGTGTTTATTCTCTCCAGTTTTTCTCTCCTCTTGGATTTGGTGAACCCTTACTCATTACATTTTGCTTACTAGTATGTTGCATATTCTTTGTATTTTTCTTGGCCAGATTGTATTCCATTTATTACCCCCCATTTATTTTCTGATTTTTCTTCTCTTCCCTACATACATCATAGAGTTGATCTTACCCTTTCCTTTTCTGTATAATGCTTTCCTCACTCTCCTGCCTCCCATCTCTTTGTCCGCTCCACTGCAGCTTGTGGTCTGTGGGTATCCCTGGGATGGCGTCAAAGGTATGGGCCTGAGGGACCTGCTGGCCTCCTTTCCTGGCGCTCCCAGGCCTCTCAGAGGGCTTGTTGCCTTGCAGAATTGCAGGCTGAGCGGAGCTGCAGGTCCGCGGAAGGCCAGCTCGCTGACAAGCCTTCCAGTGTGTGTCCTGAGGGACGCCAACGCGCTGTCTGCTGGGGACAGGACGCTGCACGCACACAGCAGATTAGATGTTCAGAAGTTGTGTGTTGGCGGGGGGTGTTTTTTTCTTTCAGTATTATTTTTCTTTTATAAAAATTTTTTATTTTTAATTATTATGGATACATAATAGAAAAAAAGGAGTTCCTTTGACATGGCCGCACTCTCCTTCAACCGCACATCTCAGTGTCACCTGCCCCCTTCCTGCGCCACTCCAATCACACCAGCCAGTGCTGGTGGTCTTCTTTTTAAATGTTTTTCTTTTTATAGATTGAGGGGGTATGAGTGCAGCTTTGTTCCATGGATACATTGTGTAGTGGTGAAGCCTGGGCTGTTAGTGTGGCCATCACCCGAAGAGTGGGCATCCCATCCAAAGGATAATTTCTCATTGCCCCCACCTCCCACCCTCTGAGTCTTCAGTGTCTCTCCACTCTCTGTATGTCCACGTGTGCACATTATGTAGCTCATACTTACGAGTGAGAACATGCAGTATTTGACTTTCTGCTTCTGAGTTGCTTCATGTAAGTTACTGGCCTCCAGTTCCAGCTGAGTTGCTACGGAAGACCTGATTTCCTTCTTTTTTATGGCTCTTGCAGCATTGTTTGTCATAGAGAACAGGCTGGATCTTCCTCCCTGTACTTTCAGTATGATTTCAGGATGTGCAATGGGTCAAGCACACACGTGTGTCCTTTCTACCCCTTTTGGCCATGAAGAAAGCCCCCGGGTCCCTCAAGCAGCACCTGTCCACAGACCTTTGCTGGTCCCGTAGCGGGCCCAGTGGGAAACCGCCTCTGTTCCCTTCCCCCATGTGTTTCAGAAGGGGAACACGGCCCTGCACATCGCTGCTCTAGCCGGGCAGGATGAGGTGGTCCGGGAGCTTGTCAACTATGGAGCCAACGTCAACGCCCAGTCACAGGTAATGGCTCTCTGGTCTGGACTAGAGGGTGTTGCCTTTCCACAGGTGGTTCCTCTTTGCTGCTCCCTCGTGGGTCCATTGGCAGCCGTGTTAACACACACACTACTGTGGGGCAGGGCCTAGATTTCTCAGGAGCATGTCTCTGAGCAGTGGTGAAGGTGTCCTTTATTATTTCGCATGCATAGACCGCGTGTCCTAAGCATGACGGGGTTGAATTGTTTTGGACCTAAGCCAAATAGTATGTCCAGTTGTAGCCTAGGTGGAGAGAGAAACTGAGGACTGGGGGAATGAGGTGTGCAGTGCAGCATTGATGAAATCAATGAGGAGTATGTGAGCTGAAGAGACTGACCTACGGTGGCGAGGGGAGGCACAGCCTCTGTGGCCTTTTGTAATAATCCCAGGACGCCAGTCACCATGACAATGAGTTTCCTTAGGAGGGGTCAGGTGGGAGGAAATGGAATGAAGAGAGCGCTGTCCTCCAGGTGAGAGGACGTTGTGCTGGTGTAGGCCTTTCTTAAATTGCGGGTGGATGCTAATGATGTCCTCTCTTGGTTTACAGAAAGGTTTTACACCCCTGTACATGGCAGCACAAGAGAACCACTTGGAAGTGGTTAAGTTTTTACTGGAAAATGGAGCTAACCAGAATGTAGCCACAGAAGTAAGTACCTTGGAAAAATGTCGTCACCACCAGAAGTCTCCCAGGTGTACAACCTTGCTTCAGGTGACACCTACCTGGGATGTGGCTTGGGGTGCATCCATGTCATGATGGATGACCTTCAGGTCGCTGCACTAATCCAGAGTGCTGTCAGGTTCTGCAAGGGACTAATGACAAAGTCATGGGTCTTGAAGAAGGCCCAGACACGTACCAAAGAAACGACGTCACACTTGAGGGTGTCCTTCCCGCTGTGGCCAATACTTGTGACTGGAGGGGGCAGGCGAAGCATGCATGTGTATGGTTGGCAAGTTTGCATTGGGCCTTAATGAGAAAGGCTCTTGCCACAAAACCACCATGCACCCTTGGACAAGTCTCATTAGCTATGGTCCTGAGTCTTGTCATTGGTGAAATGATGAAATTGGACTAGATAGAGCCAAGGAGTCTCTTGACTCTTAACTTTGGATGGCTCAATGACATGACTTTGTTGTCATTCCGTTTTATCAGTTCCTGCGGTCCTGTGCCCTTTAGTATGTCCACAACTGAGGGAATTAATAATAGTAGCTCATGGCCAAGCGCAGTGGCTCATGCCTATAATCCAACCGCTTTGGGAGGCTGAGGTGGGAGGATCACTTGAGGCCAGGAATTCAAGACCAGCCTGGGCAACACAGCAAGACCCCGTCTCTACAGAAAAAGAAAATTAGCTGGGTGTGGTGGTGTGTGCCTTATTCTTAGCTACTTGGGAAGCTGAAGTGGGAGGATCACTTGAGCCCAAGAGGTTAAGGCTGCAGTGAGCCATGATTGCACCACCATACTCCAACCTGAGTGACAGAGTGAGACCCTGTCTCAAAAATAAAATAATAATAATAATAATAGCTCACAATTGAATTATCAGGGCCTGGTGTGGACTCTGGCCTTTGGTCGGTGTTAGTAATGTTCTGCCTTGTCAAGGCACTATCCTGGTACCAGCAGATGGGGTGAGAAAGAGAGCCGGCAAAGAATCTGAGCAGTCAAAAGTTTCTTAAAACAAGTCAAACTGGAAGCAAATTATAAAGGAAAACTAAATTAATGCTAAAGAAAAATTCGGCAGGCTCTGTGAGATTGCAGAGAAAGGAAGTGGAGGCAGGAAGGGCTTCAGGGAGGAGATGGCATTTAGGCTAAACTTGGCGGATGAAGAGGGCTTTGGTGGAGGTAGGTCCCTCAGGCTGGGGCTGCTGGGAGCATAAGCCCGAGGGGCAAGGGTGTGTCCCGTGTGAAGGGCGGCTGGCGTCAGACGAGTCAGAGCAAAGCATTTTCCTCCTCTGGCCAGGACGGCTTCACGCCTCTGGCGGTAGCCCTGCAGCAGGGCCATGAGAACGTCGTCGCGCACCTCATCAACTACGGCACCAAGGGGAAGGTGCGCCTCCCGGCCCTGCACATCGCGGCCCGCAACGACGACACGCGCACGGCTGCGGTGCTGCTGCAGAACGACCCCAACCCGGACGTGCTTTCCAAGGTGAGGGCGAGGAGGAGGGAGGAGCCTTGGGCCGCGGACGCCCGTGGGCTCAGGGGGCACCGCGCACGCCCAGCGACTTCCCAGGCAGGAGAACCGAGCGTGCAGGGCGGGCAGTGCGCACTGAGCGCCCTCACCCCAGGACGCAGAGGGGCCCCTGGACAGCCCCGCTCTAAATCCCTGGCAGATGCCCAGAAACGTGCTCTTGGTGAGCAGCGGGGGTGGTTCCTGTTGCTCCAGGTCATCTGGAAATGTGTCCAGGCGGGCAGGGCGGGTCACCCTGGAACCCCAGGAGGCGGCCTTCCTGATGTTCCTTCATCTCTCCTCCCCGGCTGCCCCGTAGTGGAGGGAGGAGGCGTGCAGGGGCTGGGGTGTGGAGAAAGGGGGTCCGGGACCTTGCACGCCTGCGTGCACCTGGGCACGCTCTCCGGTGTTCGGAGGCACTGCTGATCTGCTGTCTGTAGGCTGAGGCTGCTGGTTTTCTTTTAGTGGAAATGGATTTACTGGAGTTATTCAAAGTCCCCTCCTGCACCCCGCCCCTCCCCTCTTCCACCGGCCCCAGATCCACCGGGTTTTGTCTGGAAAACACCTGGGTGGGGTTAGGCCTGCCTTCAGGCTCTGGAACAGAATGATGACAATGGACGGAGGTTGAGGCAGGAGGATGGTTTGAGCCCAGGAATTGGAGACCAGCCTGGACAACATAGTGAGACCCTGCCTCTAAAACATTTTTTTTAAAATTAGCTGGGCATGATGGTGTTCGCCTGTAGTCCCAGCTACTGGGGAGGCTGCGGTGGGAAGATTGCTTGAGCCCAGGAGGTCGAGGCTGAAGTGAGCTGTGATCACATCACACTGCACTCCAGCCTGGGCAACACAGTGAGACCCTGTCTAAATGGGAGGAAAAAAAGACCATAGCCCCATTACACTTTCATTCATGAATGAAAATCTCTTTGTCGGTGATCACTCTGACGAACGGGCCCACAGAGTCTGAGGTTAACATATAATTCGGGTTGCTCAGGGCAGACCCCCAGCTTTTGAATACACTGTGCCATAAAGCCTCTCTTGACCCCCTCACCAAATGTTCCCACCCA
This sequence comes from Homo sapiens, assembly GCF_000001405.40. Classification (NCBI taxonomy): domain Eukaryota; kingdom Metazoa; phylum Chordata; class Mammalia; order Primates; family Hominidae; genus Homo; species Homo sapiens. Next base: position 41,724,675 of record NC_000008.11, on the reverse strand, counting down.
TCAAAATCTCCTTTGTCTGTAAAGTCCTGTTGCCCCACCTGAGTTTCCTGCATCCCAGGGCTGATTCTGAGATAGAAGTAAATCACATATAACAAGTTTCTCCCCCTCTGTTGTGCCCCAGACGGGATTCACGCCCCTGCACATTGCGGCTCACTACGAGAACCTCAACGTGGCCCAGTTGCTCCTCAACAGAGGAGCCAGCGTCAATTTCACACCACAGGTAACCCTGGGGCACGTGCGCCCTCACTGTCCGGGGGCTTGGGGCTGGCAGTTGCTCCTGCCTCGGCACCATGGGTTTCATCCCAGTGGCAGAAGTGCCTGTGGGTTAAACAGCCCTGCTGTCTGGTCGGGCTCCTTGCTGGCAGGTTTCTGATCATCTACCCCCCAGTTTCCACCTGCTTTGTCTTGAGAAAACCCTAAACTCCATTTGCCCATCCTAAAAATGGGAAACCTGGAGGGCAGAGAGTGATTTCCATATAACTGACTTTCCTGCAGTCTGTTATGTTGACTCTGGGAGGCATGGGCTTGGGTGGTGTGGTGGGATGACCCATCCTGTTGGCAGGTCCTTTCAGGTTTTAAAATGTCTTAGGCCGGGCGCGGTGGCTCACGCCTGTAATCCCAGCACTTTGGGAGGCCGAGACGGGCGGATCACGAGGTCAGGAGATCGAGACCATCCTGGCTAACACGGTGAAACCCCGTCTCTACTAAAAATACAAAAATTAGCCGGGCATGGTGGCGCGTGCCTGTAGTCCCAGCTACACAGGAGGCTGAGGCAGGAGAATGGCGTGAACCCGGGAGGCGGAGCTTGCAGTGAGTCGAGATCGCGCCACTGCACTCCAGCCTGGGCGACAGAGCGAGACTCCGTCTCAAAAAAAAAAAAAAATAAAAAATAAAAAAAAATAAAATATCTTAGGCCAGAAATGCCCTGACAACGCTGTTGCAGGCCTGGGGACTGGGGGCTGGGGACAAGGGGAGCGGGTGCACAGCAGCTGCATTCCAGGGAAGGATGACGCGCCCTGACCGTCCTGCTTCCTCCCTTCAGAACGGCATCACGCCACTGCACATCGCCTCCCGCAGGGGCAACGTGATCATGGTGCGGCTGCTGCTGGATCGGGGAGCCCAGATAGAAACCAAGACCAAGGTGGGTGCCAGCAGGTGCTGTAGCCAGGCAGGGGGAGGGAGGTCCCCCCTCACAAGCCTCACCCAGAGCAGCGGGCCCTTGGTGACCTAGTTAGGGATGCACCACCAGCCTCCCGGAGCCGCCTGCAGCAGTATTCTGGGCAGTGCCGCGTGCAGTGGGAGGCAATAGTAAAACTGTGCTGAGGTCGAGCTGGTGCTTGAGGAAACGTCAGCACTTGCGTGGGCTGGGATGATGCCATAGGCAGTCTTCTCTCCAAATGGCCTCTGATAGCTGCCTTTTGGGCTTTCTGTTTTTGACTCTGTCTTTTAAAGGACGAATTGACACCTCTCCACTGTGCAGCTCGAAATGGGCACGTGCGAATCTCAGAGATCCTGCTGGACCACGGGGCACCAATCCAAGCCAAAACCAAGGTGTGTACTTCCTTCCTGTCAGGCGCATTTTCTAGACAGGGCTCCAGGTCCAACAGACCTGGCATCAAATCCTATTTCTGTAAAACAGAGATGCTAATACTACTAGATGAGATAGCACCTTTGACATTTATTACAAGGCCTATCACGTAGGAGACTCTCAGTGTAGCTCTAATGCCTAACTAGATCAGGGTCGGCAAACTTTTTATCTAAAGGACCAGGTATGAGACAATTTTAGGCTTTGCAGGCCGTGGTCCCTGTTGCAATGATTCAACACTGCCAACGTAGCAGAAAAGCAGCCACAGGCAATATGCAAACTAGGGCCCGTGTTCCAATAAAACGTTATTGACAAACACTGGTGGCAGGGCAGATTTGACTCACAGGTTGTGTAGTTCGCCTACTACTGCTCTAGATCAATCCCTATGTCTCTCTTCCTAGCTCCAGAAAAGACAGGCACTAAGTACTCTGAGAAGTCTTCAGAGCCTGGGCCAGACTGAAGCGAAGTTAAAAAGAAAAGAACACAGTTCTTCTCAGGTTCCATTACGGGCCAGAGAAAAGGCCCGTTACGTGGCTCTGACATAAGGACTCGAGTCTTCAAGGGGTGAAAGCTGTCAGCCACACTGCTGCCTGTGCCTGCTCTGGGCCCTCTGCCCCGTGAATTGAGCTGTGTCAGAGCAGAGCAAGGCAAAAGCCAGGCCCACTCACAGCTACCCAGGAGGTTTCCCACGAGCAGTTCTGTCATAAAATGATGGCTTAGACCATACAGTGAAAGCTGATTTATTCCCGACACATTATCATGTTCTGTTCTGTAGAGCTGTCGTTAATTTGGGTCATGATTCATAGTCCCCACACTGGTTCTTGGGTGTGTCTGTGTGTGCTGTTGCATGAGGGTGTCCTCTACTAAAGCAGTTTCTCATTTAGCCCTCCATCCTTGGCTGATTTGCCGTGTGACTATGAACGTGTGTCTTGCCCTCTCTGTGTTTCAGTTTCCTCATCTGGAGAGCCCCCACCCTCTCTCCTAGGATTATTGGGATGACCATGTGAGATAATGTCTTCAAAAGCTATCTAAAAGTAAAACTCCTCAGCTAAATGAAAGTAGAATTGCTACTATCAGTTAAATTATTAGAAAATTCCCAACATTTTTCCAGGAGTGCTGTATTTAAACATAATACATGGCCAGAAGTTAAGATTTTTTGTTTTATTATCCAGATCATTAGAATGGGGCTGAAAAGAATGCTTATGAAAATTCCTTACTGAGAATATGTGACTTTTCAATTGGGAACTATCGTACAACCTTTCTGAAATGCAAGTGTAACTAACTGAGTTAGCTCAGTCCACCTTAACAAAGAACCACATGCTGAGTGGCTTAAACAACAGAAACTTACTGTCTCACACTTCCAGAAGCTGGAGGGTCAAGATCAAGGTGTCAGCAGGGTTGGTTCTTTTTTTTTTTTTTTTTTTTTTTTTTTTTGAGATGAAGTCTCACTCAGTCACCCAGGCTGGAGTGCAGCAGTGTGATCTCTACTCACTGCAACCTCCGCCTCACAGGTTCAATCGATTCTCGTGCCTCAGCTTCCCGAGTAGCTGGGATTGCAGGCAAATGCCACCACGCCTGGCCTATTTTTGTATTTTTAGTAGAGATGGGGATTCACCATGTTAGCCAGGCTGGTCTCGAACTCCTGGCCTCAAGTGATCTGCCCACCTTTGCTTCCCAAAGTGCGGGAATTACAGGGGTGAGCTACAGTGCCTGGCAGGGTTGATTCCTTCTGAGGCTGTGAGGGAACATCTTTTCCAGGTCTCTCCCCGAGCTTCTGGTGGTTTGGGCACAATCTTTGGTTTCCTTGGCTTATAGGGCATCATGCTGACCTCTGCCTTCATCTTCATGTGACATTTTCCTGCTGTGCAGGTGCCCAAATCTCCCTGTTTCTAAGGACGCCAGTCATAGATTAGAACTCACACTAATGACCTCATTTTAGCTTATTATATCCCCGAAGATCCTGTTTCCAAACAAGGTCACATTCTGAGGTCCTGGGGGTTAAGACTGCAGCATGTGAATTTTGTGGGACCTAATTCAGCCTGTAACACTAACATCTGCTGTCATGGAACCTGATTTGCATCTTCCTTGATGAAAATCCTCTCATTTCCACTTTCTAAAAGCTGAAGTCCCAGGTCCTGAGCTCCTAGCCTTTCTTGGCGCAGCTCCAGCCTCCTCTCCAGCCTGACTCCATGCTTGGAATCACCTCACCCCGGACTGTCGAACTGCATGGAGGCCCCTGGGTTCCCCTAGGGTAGCTGCCTCTGTGATGTTGCACTTGCTGCTCCCTAGGATGTTCTTCCCCTTTGGTCCTCCTGGTGAACTTCCATTCAGCTCCTTTCAAGTCCTAGCTCAGGCCTCACCTCCTCCCTCCCAGTGCCCCTCCTTCATCAGGGACGCCATCTGTTTGTGCACAACTCTGTGCTTTGATCATCCCACTTCAGGGCGCTGAAAGACAACACCATGTCTGTCTACAAGCTTCCTTGGGTCAGGGGTTATGTCTGTTCTCTTCTGTTTCCCCAGAGCTTAACCCATACCAGGTGCACATTAATCACTTGATAGATATGTGTTGAATTAATGTCTAAGTGAATGAATGAGTCTCCTCTCTCTTTTATGTTTTTTAAACAAATTGCTGTTTGAGAAATGAGTATCCTTAACAGAATTTTCTTTAACTGAACTGCATTTGATAGGGACAAGGAACAGAGGGATTTAGATCCAAGTTCTATTTTATCATAATTCATTCATTCATTCATTCATTCAAAATCACATAATTTAGGGACCATGATGTGTGTTACATGCATGTATTTGGCACTGTGGGGCATTTAAGGAGAAATATTAGGCTAAGTCACTGATCTTAAGAGGCGTATAAATAAAGAGAAGAGATACACTCCCCTAAAAAGTTAGCTATGGATATAATTGGGCAAATATGAGAATAAGGTCTGAGCGCATGGTGCAGATAAGGAAAGCCCACAGGAGTCTAGAGTGGTCAGGGAAGGCTTTCTGGAAGAGGTGGGTCTGCTGGACATGGCTTTGAAGGTTTGGCCAGGTGGAAAGGAGAATGTCTGTGGTCAGAGACCGGCAGGAGCGTGGAGGCCAGGGTGAGCCAAGCTCCCTCCAGAGACTTGTGGAAACATTGTGTAGGGAAGAAGTAGGGAGTGACGTTGGAATCGTCCTGAATCTCCATGCTCGGTCCCCAGAAGACTTTGTGATTGCTTGTGTTTTCCTCTTTACCCAGAACGGCCTGTCCCCAATTCACATGGCGGCTCAGGGAGACCACCTCGACTGTGTCCGGCTCCTGTTGCAATACGACGCAGAGATAGACGACATCACCCTGGACCACCTGACCCCACTCCACGTGGCTGCCCACTGTGGACACCACAGGGTGGCTAAGGTCCTTCTGGATAAAGGGGCCAAACCCAACTCCAGAGCCCTGGTGAGTGGGGGTGCTGCTGGAGAAGGTGCAGAGTGGCAGGGCAGGCTGGGGGCAGGAGCAGAGAGGCATGGCTGGGCCTGTGGGAAGGGCGGCAGGTGCCCGGAGCTCCCCAGATTCGAGGCCTGAGCAGTGGGGTGTGACAGCACTGGATGGTGGGGGCCTGGTGTGCACCCCTCCTGCACCCTCCACTGCACACCCACCTGGGTATCGACCCCTGCCCCGGTGACCAGGCCGAGGTCAGGGATGAGTTTGGGCCCAGGAGACCGGACTCAGGAAGCATCCTGCATGGTAGGTATGCGGGCTTGGGGCATCTCTCCAGTGGAGCCAGGCCTGGAGCTGAGTGATTCCTTAGAGGCTGCGTGGCTTTCTGAGCTGCTTTGGGGATGAATGAGATGGCCAGAGCTGAGCATCCTTCGTCCACAGAGGGGCTTGTAGTTCTCATGGCACTCGTGTAAAGGGAAGCTCAGGCCCAGAGCAAATCCCTCCTGTGGTTCCTCTGCCTCCTTCCCAGGACAGGGGCTCCCAGGGAGTCTGGGGATCCAGCAGGGCTGTAGCTTTGCACTAAGCATGCCTGTAACCACATCTCCTCTCTGCCTCTTCCCAAGGCAGCAGAACTGAGGGGCAGGATATCCTCCAGGGATGGCAGAGGATGGCTCATTCATTCACTCATTCACTCACTCGCTCAAAAAAGCTTTCACTGAGCAGTGCCCACAGGCCACGTACTGTTATAGGGGAGTTGGGATTTCCCAGCCTCAGGACTGTTGACATTTGGGGTCGATATTTGTGGTCTTGTGTGTTGTAGGATGTTTAGCAGCGTCCCTGGCCTCTACCCACTAAGCACTCATAGCTCTCCTTCCCTAGCTGACAATAAAAAATGTCCCCAGACATTGCCACATGTTTTGGGGGTGAGGTGCAAACGATACCCCCCCACCACCACCTCCCGTGTTTGAGAACCACTGCCTTAAGTGGATAAACCACTGAAAAAAACAGACAAAAACAAATACACATTTCTGCCCTTCAGAGTTTACATTCAGAGTATATCACACTTTAAAGCAGAAATCCATTTCACTAAAAATGATCAGTGGTTTCAGGGAAGAGGGAACATGATTTGCTTCACAAAAGTACTCTTTTATTGTAAATTTACCCTTAGGGGGCTTTAAATGGCAGGATCTTTTAGTGCATCCAAAATATGAATAAATTTTTAAAAAAGGTTTATAAACAACATGTTCAGGAACATATCTAGTGCATCAAGTGAGAGCCACCTGTCTCTTACATGATTTGCATTAATTGACATTATAAGACTAATCAATTGGCATTAATTCGTTGATTGGTCTATGGGCATCTGCTGGTGGCCTGGGCAGCAGCTGCCTTTTAGAGCAGCCAGGTGGTCTTCTGGGCGTTCCTTGGGCCCGTGTGTAAGCTCCTGCTTGTCTGTCTCCCTTTGTGTGGGCTGCAGAATGGCTTTACCCCCTTACACATCGCCTGCAAAAAGAACCACGTCCGTGTCATGGAGCTGCTGCTGAAGACGGGAGCCTCGATCGACGCGGTCACCGAGGTAGGAGAGACTGCAGAGGAGCCTGGGGGCAGGCCTGTGGTCTCCCCCGACCCACCTTCTCCAAGAGTCGCTCTTTGTAGCTTTGTATGGCTGCAGGGGTGTGTGTGTCTGCAAGTCTGGACTGCTGGAAGGAATGAATCAGGGGTGACTAAGACAAGGGAACATGAGTCAAGTCTCATGGAGCCTTCCAAGATCAGACACAATTTTTGCAAGTTGTAAGAGTGGGCACGACTTGCCCACAGTAATTTTTTTCTCCAACCATTTTCTTGGAAGCAAACCCACCTCATATAGCTCCCTTTTCTTGGAAAATCATTTGTGAAAGCGTTAGATACTGTCAGGTTCTCTCTTCTTCAGGGGAGCGGAAAGACTCCCACTTATCGGACTCTGCCTTTGTCTGTTTCAGTCTGGCCTGACACCTCTCCACGTGGCCTCCTTCATGGGGCACCTTCCCATCGTGAAGAACCTCCTGCAGCGGGGGGCGTCGCCCAACGTCTCCAACGTGGTAAGCCCTCAGGCAGGCAGGGGCTTGCTCCCCTAGACCAAGAGCTCAGAGGGCAGCTTTCACCAGTGCTCCCAGTCCTACTCTCTGGGGACAGAGCTACGATTCCCAGAACAGCCAATGCTTCAGACTGGGGGAGGACATCCCTGTGTACTGACGCTTTCTGGATTAAATTTCTCACACATCCGTAAACCTTGGAGGCTTTGTTTTGGACAATAATTTTGGAACGTCTGTAAGTGTTCACTGGGAATACATTTACATTTTTGAATATTCATTAGCTCTGGGGTTTACTTTTAAGTGTACCTAGAATACACAGACACACACATAAACTCATATACACGCATGCACCTGCACGTATGTGCACACACACACATACACACATACATGCTCATGCACACATGCACACATACCAGGCTAAAGAGCTGCCTGCTGGGGCAACTCCACCTCTTGGACAAAAACCCACCAAGCCACTCCAGACTGCACTTCCTAGCTCTGTGTGTGCCGTTTTGGACAGCAGGCATGTATGAACAGTTCTATAATTTTGTTATTTTATAGAAAGTGGAGACCCCGCTACACATGGCAGCCAGAGCCGGGCACACGGAAGTGGCCAAATATTTACTCCAGAACAAAGCCAAAGTCAATGCCAAGGCCAAGGTGAGTAGTGAAGGCAGGAAGGGAAGGGTTTCAGATGTGAGCAGTTCCAGCACTGTGCAGAGAACCCATCCTCATTCCAGGCGGGGCTGCAGTGCTGTGGCCTGGGGATCACTTTTCATCCTGATCAGGTCACTCTGAGCGCCCAGATTCTGCTTTGCAGGGGGTTTGAGAAGACCAGGGGTATTTCTGCATGAGAGCCACATTTCTTTAAAATAAGGAAAGTCCAAGGTGCGTGGCTGGCCTGAGTATGTCCTGGGCTAACGATGACAGTTGCCATGTAAGGAGGGGGGCAACGTTTTAAAGAAAGCATTGCCAGCAAAAATCAGGCAAGAATTACTTGATCTAAAACTGGAGAGTTCCCCCTTGCTGTAAACACATTTTGCGGGGGTTGGAGGAGTAGACAGTGAGAAGAGCTGTGGAGTTTGCCAGTTGCTCACTCGGCCAACAGCAGGCTTCCTAACCACAGGCCACGATGGGTTCTCCTTAGAGTCAGGCCTGTGATTTGTGTTTGGGGCCCTCGAGGGAAGCCTCCAGCTGGGCCCCATGAGACCTGGCCCAGGCAGCCCGACAGCAGCATTCAGAAACAGGAAGTGGGGGGGTGTGGGTGGAAAAGTCCTCATTCTCTGTCAGCAGTTGAGACTCCCCTGACCCCAGCACAGAGAAAATCAAACTAGAGTTCAAGCAGAAAGACAAGCGCATCCACTCAGAAAGGATGTGGGAGACGGATGAGCAGCCACACTGCATTGAGTGCCTTTTATGCACCAAACGCAGAAACCATGTACATTATCAGCTTGATCCCAGCTGAGCCCTAGCAAGTAGACGTTATTATTCCCATTTTACAGATGGGAGGGCTGGGCCTTTGGGAAATAAGGTAGAAATAACAGCTCACTTGAAGAACTGTTGTAAGGATTCAGTAGGATACAGCATATTGGTTCCTGTAACTCAGAGACTTGATTCGAATCCTGACTCTTCATCTTCTTAGCTGTGTGACCTTGAGAAGGTCACTTGCCCTCTCTGGGCCCTGCCTTGCTTCTCTGTAAGATGAAAAGTTGGATTTGGTAACATTAGCGTTTCTTCTTCTTTGTTTTCCCTTCGGGGTCCAGGATGACCAGACCCCACTTCACTGTGCAGCTCGCATCGGCCACACAAACATGGTGAAGCTCCTGCTGGAAAATAACGCCAACCCCAACCTGGCCACCACCGCCGGGCACACCCCCCTGCACATTGCAGCCCGTGAGGGCCATGTGGAAACAGTCCTGGCCCTTCTGGAAAAGGAAGCATCCCAGGCCTGCATGACCAAGGTACAGCCTCCCGCCTCGTGGTCTAAGGAAGCAACAGGCTCACTCAGCCAGGCCTGGAGCTCGGAGGGGAATTCCTGCCTGGTTCTCTTTGTCACCTCAATGATGCTGCAAGCAGCTGGAAGGGTCGTCACACTCAGGGCTGGCCACCACCTGCAAGCCGATGTGTCTCCATCCTTCCCCAAAACAGGAAGTCAACCACAGCTTCTCACACACCCAGCCAGCCTTCATACATTTATCATGGCACAATTATTAGTCGAAACCTGCTTTGGGCAAGTCACAAACAGGTTCTGGGGATATGAAAAGGATTAAGACTCATACCCTGCCCTCAGCTAGCCAGCAATCAACTACCACTGTGAGGTGGTTGAGACCCTCTTGCCAGAGGAGTGTGGACCGTAAGTGCAGGGATGCCTGCCAAGTCCTGAGGTCTTCGGCCTCCCAGAGGGCTCAAAAATGGCTGTGCCTTTGCTTTCATTGGCCTCTCCATGCCAGCGGAGGTGCAGCCTCCTTTGCTGTGGGCCCTTTCTCCAGGGAGGACAGCCCTGGGGCCCCAAGGTCCTGACAGCCTGTTTCTCCTCAGAAAGGATTTACCCCTCTGCACGTGGCGGCCAAGTACGGGAAGGTGCGGGTGGCAGAGCTGCTGCTGGAGCGGGACGCACACCCGAATGCTGCCGGAAAAGTGAGTTTGAACCCTGCCCTCCCCTGCAGCTCTCAGGTTAGAGGCAAGGACAGAGGATGGACATCAGCACTTGCAGATTCCATCTCTTGCCTGTGTTGTTCATCTTTTTTTTCTTTGAGACAGGGTCTCGCTCTGTTGCCCAGGCTGGAGTGCAGTGGTGCCATCACAACTCACTACAATTTTGACTCCTGGGCTCAAGCCATCCTCGAGTGTCAGTCTCCTGAGTAGCTGGGACTACAAGCAGTTGCCACCGTGCCCGGCTAACTTAAAAAAACAATTATAGAGACAGGGTCTCACTATGTTGCCCAGGCTGGTCTCGAACTCTGGGCTCAGGTGATCTTCCCTCTTCAGCCTCCCATAGCTCTGGGATTACAGGTGTGAGCCACTGCACCCGGCCTGTTTATATTTCCATGGGTAGCCATCGAGAGAGAATGGCCTTTGGAAAGACTGGCCTTTCTGTCAAAGGCCTTATCCTTTTGGAAAGACCCGATGGCCTTCTCCGGGCAAGTGTATTGATCTCACTGCCCACGTTCCCCCCTGTTCCCACAGGGCTCTGGGTCCTGCCGATGACATTCTGTCATGACTCCAAGTTAAGACTGGCCTGGGAAAGATTTTAAACAGGATTTTACTGTATAAAATAGGTGCTCCCATGCCTAAAGGGAGTCCTGGGAGAAAGTCCGTGGGAGTGACAGCCGGCCTCTTTTGTCTTTGTCCCCTGCAGAATGGCCTGACCCCCCTGCACGTGGCCGTCCATCACAACAACCTGGACATCGTCAAGCTGCTGCTTCCCCGGGGCGGCTCCCCGCACAGCCCTGCCTGGGTAAGGCCCGCCCCTCTCCCCAGCTGCCCCTGGAGAGCAGGTCACCTGCTACCTTCCAGTCCCTCAGGGAGGGGGGTTTCCACAGCAGCCCAAGGGTTTTGCGTTCTGTTGCTATTTTTACCTCAGAAATCACGCCTCACTTTCCCACATGTTACCTGCCCTGTAATCACGCTATTCAGGGCCCAGGAGTGGGATGGGAAGTGGGTAACAATTCCCAGCCAGGGGTTACCTCGCAGAGGCGGAACTTGTTTTATACAACAAATGTGTCCCCAAGCAGTTGCACGTCAGCTGGGTTTTGTAAACTGACTGTCAGAGGTCAGTGTGGATAAAAATCCCTGGGGAGTGGTGAGCCCGTTTCTAGCATTGCTAGATTCTGACTCCGTGGGACTGTGCAGTGTGGCCTGGAAGCCTCATTTTTAACCTACTCTCTGCATGGTTCCAAGGCTGGGGCCACAGCGACCGTACTTTGAGAAATCCTCAGGGCTGCTGGCGAGCTTGCTGGAACCTGGAAACAAGAGACCTCTTTAAAATGAGAATGATCATCTCCAAATTCATTTGTCTCTGAGATCAGACTTTTAGATAGTGGCATTTTTGTAGGGAGGCTCACCTGAATGTGAGACACATTGGCCCAGCCTCACACCAGCTTCGGAGGCGAGCTGCTCAGAGCAGCAGGTTCCGTGACCCTTGAGGGAATCAGAGGAGGGAGCAGATGGGTTGCTTCTGGAAGACCCCACGGGGTTGGGTAGTACAAGGATAAAGCTGGAAGGACCATTTTTGGGAACAGGCTGCCTGCTGTGGGAAGGCGAGGCTGTGTAGGGATAGGCACCGCGGGACTGGTGGCCAGCGGGGAGAAGGGGAGAGGAGAGGGAGCGGGGCCAGGAAGACAAAAGCCACACGCAGTACCCGCACTCTATGGGGCAGCCAGGCGCACGGGAAACAGGATAATTTATGGGAGATCCGTCATGTGGCAGGCATCCAAGTGCTGCAGAGAAGGAGCCTCGGGGTGGGACCCCATGTGACTCCAGCCAACACCTGCTGGCTTAGGGCCTCCGCAGCCCAGGCAGGGAGCGTCAGTGCCAGTGCAGGGCTTCGGCGCGTTCTCCCTCCCTGGACAGACACGTGTCCCCATCTTGCAGCATCGCTCTTCTACAGACGCCGGCTCCCGACAGCTGTCTCCTCCTGTCCCTGCTGCAGTGAGTCCCACGTCGCTGTGCAGAGGGAGCACACGGCCCCGCTGCGATGTCGACTTACTCCTGCCTCTAAAAATAAAAACCTGGACTCCCCTCCTCCTCACTCCCCTACTTATATAAAAGGAACGGGAGCCAGGTTCATTATATTTAAAGATAACTAAATCCAAGCACAAACCCTGTACAGATGGGCTTTGTTTCCATGGCAAAAAATAGTTTCCAAAGTAGTCTGGCAATTTTGTAGAATTTCACATGCAAATCTCTCTGCACCCAAACCAAACCCTCCCCTTTCTAATTTTGATGCTAATGTTGTTTGAACATTTGGGCAGAGCTCCCTCCGTGTGCATTCCTTAGGATGAGCTCATTTCCTTGGGAAAGAAGAGCCTTTTGCGGGCACACATTCCTCCCTCCCCTCTCCGTGACTTTCCAGCCTAGTTGTCCTTGTCCTTGTCACCTGCAGAAGTTCATTTGTTCATTTTAGTTCTGGTTTAGGGGAAGCTCAGAGGGGCAGTCCGTGTTCTGAGAGTCACAGTGGCACTTGTATCTCAATTTTAACCAGAGGTTTACCTGGTAGCCTGAGCCATGTCCAGGGCAGGCCTACCCTTGGGCAGGACAGGGGGCTGGCCTTGCCAGTGTGGACATCGCTGCTTCCCAGGTGGCCTGGGATTCCTGAGGATACATCCATGAACACACTGCAGATTGCTCAAGTGATGGACCCTTGTACATTAAAAGATGGCCTAATAGGGCCGGGCACGGTGGCTCAAGCCTGTAATCCCAGCACTTTGGGAGGCCGAGACAGGCAGATTGCTTGAGGTCAGGAGTTCAAGACCATCCTGGCCAACATGGTGAAACCCCGTCTCTACTAAAAATACAAAAATTAGCCGGGCATGGCAGCGTGCACCTGTAATCCCAGCTACTTGGGAGGCTGAGGCAGGAGAATCGCTTGAACCCGGGAGGCAGAGATTGCGGCGAGCCAAGGTCTCACCACTGCACTCCAGCCTGGGCAAGAGAGCGAGACTCTGTCTAAAAAAAAAAAAGATGGCCTAATAATCATTGCTCTCATGTAGTTATTAATGGAAAAACCAAACTCCATAAAGTCTTTTGGAGGTTTACTCTGAGCCAACGTGATAACCATGGCCCTGGGCAACACAGCATCAAGAGGTCCTGAGAAAGTGTGTCTGAGGCGGCTTACAGTTTGGTTTTTTATATTTAGAGAGGCAGGAGTTACAGGCAAAGACGTAAATCAATACATGGAAGGTATATATTGACAAAAATACCTAGAAAGTCCCAGAGGTTATAGGCAGATTCCGAGATTCTTTAATTTGCAATTGGTTAAAGGAGTAAAGCTTTATCTAAAAGTTTGGAATCAGCAGAAAAGCATGAAGTTGAGAGAAGGGTCTGTTCACCAGGGTCCTGGGCCGAGTGACCTCCAGGGGGCATGTGACTCAGCCCTTGCCTACTGTGGCCTTGGGTCCTGTTGATAATTTGGTGTCTTGTCACAAAGAGTCCCTTTGGTTAGTCTTATGATCTCTTTTAACATGAATGCCGGTCAGTTGCGCCTAAACTCCGAAAGGGAGTGGGTATAGCAAGGCGTGTCCAACCTCCCTTCCTTCGTGGCTGGGAATTCAGTTTTTAAGGTTTTTCTGGGATCTCTTTGGCCTAGATGGGATCTGTGTGGGGCTTAGGGTTTTATTTTTCATTTACATAGTGAAAATCTTCTCTGGGCCAGCGCTGACTGGTGCTCCGTGTCTAATCGTGGGGAGGCTTAGCTCTGTTTTGAGCCGACCCTGCATCTCAGGCTGGATCTGCGGCATCGCACCCCATTCCTTTGCTCTCTTTTAATACAGTGCAAAAATCATGTTGTTTAATTAAACTTATTATAATCCAAATGCCGATCTTGTTACATGAACACAACCTACGAAGAACAATTTAATGTTTTCTCATAACATAATCAAATTAAAAAGGAAGAATACTAGAAAGGATTATCTCATGTCATTCTTCAAAGAAAATGATTTTTCAATTTAATTCAATTCCTTGGGTAAGTCTCAACTTTTCGTTTCACCACAAAAGCCACCTATGGGCCCACCTTGCTGAGCTTTCCCTGTACCCAGGGCTTTGACTGCCTTGGCCAGCCCCTTTCTTTCCCTTTCCTCTTCCTGACCAGTGATCCTGGCAGAATCAGAAATGTTGGTTTCCACAGTAAGAGAGTGGCTGGCAGGGAGAACTCAGTCCTCAGCCAGAGGAATGCTGGCCGAGGTGGGGAAATCTCGTGCCCTGAGACAGATCCCACGTTGGGCAGCCATCTGCTATGGGCCTGGGTGGGCGCATGTCCAGGACGTCCTCCAGCCTGGCATTGCCCTTAACCCTGAGTGCCCTAGGGCCTTGCTACTGAAAGTGTGATCCCTGGACTAGCATTGTCAGCATCATCTGGGGGCTTGCTAGAAATGCACAATCTCGGGCCCTCCCTAGCGCCTCTGAATCAGACACTGCATTTTAACAAGGTCCCAAGGGATTTGTGTACACATCAGAGTTTGAGAACCACTGTTCTAGCTGGAATTACCTGGGCTGTGCAATCAGAAGTTCAAGGTTGGGTTATCTGTTGTTCTGCTTACTACGTGACATTAGATAAGGTGCTTAACCTTACAGAGAATTGGCCTCTTTCTCCACACAATAGGATAATAAAAATGCCTGCCCTAGTGACCTTATGTGGTTTTAATGAAGCGCAAAAAAAATGCAGGTGAAAGTGGTTTTCGGCAGTGATGAGCAAAGGTGCCCACCTGGGAACTGTCTCTTGCCTGCAGGGAGATAAGGAGTGTGCTCCAGAATGTAAACCCATGCGCTGCTTCCTTCACTGAGACAGTCTTGCTATCAATAATAATAATAAAAACAAAAATTGGCTGAATAAACAGTGCACAGTGACATCATTGATTTACTTTTGAGGCAAGCTTCTTCATCTCATTGTGCAATTATAATGTCTTGCAAACCAGTGCACTGCAAAACCATGACACACAGGTGCATTACTTTTTAAAATTTTTATGTGTAGAGACAGGGTCTTACTCTGCTCCAGGCCATAGTGCAGTGGTACGATCAGAGCTCACTGCAGCCTCCAACTCCTTAGCTCAAGCCATCTTCCCACCTCAGCTTCCTGAGTAGCTACAGCATGCACCACCATGCCCAGTTAATTTTTCACTTTTTTTGTAGAGATAGGGTCTAGCTATGTTGCCCAGGCTGGTCTCAAACTCCTGGCCTCAAGTGATCCTCACACCTCAGCCTCCCAAAGTGTTGGGAATACAGGCATGAACACTGTGCCCTGCCAACTTTTTATATCTTAATTTTGGAACATACCTTCACGTATAGTATCACGTTTGATCCACCTAACAACTTCGAGAAATGAACAAGATAGATGCTATTATCCACTTTTCATGACTTAAAAGATACAGAAGGAAGTCTAGGTCATGGAACATCTTGCCCTGGGTCACACAGGTAGTTAACAGTGGAGTGAGGACTGTCCCACATCCTCAAGTCCCTTGCCAGGTGCATGTCCCTTAAACCACCCTGCCTAATGCCGGCAAGGCCCAGAGGGCAGCACTTGGCCCAGTTGCACTGGGAAAGAAAAGGGGCTGATGTTTCTTTTTCTTTATGAAATATTTGGGGTTTTTGGCTCTTATTGCAGGAAGCAAGAAATGAGAATCTTTCATTTCCTTACCCAGCCTTCCTGTTATTCTCTTCCTGTCCAGCAGTTTGTCAAAGCATAACAGAAAACAGATGGTGAAAAAAGATGGACATATAGAGGCTATGCAAGCCTGAGGAGCTGTCTCCAAATCAAATGGATTTTGTTTGTTTGTTTGTTTACCTAAATTGCTCCTGGGTGATGCCAGCCCTGCTCACTGGGTGTCCAGCCGGCCAAGAACCAGACTCAGCCCCTGCTTGTGTGTTGATATTGTCAGCTCAGCATTCCTGTAACCAGGCTCTGGGCGGCTTCTTCTGTTTCAGAATGGCTACACCCCTTTGCACATCGCTGCCAAGCAGAACCAGGTGGAGGTGGCCCGTAGTCTGCTGCAGTATGGGGGCTCAGCAAACGCCGAGTCGGTGCAAGGTGTGACGCCCCTTCACCTGGCCGCCCAGGAGGGCCACGCAGAGATGGTGGCTCTGCTGCTCTCGAAACAAGCCAATGGCAACCTGGGGAACAAGGTAGGCATGGTGTCTTCGGATCTGCCCTGGAGTGCTGGATAACAACGTGTGGTGTCTTCATATTGAGCATCTATGTGTGCCCAGGTTCTGAGTTAGGGGTGTGTGTGTGTAATCCTTGGAACAGCCCTGCGTACATTTCACCTTCATTTTATAAATGAATAAACAGAGTCAGAAAGGTTGCTTATTCCCAAGGTGGCAGGATTCTGAGCCTTTCTGATGCCAAAGCCTTTGCCGATCTTTCTAAACAGATTGACCTAAGGATCTGCAGAAAGATCAATATTAAAATCCATAATAAACTTTCCCAAATATAGGCCGGTGCCTACCTTCAGGAGTGCATTCTGTCATTTGGGACTAAATATTCTATGTTCCGTGGGGGAAAGATATTTTTAAAAACACTGACCTATACACTAGGAGTTCTCACTCCAGCAACAATAGGTGTGTGAGGATAAAGCCTTCTAAAATTGCGCACACATCTGGGGAGGAAGCGCGCGTGAGCAGTTTTCTGGGTGAAGCATTCATAATGTTTCTCAGCTTCTCAAAGGAATGTGTGACCCAAAAAAAAAGACTAAAAATCACTTCTTTTTTAAATAACAGTTTTATCGAAATATAATTCACCTAGAAGTCACCCTTTCAAACTCTACAATTCAATGTTTTTTAGTATTTTTACAGAATTCAGCAGCCTATGATCTAACTCTAGAACACTTTCATCACTCCGAAAGGAAACCTCGTACCCGTTAGCAGTCACTTCTCATTTCCCCCAGAGCCCCCGGTCCCTCACAACTGCAAATCTTTCAGTCTCTAGGAATTTGCCTGTTCTGGACATTTCATATACGTGGAACCATGCAATGTGAAGAACCACTTCTTTGATGATAAATTCACATAGCACACATTCAGAAAGGCAAGCATTTTCAGGGCAACTTAAGATTTCTTAAAAACCTATAGATTTTGTACAAAATCTGGCACATTTTGTACAAAATCTGGCACATTTTTTACAAATTTGAACAATTGACCCCCAATGAGCGAACCATTCTGGTAGGACCATTATATTCATTATATCTCATGGCATTCTGGGTTCCTTCACTGCCCCACTTAATGTGAGCTTTGCAAGGAGACCGTAAGGTGACTGGAAACCCACTCTGTCATCCGCACGCCGCCCTCACGAGGCAGATTATTGGTGTTAGCTCAAGAATGAGGCAGAGCGCCCGCCTGAGAGGCTGACACAGTCACTCCTCAACCGAGGGCTGTTCTCATTGGAGCCACCCCCGCCTGCCTGCAGGAGGGGCCCACCTGCTTTGGCTGCAGCAGTGTGTGGTGGGGCATCATGACTGCCCACAAGCCTCTGGGCAGCCTGCGGGGTGTGCAGAAGGCAGAGGAGGGCAAGTGGAGTCCTGTAGAGGGGACACGGTCTGTGCCTGCAGAGAAATCCGTTTTGTTGGTCCCACGCTAGCAAAGTGTATTGAGGCAAAGTCCAGGGGAGAGAAGACTTTTCTGACATTTTCATGTGGGTGCCCACATATCAAACAACATCTCTGATACCTTACTGCCTTCCTGACGAAGCTGTGATGCCACCTGCAAGAATATGGTCCGTTCAATCCTGGCGGGATGCTCTGCCCTCTTGACCGTGCCAGCACTGGCTGTGCAGTGATAACAGTATGGTACATTATTTATTTATTTATTTAAGATGGAGTCTTGCTCTGTCACCTAGGCTGAAGTGCAGTAGTGCAATCTTGGCTCACTGCAACCTCTGCCTCCCAGGTTCAAGTGATTCTCCTGCCTCAGCCACCCAAGTAGCTGGGATTACAGGCATGAGCCACCACGCCCTGCTTATTTTTGTATTTTTAGTAAAGATGGAGGTCTCACCATGTTGGCCAGGCTGGTCTCGAACTCCTGACCTCAGGTGATCCACCTGCCTCGGCCTTCCAAAGTGCTGGGATGACAGGCATGAGCCGCCGCGCCCAGCCATTTAAACAGCACTGTGTGCCTCTCAATGTGCTTCACCTGTGCTTTCTCCAGCGCTCCTCACCTTGCCCCTGAGATGGATCCATGATAACCCCTATTGTCTAGATTAGGAAACCAAGGCTACAGGGCTCTGAAATTCACCATGGAAATGGGGCATTCTTTACTGGGAAGTCCATAAAGCACCAACGATGGGAAAGTGCCATAAAGTTCATCTAGATCAGAAGTCAGCAAACTATGGGCCCGTGGGCCAAATCTGGTCCACCACTTGTTTGTGTAAATAAAGTTTTATTGAAACACAGCCATGCCCATTCATTTAAATGTTAGTCATATAGAGACATGGCCAAAAATATTGATGATCTGGCCCTTAACAGCAAAAGTTGCCAACCCCTGGTCTAGTGTAACCACCTTACTTTTTAGATAAGGACATTGGGGCCCAGAACAGGAAGAGCTTTGCCTGGAGCCAAATAACTAGTTGGTGACTGCAAAGTTAGCTTCAGCTCCCAGACCTCAGAGCTCTTTACTTGTGGCCTGGAATTCTTTACTTGATAGAAGGTGATGAACGTCTTTTTCTTTGCAGAGCGGACTCACTCCCCTCCATCTGGTAGCACAAGAAGGCCACGTTCCAGTGGCAGATGTGCTGATCAAACACGGCGTCATGGTGGACGCCACCACCCGGGTAAGGCAGGCAGCCGGAACTTCAGTCTGTGTGGACTCCTTGCTCACACTTCAGAATTGAATCTTCCACAGAGCTTTGAAACCCCAAAGACCCAGTGGGACATTCTTCTCTGCCACTTCCTAGGGCTGGCAGTGGAGTTTGAAAACACTACTCCTAATTACCTGACTTTCCCATTGGGGATTTTTTTAAAGTTTGCTAGACCTTTGAGCCTCTGCAGTGAGAAAGTGGGGCGAATGTTTAATCATGACTCTAAGACCTGTCTAACATGAGTAGTTAGCATGTCAAAATGTCAAGTTTCCCCAGATCCACACAAAAGCTTAGCTCCTTTTCTTCCAGCACTTGGTTAAATCCAGTTCAACTTTCTTTGAACTTCTGGTGTGTGCAAGGAGCTATGTGAATGGAATCTGCCGTCGAGGTGTCTGCAGTTTGGTGTGGAGGTGATTGCTAGGGACAGGAAGGAAGAGCATAATTTGATATTTACTCTTAAGAGAGGAGCTGGGAGCACAGAGTGCAGAGAGGGTGTTTTCAGTTGGTGCGAGGAGGTGGGCTTCATGGAAGAAGCCACATTTTGTTTCTTTTCCCCACAAGGGAACCATATTAAAAGGAAGGGACAGTGACAGTACCAGGAGCTCCCGCCCCCTCCAGAGTAGCACAGAAATGCCGGCAACAATGTTATGCTGAAGTCACCCTGAGAAAAGTCTGGAAATTGTGTTTTGTCTCCAACTGCCTGCAGCTTCCACAGCAATCTGCTTAAAATCCACGAATGTTCTGGATCTTTGAGGCTTCACTTGCGGGCCCCGTTTAGTCTTTTGGGGTCCTGCACAGAGAGACCCTGTCCTGTGGGTTAGAATGGCCTTGAGGATCCAAAAGCCATCCCATTATGGGGAGGATCTGTGCTTGGGTGGTCTCTGGAATCTGGCACCAGCTTCCCGGGACACTTGGGACCAAGGAGCTCAGAGGGCCTTGGCCTGTCGGCCCAAAATTCAGGAAGGCATTACCACAAAATTCAGCAGGACAGACTCCTTGAACAGCCCAGACTCACATGAGCGAATGTCCCAAGCCCTTGCATTTCAATAAGCAATGACCAGTTCTCATAAATTCCATTACACCACAGTCACTTGGACAGCCTTTTGGGGGTTTTTCAATGGGATTTCAGCTTTCTAATGGAAAAAACCTGTTGTCATTGGAGTGACCATGACTCCACATCCCCATCTGCCCTCATCTCAGCACCCTTCCCAGGCCTGAAGGCTGTTTCTTCCTTCTTGAAATAGCTCCCCTGGGATTCTGTGATGCTGGTCTCTCAAGGTTTCCCTCCTCTTTTCTGCCTCTGCCTCACTCCTTCGGCCCCACTTTTCACCCTCCACTTTATTCTGGGGGACCTCACTCACCTCCAAAGCTCTCAGATCTCCCATGCACTGACGACCCCAGCATAGCCCTCTTCTCGCGGTTCAGTGTCCATTTTCCAGTTGCCCGCTTGACGTCTCCCCTTGGGTCTCCCACAAGCATCTCAGCCTGGTGGTCTCTGCCCAGCAGCAGCCATTCAGCTTGTCAATGTCAGCCTTCAAGGGGCTCCCTGTCCGTTCTCTCTTTGAATCAGCTGCTTTGGGAAGGATTTCATGTGATGCCCAGCTCAGGACAGCTCCGGTCACTCCTTCTCATCTGCTTTTCAGATGGGCTACACTCCCCTCCATGTGGCCAGTCACTATGGAAACATCAAGCTGGTGAAGTTTCTGCTGCAGCACCAGGCAGATGTCAATGCCAAGACCAAGGTACAGGGGTGCCCCAGCCCCGACTCCTGCACTGACCCTTCTCCATGCCACATCAGGGTAAAGCCAGAGCTGCTCTGGGAGCACTAGGGTTTTGACCATGGACCCTGAAGGAAGAAAGGGGGAAAATGCATTTCATTAATGTCCCACTTCGAAGATGGGCAGGCACTATCATGTGTAGGCAGGTCTCTGTCTAGTGGCTGGCTAACCCTGCCTAAATGTCTGCTCACTTTGCAGCTAGGATACAGCCCCCTGCACCAGGCAGCCCAGCAGGGACACACAGACATCGTGACTCTGCTTCTGAAAAACGGTGCTTCCCCAAACGAGGTCAGCTCGGTGAGTACACTCTCTCTCCTGAGTTTAGAAAACTGCTCCCCATGGCAGCAGCCCTGTGTGAACTCCCCTAACCGTAGAGGTTAATGCACGTGTCTAGGGCCTGGACGGGGCCGCAGCACCCTAAAGCCACAGCTACCTTGGGTACCCTGGGGATGGGGTGCTGTGATCAGTTCCTCTTTCTGGTGAATTGATCGTTTTCCTTTTAAGCACCATTTACCCTCCTCTTTTATGTTTATTAAAACATTCTTAAGTGTGAGTGCAGTGGCTTACACCTGTAATCACAGCACTTTGGGAGGCTAAGGTGGGAGGATTGCTTGAGGGCAGGAGTTCAAGACCAGCGTGGGCAACATAGTGAGTGCCTGAATCTACAAAAAAAAATTTTTTTAATTATGTGGGTGTGGTGATACGTATTAGCTGTAGTCCCAGCTAATTGGGAGGCTGAAGTGGGAGGATAGCCTGAGTCCGGGAGGTCAAGGCTGCAGTGAGCTGTGATTGCGCCACTGCAGTTCAGTGTCCATTTTCCAGTTGCCCACTTGACATCCAGCCTGGAAGACAGAGCAAGACCTTGTGTCTTAAAAAAAAAAAAAAAATATATATATATATATATATATATATATACACACACACACACACACACACATATACATATATATATATGCACACACACACATACATACCACATATATAAATACTTGTTGAAACCCATTCTAAAATATGTGAAACTGTTTTCAGTATGGTACAACTGAACATAATTAAATGTCCTGGGTGGTTCCTGATCTTTCAGGGCTCAAGGTTATCTTTAGTGACATCAGCAATCATCGTTCGGTGTGAGCTTCTTCATCTGACCATGTGGAAGTTCTGTGAAATTATCTCCGTGTCTGCTTCTATCTCTGAAATAATGTGGACCCTTGGCTGGGTGCAGTGGCTCATGCCTGTAATCCCAGCACCTTGGGAAGCCAAGGCAGGTGGATCACTTGAGGTCAGGAGTTCGAGACCAGCCTGGCCAACACTCCAGGGCAAAACCCTGTCTCTACTAAAAATACAAAAAAAAAAATTAGCTGAGTGAGGTGACAGGCACCTGTAGTCCCAGCTACTCGGGAGGCTGAGGCACAAGAACCACTTGACTCCAGGAGGCAGAGGTTACAGTGAGCCTAGATCACGCCACTGCACTCCAGCTTGGGTGACAGAGTGAACTCTGTCTCACACACACACACAAAAGTGGACTCGATTGTAGATGGGGTTGCAGAAATTGCAACTGCAGCTGGGCTTGAATCTGAACGGAGCCCAAGGCACATCCTAGAAGTAGAGAAGTCAAAAGAAAAATCAAGCCTCAGTATCCATTTATGATCACGTAGCTCTTCCTCTTTGAATCAAAGTAGAAAATATGCCCTTGCTGTATTTCTGGTGATTTGTGATTTCCGAGTATTCTGATTAGAGTTCATTGAAGTATATGGATTAATTCAACTATTTTAATACCCCATCACTGACACCCAAGAACAGACTTTGGGAGCAGCAAGCAGCCTTCCTCTGTCCTCATCTTCCTAAAATTGCATCTGGCAACTTCCTGACCTCCTTCCCAGTGGGTTCCCACTTAGCAGAGCCTGACTTCTCCTTGGGAGATTTCCTCTGCTGGGTTGCAAGGCCCCACACTTGACGCTGCAGATCGAAAGCACCGCTGCCCTCCCTCCTCCCACACCCGTCTCTGTGGGTGCTGCTGCTAACACACATCTAGGCACACACACGTGCAGGGATCTCTTTCTGGGCCCCACGGTGACGTCTGTCCACTCAGGTCCTCCTGAACAACTAGAAGGTGAACTCGATCTGTGTCTAGGGAGCCAGCCCCGCCTCCTAGACTCCATCCCCTGTCTGACTGCACCCGGGCTGCTCTTTCCCCAGGATGGAACCACACCTCTGGCCATAGCCAAGCGCTTGGGCTACATTTCTGTCACCGACGTGCTCAAGGTCGTCACGGATGAAACCAGTTTCGTGGTATGTCTGCCTCTCCCCCGCACCCACCCCAGACACACTCAGCCTGGCGCACAGGCGTGCCTGGGGTTACTCTGGAAGTGGGGTGCGTTCTGGGGCTCCGGGACGCGGGTCGGAGGCGCCGCGCCCGACGGGTGGGAGCTTGTCCTCCTTCCAGCGGGGCTGTGCTGCCACCTAGCGGCCCGAGGACTAGGGGCGGGACCAGCTTTCCGGGCAGCAGTGGAGTGGATGGGGTTTGGGGAGATGGGAAGCCAGTTTTCCCGGGTCCCGTCCCCGTGGTTCCTGCCCGGCAGCTTCCAGGCTGAGCGCCTCCTCCGTCTGTTTTTCTTCATTTGTGGGAAACCCCACAGGCATGACCAGGGAACCGCTGGGCTGGTAAAAAATGTGTGCGGCTCTAGTTTGGGTTGAATTATCTGCTTTTTCTCGTTTTAGTTAGTCAGTGATAAGCATCGAATGAGTTTCCCTGAGACAGTTGATGAGATCCTGGATGTCTCGGAAGATGAAGGTAACGTTGGGGTAAAGAGCTCAGGCTGGTGGGGACAGAGGGGCTCCGGGCACCCTCCAAGGGGGCTTCCTGCCACCTGCCGGCTTTGTCCCCTTACAACACGCCCAAGCACTATAGATGGACACTGAAACTGGGGAGACCTGGTTTTTATAACTGTTGTCTACTATCAAAAATACTGCTCTATTAATACTTAGGTGAGGGAACATTGACTAAATTTAAAATCCCATGAAGTTTCAAAAACACATGTATGTTTGCATAGATTATGGATGTGTATGAAATCGGAGCGTGGTTCTACTGAGATCAAGTCTCCGCACCATGAGGAACTGTAATAAAATTCTGCCTGGTTCTTTCTTTGTGCTTTGAACGAATACTAAGTGGATTATTCAAAATCTGTGAGCATGCCTTTTAAGCTGCACTTCTGACCACATAGTGGGTCAATAGGTTTTGGGTTATTTCTGTGATTATGAAATTACTATAGTCTGGCTGGGTGCCTGGGTTCATGCCTGTAATCCCAGAACTTTGGGCAGCCGAGGTTGGAGGATTGCTTGAGGCTAGGAGTTCAAGACCAGCCTGGGCAATATAGGGAGACCCCCGTCTCTCCAAAAAATTAGAACTAAAAATTAGCAGGGTGTGGTGGTGCACATCTGTAGTCCCAGCTACTCCAGAGGCTGAGGTGGGAGGATTGCTTGAGTCCAGGAGCTTGAGGCTGCAGTGAGCTGTAATCACCCCACTGCACTCCAGCCAGGGTGACAGAGCAAGACCCTGTCTCTAAAAGAAAAAGAAAGAAATTACTATAGTATCAGCTTGTATGAACTACAGAATGCTTCTAGTATTTTTCCTACCCCCAGCAAACCTTATTTCATCACTAATTAGATGGGGATGTTGAGTAGTAGGATCCTCAACTCTGAGGATGTTGAATAGTGGGGTGGGCTGGATCAGCTCAGTGGTCCCTTCCATCTGGATAATTTCATGGTTGTATAACTTTGTCAACTAGAGAAGCAGAGCTTCTGGTGCTCCTTTGGATAATATATGCCTCTCGCTTTAACTGCCTTCAATGTGGTCCTTCTTTCAATTCTGCTCTCCTTTGCTTTCCAGGAACTGCTCATATAACTATAATGGGTATGAAATGCTTTCTGTTTACTGTGGTCTTTTCTCACTAGAGTGCATTTCACCCTAAGCAACCCTGATGCTCACTAATCCATTCCTGCTTTCCATCTTCCTCTGACAGCTAATAAGCTGGAGCCAGGAGCTCAGCTAAACCAGGGAATTCACACCCATGAGACCCATGCCTGGCGGGCACCTCCTGCCTGTCCATCTTTGTGTCTGTGCCCATGCCACCGTGTTTATGATCATAACCGCATGAGCTGTTGTTCTTCCATTCCATCAGCTCCAGATCACAAGCCATGGTGCTCACTCCTGGGTGGCAATGAATGACCCCTCAAGGTCGAGGGCCGGGGCTCCAGCTCCAGTTGAAGCTAGGAGAGAGAAACAAAGAGGCAGTCAGAGGTGTAGGCAGCCGATTGACCCGTAGTTTGAAACTCTTTGTGATAGGCTTTGGAAGTAATGAGGTTTTGGCTGCCATTGTTACAAAAAATTCTCCAGCCCTTTGAAATGAGTGGGTCCAGTTCCACTGTAATTTATTCTTCTGTTGGTGTGGAGTGGAAAAGAGCAGTAGCAGTTCCTTCTTTGGTGCCATTGCACAGCTAAAAGGGCTGTTTTGAATTGGAACTAAGCGAACAAAGTTCTTTCTGGCTGTGTCTTTGGCCTCCTGCAAAGCCTCAGGCATCTAAGATGTCAGGAGCTGGCTGCCCTGCTCTCTATCCCAGAGCTGGAGGACCAGGACTGGGCAAAGACATTGCTCCCAGTCTCCTTGCAGCATCAAGACCTTCCCCACTCCTCAGGAGCAAGCCCCCAGAGGCGGAGCGGGAACAGAGCTTTTTTAAAAAAAGAGGGACTCTTCTTCCTCTACCCCGTCGCTCACTTGAGCTCTTGCTGTTTCAGGGGAAGAACTCATCAGCTTCAAGGCTGAGAGGCGGGATTCCAGGGATGTTGATGAAGAGAAGGAGCTGCTGGATTTTGTGCCGAAGCTAGACCAAGTGTGAGCAGTGCTCCCGGGAGGGTCCCCGGGGGTGCCGAGATGCAACCCTGTGGCTCAGAGCAGGGATTCCAGAGGGAGGAAGGACACAGCAGGCCAGGCGCTGGGCTCGCTGCCCGCAGAGAGAGACGGTTTGCACCTTAGGATGAGCTAGCTCTGCACCCTAGCCACTAGGGCAGGCGGAGGCCTCCCTCACACCGTGCTGCCTGGACGCCTCTCTGCTCCTCTTCCAGGCTCCCCTCCTCTCCCACCCAGGCTCCCATCCTCTCCCAGGCTCCCCTCATTCACAGCCTTATATCCACACCCCCTCTCCCTCTTATCCACACTCAACTTCTCATCCAAAAGTTGAAGAAGATGGCCGGGTGCGGTGGCTCACACCTGTAATCCCAGTACTTTGGGAGACTGAGGCAGGAGGATCACCTGAGGTCAGGAGTTCGTGACCAGCCTGACCAACATGGTGAAACCCTGTCCCTACTAAAAATACAAAAAAAATAGCTGAGCGTGGCAGCACGCATCTGTAGTCCCAGCTACTCGGGAGGCTGAGGCAGGAGAATTGCTTGAACCCGGGAGGCGGAGGTTGTAGTGAGCCAAGATCGCGCCACTGCACTCCAGCCTGGGCAACAAGAGCGAAACTCCATCTCAAAAAAAAAAAATTGTTGAGGAAGATTCACATTAGAAACTATTGCCAGGCTAAGCTCGAACTCTTGACTGTATACCTCTGCCCCTGAGGTATGTTAGGTACAAGCCAGGGGAGATCCGGGTCTGCCTGCCTGGACCACATTTCTCATTTCCCCCTGTGACTGCTGTGAGTTATCTCACTGTGGGGCACAGTGTACACAGGGACATTTTGCAAAGCAATCTAATATCAACGACTTTGTAGAAACACTGAGCCCTAGGTGTTTTCTGAAAAGATGGAAGTGTCCCATGAACAAGCAGGGAGTGAAACCACTGGGCCATTTACTCCATTTGAATTTGCTGGACATCTGTTAGAAAGAAATACAGAGCTGTAACCCTGACCGTAAGCAACTTACGGACTCATTTGGTGGGATCGAAATGCACACCAAGTGGTCATGTAGCAACACAGAAAGATATATTGTTAGCCAGAGCGAGGATTCTGTCAACAGGTTCTAAAGGTAGAGAAAGGGGCGACAAGTGCAGGTTGGAGTCATTGGGGAGGACTTCATGGAGGAGGAGGCGGTCCTTCCACCAGGTTGTGAAGCGCAGTCAGGCTCTGGAGTGGAAAGCCGGAGGGAGAGGCTTGGAGGCAAGAGGAAGAGGAGCTGTGTGCACATGTGGATCAGCCCTGTGATGTTCTGGTGTTCTTGGCACGCAGGGTGGAATCTCCAGCCATCCCCAGGATTCCCTGTGCCATGCCTGAGACAGTGGTGATCAGGTCAGAAGAGCAGGAGCAGGTGAGAAGCTCCTTCTCTGTGGTTTCCCCACATGGAGGGCATGAAAACCCTGGGACAGTGATTGTTGAGGGGTGGCCTGTACGTAGCACAATAGGCACTAATAGCTCACATGCCACTCACTGTCCAACTGGCATTCCACGCTTGGACGCCTCATAATGGTGCAACATTGGTGGCGCTGGGTGGGCGGCGTCTGGAAGAGATGGTCAGATGGGGCCCTTTCCTGTGGTGGCGCAGTCCTTGGATGCAGCCCAGGACAGCAGCAGTGAGAAACCAGTGGGTCCTTGACCAGCCCACTGTCTTCAACTCTTGGCCTAGGGTAGGAACTCCAGCCAGCAGATGTTTACTGGATTCCTGCTGTGCACCCCGGACAGGCTCAGGCAGGAGGGCTGGACACCTGCCTCCTGGGAGCCGGGGCCCAACCAGAAAGAGTGGACTCGGACGCATGAACCCAGTTAGCACAGAACCAGGAGGGAGAGCGGGGGAGTGCTCCACTGTGTGGTGTGAGTGCTCACAGAGTGCAGAGCAGGGAGGCCCTAACCAGCCCCAAGGTGGCTGGGAGCATCTGTGGAGGAGGTGAGATGTGGGGAGTGGAGAGGATTAGATCAACAAGGGCGATGGACAAGGACGTTCTGGACCGGGGGAAAAGCAAATGTGAAGATCTAGAGAGCAGCAAGGCTAGGTTCAGGTGCTGCTGGCTGTGCCAGGGCAGCCTGGCATCCCTGTAGTTGCAGCGTTACCCTAAGGCAAGTTCCCGTTGCACAGGTGAGGAGGCAGGAAGCCCCACAAGGGCAGGAGTCTGTTGTGTTCACCTCATGGGCTCCAAATGTCCACAGGGCAGGTAGTCCGCCCACAGCTAACTGGCGAGGCGGTCACGGTGCTGGGATGCAGTGCCCACCCTAGAGGAAGTTGGCCTGCTGAGGGCAGGGCTCCCCATGGGCAGAGCTGGAGAGAAGGGGGGCGGGTCTGCAGCAGGTGCAGCGGGCCTGGGGCCTGGAGCCAGACTGAACAGTGAGGACTGGCTCCACCCATTCCAAGGCTCTGTCCCAGGGTCTTGAGCCAAGGAGAGGCATGGAGGTGGGAGGAAGCTCGTGCTTCCTTTTAGACCTCAGGACGGCCTTGTCTGACAGGGCGGTGGGGTCCCGTGGGAGCACTTTCTCCACGTGGCACCTGGTTTCTAGCGGCAAGGTTCTTCCAAGCCTCCACGCCCTGGCACGGCATCCAGCTGGCCCGGGAGGAGGTGGGACAGGAGGACCCTTTCTCTCTCCTCAGGCATCTAAAGAGTATGATGAGGACTCCCTCATCCCCAGCAGCCCGGCCACCGAGACCTCAGACAACATCAGCCCGGTGGCCAGCCCGGTGCATACAGGGTGAGTGGCGGGCGCAGGGCTCGGGGACTCCTGTCTCCATCTCCGAGAGGGGATGCAGAAGCCCAACGTGCATCTGCCCCACTCCTAGGTTTCTGGTGAGCTTCATGGTTGACGCCCGGGGTGGTTCCATGAGAGGAAGTCGCCACAACGGCCTGCGAGTGGTGATCCCGCCACGGACGTGCGCAGCGCCCACCCGCATCACCTGCCGCCTGGTCAAGCCCCAGAAGCTCAGCACGCCGCCCCCACTGGCCGAGGAGGAGGGCCTGGCCAGCAGGATCATAGCACTGGGGCCCACGGGGGCACAGTTCCTGAGGTGAGCTTGCGCGGGCAGCCCGTGTTCTCCCCTGTCCCTGTGCCACGGAGGCCACGCCATTTCCATCTGTCCTGATGGGGAAACAGAACTGGGTGCCCCTCCCCTTTCCCTGACTTTTCCTGACACACGAAGGTGTCCATAGCCCTGAGAGGGCTTACAACTCTCAGATCTCAGGTCGGGCACGATAGCTCACGCCTGTAATCTCAGTGCTTTGGGAGGCTGAGGTGAGAGCATCGCTTGAGGCCAGGAGTTCGAGACCAGCCTGGAAAACATAGCAAGACCCCGTCGTTGTAAAAAATAAAAAGCAAAACCAAAAAAACAACTCTTAAATATTGTGTGACACTAGAGACAAGGCCACTCTGAAGCCTGAGGGTCTGACCTTTTATGCACTGAGAGTTCCCAGTAAGACGGCCTCCCTGGCCGTTTCCCCTGAGGACGAGGGAAGTACCCGGCTCCAGAGGCCTGTGCTCCACTCCCTTGAAGCAGCCTGGGCTCCTCCTGGAGCTTTGCTGCCCCTCAGGCACCATGGGTGTGTTGTGGGGACAGGCCTGACCAGGAGGCCCTGCCTTCTACCTCTGTCCGCCCTCCTGGCCCCTCAGAGCGGTCACCACCATTTGCAAAGCAGCAAGTTTTCTCGTTGACGTTTCTTTGTCCTCAAAGTGTCCCTCTGAAGGAAATGTCATTATGGCCAGTTGATAGATGAGGTCACCCGTCTAGGGATGTCAGGTGGATTTTTGGAATCAGGTGCAAGGACAGGATCTTTAGGTCGTAGGAGCAGAGCCCGCATGAAATGAGACTGGTCCTGCCCTCACTGTCACTGCAGGCCTGGCGGGGAGCAAGCGGGGCCATGGGAAGCCCTGGGGAACCTCCCCATGGGTCTGGTCCACTTAGAGACCTGCCTGCAGGTGGGGCCTCCACGTGGCTGCGGAAGTGCCTTATCCATCTGGGTGGGAGCCGGCAGCCCCATCCCTCCCTGTGCCCTGCCTGCCTTGTATGAGCACCTCCCCACCACCACTGTGTCCTTGCCTCAGCCCTGTAATCGTGGAGATCCCGCACTTTGCCTCCCATGGCCGTGGAGACCGCGAGCTCGTGGTTCTGAGGAGCGAAAACGGCTCCGTGTGGAAGGAGCACAGGAGCCGCTATGGAGAGAGCTACCTGGATCAGATCCTCAACGGGATGGACGAAGGTAGGGGCGGGGGATCCCAGGGCTGGGTCCCCTCCTTGCGGAAGAGGGGTTTGAGTTGCACCTTAAAGGTGGTCTTTGAGGGCCACCTGAAGTTTGGGAAGCCCCAAGAGGCTGAGAATGGCCTGGTGTGGACAAGCCCTGGGTCCCCAGGATGTGTGAGAGGATGCTCAGCGGCTGCCTGCAGCCGCATCTGCTCTGCTGGGCCTCTGGGCCTGGGCACTTCTTCTGGCCACTTCTTCTGGCCACTATGCCGCCCGGCACCTGGGGAGGGTGTGTGCACTGGGTCTTGGGGACAAGGAGACTCTGGGGCCCCTGGAAGTCCTGAACCTGTGCCTGATGTGACCGGGGTGGTGGCCTGTGTGTGTGATTCCAGAGCTGGGGAGCCTGGAGGAGCTAGAGAAGAAGAGGGTGTGCCGAATCATCACCACCGACTTCCCGCTGTACTTCGTGATCATGTCACGGCTCTGCCAGGACTACGACACCATCGGTCCCGAAGGGGGCTCCCTGAAGAGCAAGCTGGTGCCCCTGGTACAGGCAACGTTCCCGGAGAATGCCGTCACCAAGAGAGTGAAGCTGGCTCTGCAGGTGACAGCCCTCCTCCCCGCCAGGTCCTGGGGGTGGACTGAACTCCAGGCCTCCGGGAAGGCCACCCTCTTCCCCAGGACATCCCCACACTTTTGTCTGGTGCTTTGAAATGCCACAGTGGAGATCTGAGTTTAAAGCTCAAAGGAGAGTTAAGTGGGAAGGGGTGAGGTGGAAGCTCCCTGATAAGTTGCAGAACCCCTGGTAACCCATCAAGCTGCACGGCCCAGTCTGTGCAGCATGCAGGAACCGCATGACCTCCGGGAGTTGACTGTGGTGCTAGCAAAGATGCACCAGCCCTGGGAGTAAGAAGCAGAGGAGAAGGGGAGAAAGGGCTCAGGAAGGCAAGCTCCACCGTGTCGGTTCTGTGGTCCAACAGCAGGGCGGGACCCCGTGCACTGACGGCCACTCTCACCAGGCATGGAGCTGCCTCCCGTCTGATTAGCCCCTCTCCTGCTTGGGCCTGAGTGTCCTGCCTCTGTCATTTCACAGGCCCAGCCTGTCCCGGATGAGCTTGTCACTAAGCTCCTGGGCAACCAGGCCACATTCAGCCCCATTGTCACCGTGGAGCCCCGGCGCCGGAAGTTCCACCGCCCCATTGGGCTTCGGATCCCACTACCTCCTTCCTGGACCGACAACCCGAGGGACAGCGGGGAGGGAGACACCACCAGCCTGCGCCTGCTTTGCAGCGTCATTGGTGAGAGGGGCCCCTGCCTCGCTTCTGTTCTCGGCTGCTGCAGTGCGTCTGGAACACAGTAGGGGGGTGACTCGAGAAGGCGAGGCCAGCAATCCCCTTAGTTTTTGTTGACTTCCCCGGGAGTGAGGTGCTCTTCCAAGAGATGGAAGGATGATGTATCTGCATAAAAGTCCATGCCCATGTGGTGACTCACGCCTGTAATCCCAGCACTTTGGGATGCCAAGGCGGGTGGATCGCCTGAGGTCAAGAGTTCGAGACATGGAGAAACCCCGTCTCTACTAAAAATACAAAACTTAGCCAGGCATGGTGGCATGCACCTGTAAGCCCAGCTACTCCAGAGGCTGAGGCAGGAGAATTGCTTGAACCTGGGAGGTGGAGGTTGCAGTGAGCCGAGATCATTCCACTACACTGCAGCCTGGGCAACAAGCATGAAACGCCATCTCAAAAAAAAAAAAAAAAAAAAAAAAAAAAAAAAAAAAAGTCCATGCCCCTGGGGAAGAACTCTCCAAGCCCTAGGAGGAGGGGCATGCAGGTTGCTAGGAGGAAGAGCAGCGGGGTGAGGGTAGGGTGCCCAGGGCTGCAGACAAAGTGAGCTTCACCCAGTCTCACCTTGCACACCACGGCCTTAGCATTTTAGTAAGCTCCATGCTTACATCCTGAAGACTGTCCCCAGCCCCATTTCTGCCGCTGTTACAGGAGGAACAGACCAAGCCCAGTGGGAAGACATAACAGGAACCACCAAACTTGTATATGCCAACGAGTGCGCCAACTTCACCACCAATGTCTCTGCCAGGTGAGACGAGGCCAGCCCAGCCCAGTATTGTGTGGGCCGTCCTCAGGCTCTATGCTGCCGTCCAGGCCTGAGGCTGAGGCTCCCTCACTGTCCCCTCCATGTGGAAGCCTCCGTGACCACAGGTGTGGCAATAGTAGCCATGGTATGGCTCACGGGCTGCTCCCGTCTGGATGGAAAGGATGCTCTCTGTTGGGCACTTGGGAACACATAACTCGCCCTACTTTTTAGGTTTTGGCTGTCGGACTGTCCTCGGACTGCTGAGGCTGTGAACTTTGCCACCCTGCTGTACAAAGAGCTCACTGCAGTGCCCTACATGGCCAAATTCGTCATCTTTGCCAAGATGAATGACCCCCGAGAGGGGCGCCTGCGCTGCTACTGCATGACAGATGATAAAGTGGACAAGACCCTGGAGCAGCATGAGAACTTCGTGGAGGTGGCCCGGAGCAGGGACATAGAGGTAACAGGGCTGGGCCCTGCACCGCCTCTGGGACAAACCGTCCTGCCGTTTTCTCCAGAACACCATTACCAGGTGCAGGCAGGCAGTCCTCCCTCTGTAGACGAGGGGCTCCACAGCTGTCTGTCTTTGAGACCCCTCTTGAGAAGCATCTTAGAGAAGCTTCAGGAAAGGAGAGAGATGCCACCATGCACATCTCAGAGGAGGCTGCAGGCTTTTGGTCCAGTGATCTATGAAAAGAGTTGGCATTTGCCGAAGGTCTTGTGCACCAGGGACTATTAAAAGTGCTGGCCATGCCGGGCGCAGTGGCTCACGCCTTTCATCTCAACACTTTGAAAGGCCAAGGCGGGCAGATCACCTGAGGTCAGGAGTTCGAGACCAGCCTGGCCAACATGGTGAAACCCTGTCTCTACTAAAAATACAAAAATTAGCCGGGCATGATGGCACGTGCCTGTAATCCCAGCTACTCGGGTGGCTGAGATAGGAGAATCACTTGAACCCGGGAGGCAGAGGTTGCAGTGAGCCGAGATCGCACTGTTGCCCTCCAGCCTGGGTGACAGAGCAAGACTCTGTTTAAAAAAAAAAAAAAAAGTGCTAGCCAGCTGAGTATGGTGGTGGGGGCAGGAAACAAAACAAAAAACAAACAAATAAAAGTGCTGGCCAGGCTCAGAGGCTCACGCCTATAATCCCAACACTTTGGAAGGCTGAGGCAGGAGGATCGCTTTGAGCCCAGGAGTTTGAGACCAGTCTGGACAACGTAGTGAGACACCATCTCTATTAAATAAATAACTAAAAGTGCTTTTCTTGCATATTCTCATTTAATTCTCATATTTATGGGTACCTTTATTATCCCTTATTTGTGTATTAAGAAACTGAGGCTGAGAGGTTAAGTAACTTGCCAATGGTCACACAGCTAAGTGAGTGGTGGAGATGGGATTTATCCAGGTCATCTCTGGCCCCAGAGTCTACATTATAACCTGCTGTGCTAGGGTTTCAGTAGCACCCAGGTGAGGAGGCAGAGGAAAGGGCTCGACAGATAATGTGAAGAGTGAAGGCATGGGGGCTAGGTCTGAACCAGTTACCGATCCTAAGAGACCCACTTGGGTTAAGATGTGTAGTAAGCCAGCAGTGATCTAATCCTCAGAATCTGCACTGAGTTTTCCTGGGGAAGGCTGAGGGCCCCAGAGAACAAGTGCAGGACTATAACCTTGGTTCTAATCCTGTCTTAGGCACTAACGAGGCAAACCGGTTTTTCTCTTTCAGCCTCAATTTTTTCAACTGTCAAATGAGTTAGTGATAACTTCTCAGTTGAAAGCTCACCCATAACAATGAGTGAGATTAAAACAGAGCAAGTGCTTTCCAGCTCTTGTCATGAACAAAGCATCTTTGGACAGACATAAAAACAGAACCTTGGTTTTATTTTTAGAAACAGGATCTCAGTCTGTTGCCCAGGCTGGAGTGCAGTTGTGACATCATAGCCCACTGCAGCCTTAAACTCCTGGCCTCCAGTGATCCTCCTGCCTCAGCATCCCAAGTAGCTGGGACTACAGGCACATGCCACCACACCTGGCTAGTTTTTTTAAAAAAATTTGTAAAGATGAGGATCTCCTATGTTGCCCAGGCTGGTCTCAAACTCCTGAACTTAAGCAATCTTCCCACTTTGGCCTTCTAAAGTGGAGGGATTACAGGCGTGAGCCACCATGCCCAGCCCAGAACCAGGGTTTGTTGTTGTTGTTGTTGTTTTCAGAAGCTATGTTATGATATTCAAGTGAAGTTTTGGAATACTTGATAGCAATTCCCATCAACATCTCAGGGATATTTGAAGATCCCTACATATTACAAAATCTGTTGAAGTCGGGAAGCATGCCTCATTGATCACAATTTTGGAAATAAAGCCTTTCCCAAAACAAACAGTGGATTTCTCAGCACACACCCGCATGCCTCTTGCTGAGGCAGGGTGTGTCTTGGAGAGGGAAGGACCGAAGGTGGAAGGAGGGACATCTGGGCCCTTCTCTCCCTGACAAGCTGTATCTGCTTTTCCTCTCCTGCAGGTGTTGGAAGGAATGTCCCTGTTTGCAGAACTCTCTGGGAACCTGGTGCCTGTGAAGAAAGCTGCCCAGCAGCGGAGCTTCCACTTCCAGTCATTTCGGGAGAACCGTCTGGCCATGCCTGTAAAGGTGCCGGCACCCTCTGGCTGAGTTCTCCTCTGGGTCTAGAAAGTTGGGGAGGCAGAATTCCCTAAACCAGACAGCCGGGTGGCCTAGAAAAGGGCCCCTGAATTCTCCTTTGTGTGATTGAGTTTAGGTGAGGGACAGCAGTCGAGAGCCGGGAGGGTCCCTGTCGTTTCTGCGCAAGGCGATGAAGTACGAGGACACCCAGCACATTCTCTGCCACCTGAACATCACCATGCCCCCCTGCGCCAAGGTGAGCTGGCACCTGCCGAGGAGCCTTGGCCCGAGACGGCTTCCCTGTAGGAGGTCCCCAAACAGACCCCAGGTCCAGCACTTCCAAGGGGCTTCTTCCTGGTGGAAGCTTAGAGTCCCCCGAGGCATGCAAAGGTGCTGAGCTCTCCTCCACATGCTCATGTTGTGGCCTGGCGGGGAGACCATGCCCTGGCCCTCTCTGCAATTTGCAGTGCAGTGCTGGTCATGGGACAGGAAGAACAAATGTTGGTATCAGATGGTGATGGGCACATTCACGCTGTGGACCCTGGGCTCCCTAGGTGTGAAAGTGACAAGGGGCCCTAAGGGCATCTGCCTCGGTGTCCCTGGCCCGAGGCCTCTGAGGTTCACACCAAGGAGAGCTGCTAAGGTCTCCCAGCCCCTGCACGGCTTCTCTCAGGCCGCTTTTTCATCTACCTGCTTATCTTCCCAGGGTGCTAGGCCCTCACAGAAGGGAAGCCTGGTGTCCTCAGCCACTGCAAACACCCAGGGTTTTGAGCTCAGCAAAGGAGTCTTGGCCACGTATGTTCATTTGTCGATACCTGTAAGAGTATCCCAGTCACCACCTCTGCTGGGGACTTTGGAGGGATCATACGTCTCCAGACCGTCTCTGTGGTTTTCGTTGCTGTTGTTTTGCTGCTGTTGTTGTTTTAATCATTAGCCTTCCATGCTAAACTAGGAAAGAAGCAAGGTTACATTCATAAGTCCATGGCTCAATCTCTCTTTTCTTTTTGGGCATGAGATGAGGGTGAACCAACTTCTTTTTCAAAAGAGGATTTTCAGGCTGGGCGCAGAGGCTCATGCCTGTAACCCCAGTGCTTTGGGAGGCTGGGGCAAGGGATTGCTTGAGCCCAGGAGTTCAAGACTAGCCTGGGCAACATAGTGAGATCCTGTCTGTACAAAAAAAAAAAAATGAAAAATTAGCTGGGCATGGTGGCATGCACCTGTAGTCCTGGCACTCGAGAGGCTGAGGCAGAAGGATCACTTGAGGCCGGGAGTTTGAGGCTGCAGTGGAGCCATGATCGTGCCATCGCACTGCACTCCAGCTTCAGAGACAGAGTGAGACCCTGGCTCTTAAAAAAAAAGAGAGAGAGAATATTTTTCTGCAGCCTTGGGCAAATGTTCGGATGCTTTTCCACAGGGCTGTGATGTTAAGGCCTTAAGGCAGTACAGAAACGGGTCTTTCAAGCAGAAAGAAATCCAAAAAGAAAAACAATCATTTTAAGTTCAACCCCAGCTCCATTGCATATTAACTGGGTGATCTTGGGCAAGGAACTTTGTCTCTCTATGCCTCAGTTTACGTATTGATGAAATGGGAGTAATACAGCACCCACCTCTTAGGTTGCCGTGAACATTAAATAGGGCCTCACAGGTGATGGGGTGACGTGGGCTTGCCGTTATTACGACTGTGATTAATAACGCATGTGCGCTTCTTCAGCTTCCCTTCACTCCCACTCCTCCCATGTGTTACTCTTTGTGTTAAGTCCCTGAAGAAACGGACTGATTGTTTACCAGGACTGGGGTCAGCCTTCCACACCCCTGCAGCATAGGAGCTCAGATCACTTTCTCTGGGAAGGTGGGGAGAGTCCAAAACCCAAAGCACCCTTTCTTCTTCTGCAGGGAAGTGGAGCCGAAGATAGGAGAAGGACCCCGACGCCCCTGGCCCTGCGATACAGCATTCTCAGTGAGTCCACACCAGGTACGGCCTCTGTGTGATGATGCATGCTTGCTCCCTTCCCAAGAAGGGTGGGCGTGAGCTCATCTCCCCGCAGCCCTGTGAGGGTTCTGCTGAGGTGCCGCTCGCTCAGCCAGTTCCAAAAGCAGCTGCAGAGCTGACTCGGGTCTTCCCCTGATCTTGCAGAGAGTCTAGACAATCACCCCAGTGCACACGGAAGCCACATCCATCACAGGCCGTGTCCTCAGGCCTGTCAACTGTGTCCTGCCCTGGCTACTAAATGAAATCTAATGCTTCTCCCCAGGTTCTCTCAGTGGGACAGAGCAGGCAGAGATGAAGATGGCTGTTATCTCAGAGCACCTCGGTCTCAGCTGGGCAGGTGAGTGGGGAATTGGGGGCAGAAAAGCACTTTGTCCATCTCACCTACCCTCTTCCCCTGTAATGAGCAATGAATGAGGCATTTCTAACCCTCCTTTTATCACCCGTGGGTTATCTGATTTGTGATTGTCTGAGCTGGGTCTGCTGCCCAAGCCACACCATTGGCTGCCCATGAAGGGGGAGCCCCCTGCCTCCATCTCTGTCTGACTTTCCTTTCTAAGAAAGACTCAGCTTTTGAGTTTACAGGAGACCTTGAAAAGGAGGGAAGGAAAGGGCAAGTCTCAACATATTTCGCTATGGTCTGTGGCTGTGGCTGGATCTCACAGAAGTCCTGCCAACCATCAGGGTAGATCTTATTTTAAGGGAGACAGGTGGGCAAATAAAGTGAAGGCTCAGAATGTGCTGTGCCCAACCACAGACCCTAGAACTGGATTCTCCCTGTGTAACCACAGCAGGTCCATTGCCCAATGTGAGTGGCAAGTCAAGACACACGGAGACACGGGGTTGCAGCGGTGAAAGAGGCTTAATCCCAGGACCACCAAACAAGGAGGGAGGAGGAAACCTCAAATCCGTCTCCCCAAGGAGGAGTTCAGGGCTCGGGCTGTTAAGGGCTTTGGAGTGGCTGGAGTGTGTAGGTGGTTGATTGGTTGGAGAGTGCAGGGTGGAGTCATGGACAGGGAGAGCAAGAAGCTACGTTCTCGTGCTGATCCCTGCCTTCAAAGTGGTTGCTGGAATTGGGAATCTGAAAACCATCTTAAGGGATCCTTAAACAGAAGCCTAATGTCAGAAACCCTGTCTTTAGGAACAATGGGGGTGCGAGTGGTCAGTATCCAGCACTGTGTGGCTTTGAGCAACAAAGAAGAGGACCCAAGCGCAGCTTGGTGAATGCTTAATTATAACCGTATTTCTGTCCAGAGCCCGGTGCTCAATTCTTGTTGACACTGAGATGGCTTCCCCTTCCCCTCCTTATTTTTTGTTAGCTTTTATATGAGTGGACTCCCTTCATTCACTTCCCCTGGAGAACACTTTAGACACACTCAGAAACCTTTTGGCAATGACTTGTGGAAAGGCCGTGTGACAAACTCAGAAGTTCAGTCACGGCTCCTTCTTTTAATCATGACTGCTGGCTGCTCAGGGGGCGTGTGTGTGCATGTGTGTATGCACGTGTATGTGTTGTGAGTGTGTGCACGTTTGTGTTGTATGTGCGTGTTCTGATTCTCACCATCACTTTCTCCCCAGTCTTCTTCATCCTTGAAATTAGACTCTAATGCTATTTTCCTTCTAAAGCAATAACAATAAAAATAATGGGGGATTTTGGCTAACAGTCTGCATTATTGCCTTGCATTTAGATGGGAACTTGTATTTTCATTTTAAATGTAAATAAAGCCTCTCCCTGAAGACGCATAAGCTCAGGAGTCCATTTCTGTTCTCATTGGTTCTTGGCAGTAGGGCATGGCGTGGCCCAGGCAGTGCTGGGGTGAGAATCGGCAGGTACGGCTGCCTCCTGGCTCAGGGACTTGCTGGCTCTGTGACCTTGCAGAAGTTGCTGACCTTGCTGAGAGTTCATGTCATCTCATATTGGAAGTTACGAAAGGAAGAAAGGACATTTGATCATTCATTCATTCAGGACCTATTTAACAAACACCCCTCCCATTCTTCCATTTTCTGGGGACATAAAGGTATAGGTGCTGGCATTTCATAAGGAATTTCTTGATAAGAAGGAAGACCAAACCCACAGGGAGGCTGCCTCAGAGCTCCCTGTGCTCCCCACTGGGTCCCCCCACGCCCCAGTGCCCACCCAGCCTGTGTGCTGGAGGCCCCCTGCTGTTGGTGAGCTGGAGGCTCACATCTGCTGTTGGTTCTTTGCTTGCAGAGTTGGCCCGGGAGCTGCAGTTCAGTGTGGAAGACATCAACAGGATCCGAGTGGAAAATCCCAACTCCCTGTTGGAGCAGAGTGTGGCCTTGCTGAACCTCTGGGTCATCCGTGAAGGCCAAAACGCAAACAGTCAGTACCGTCCCACTGAGGAAGCCTGTCCTAGGACCTCCTCCCCACCAAACTAGTTCTTCCTTCAAATTCCATTCATGACACTGGCCTCTGGAGTCAGTCTGTCTCTGTCTCTCTCACACACACTCACGCACCACTCGCATCAGGAGGTCTTCCAGGCAGTCCTGCCAGAAGGCATGACCAGAGAAGCTTGGCCTCAGCCTTTCTCACATCCTTGGAATAAGATAAAAATTGCAAGGCCTGGCACAGTGGCTCATGCCTGTAGTCCCCACACTTTGGGAGGCCAAGGTGGGAGGGTGGCTTGAGCCTAGGAGTTCGAGAACAGACTGTGTAACATAGTCCTTTCAAAATTAGCCAGGTGTGGTGGCACACACCTGTAGTCCCAACTACTCTGGAGGCTGAGGCAGGAGGATCACTTGAGCCTGGGAGGTCAAGGCTGAGTGAGCTACAGTTGCACTGCTGCACTCCAGCCTGGGCAACAAGCAAAATCCTGACTCTAAAAAAAATAACATAAAAATTGCATCAGGACTCCTAGATGACAACATCTGTGCAGGGTGTATGACTCATCTTTGAGGTCTTCCTGTTGAATTTCCCAAGCAAATGAGTATTGTCCTCTCAGGACACAGTCTGGGTGAGCTGGACCCCAGTCTGAACCAGTTCTCATTCTCCCAGGAGCTTCCTCCAACCTGGAGGGAGCTTTGCCTCATTCTCTTTTCAGCTCCTCCTCAACCAGTTTCCCAGACTCAAAAACACTAAGTGGAAATTGAGTGTTTACATTTGCATCTCAAATCATCTGGCAAGGACCAAGAATTTCAAAAGGACAGAATCTAATCATTCTCATCCTTATTTTCTTGTAGTGCTCCTCTTAGCTTACAAAATAATAATAAAAAAACAGTCTTTCTAGACTTTTAAATTGGCCACTGTGGTGGGCACGGTGGCTCATGCCTATAATCCCAGCACTTTGGGAGGCCAAGGCAGGTAGATCACTTGAAGTCAGGAGTTCGAGACCAGCCTGGCCAACATGGCAAAACCTTGTCTCTACTAAAAGTACAAAAATTAGCAGGGCGTGGTGGCATGCACCTGTAATCCCAGCTACTCGGGAGGCTGAGGAACGAGAATTGCTTGAGCCTGGGAGGTGGACAGTGAGCCGAGATTGCCCCATTGCACTCCAGCCTGGGTGACAGAGTGAGACCAATAAATAAAATAATTTATTTTTTTTTTGGTAACAGAGACCAATAAATAAAATAACTGCGCACTGTTAGCATTTGGAAAAGATCTGCTGAAGTGTAAAAAGTATTCTCCCCAGAGGAAGTTTGTTTTGACTCTAATAAAAGAGGGTGCCTCCACCTTCTGAAAAAAATTATCTCCTTTCTCCATCTTCATCCTGGCCCCATTTTCTGAGCCCATGTGATCCTCGCTCACCGGCCTGGAGTAACGTGCATCTCTCTTCTGCGCCCACAGTGGAGAATCTGTACACAGCCCTGCAGAGCATTGACCGTGGCGAGATCGTGAACATGCTGGAGGGTTCCGGCCGACAGAGCCGCAACTTGAAGCCAGACAGGCGGCACACCGACCGCGACTACTCGCTGTCACCCTCCCAGATGAATGGTGAGTGTCACCTGGACCAGATGGGGACTGAGCCGGAGCCCTGCCCTACAGGCATCAGCACCAATAACCCCTTCCCACAATACGTCATCCCTCAAAGCCCGCTCTGCCTCCCATTGGTGGGAGGTCTGGTTTGTCAGCAACAAGTTCCTCCTTTCCGGGGAAGCAGAGGCGAAGGAGAGAGAGATGGCTGCTCCTGTGCAGGTGGGCATCGCCTCCGCCTTAGCCTTTGCAGCCCTGCAGAATGGCCCCCAGGCCCTTGCCATCAGCAACTGCGTCCCCACAGGGCGTGGTGTATGAGAAAAAGCTGAGTCAGAGGCCTCTAGCTAGAGACTGCCCCTACACAGCTGCAGACTTTCCGGTAGCTCTTTGCAAGGCGTGGGCCCTCTTTGGGGTGTCAGTGTCCCCATCTGTAAAACAGTCAGTGGTTGGGAAGCAGAGGGCATGGAGATTCCTGGCCCAAGGTCTAGTGCAGTTTAACTGGACGGTGTTTTACAAATCCTGCTGTGGCCACTTCTAGGGACTGAGCAGTTTGCTCTTCCTGGAGCCGGGTCTCTCTGCTTTTTCCTCTCCCCCTTTTCTATCATCTCATCTCCTTCCCCTCATTCTTTGTTGATGTGACTCAGCATGGCAGGGATCCCCCGTGAGATCCAGCCCAAGGAGAGGATGTACAGGAG
This sequence comes from Homo sapiens, assembly GCF_000001405.40. Classification (NCBI taxonomy): domain Eukaryota; kingdom Metazoa; phylum Chordata; class Mammalia; order Primates; family Hominidae; genus Homo; species Homo sapiens. The sequence continues at coordinate 41,683,869 of NC_000008.11, read as the reverse complement.
GCTGTGACCTCTGCCCCCAAGCCCCTGCCACTCCTGGGCCAGGCCCCCTCGCAACACCTTCCTCGCCCGCCCCCTCTCTGGCCAGCGGGCACATAAACAGCGAGGCCCCACTCTCCGGCCAGGAGGTCTGGGTTCTAGGCCCTTCCTTCCTGCCAACTCCCTGCATGACTGAGCCCTCTCCCCTTCTGTAAAATCAGCAAGTTGGATTGGATCCCTAAAATTCCTTACAGACCTTGAAACAAAATTTCCATGTCTGTGACGTGGCTTCCTCAGGTGGCTGACGCGTCACCCTGGATGCCTGCATGGTGATGTGTATGCTCCTCAAGCTCCTTGTCTTAGGGGCCATCCCCGCCACGCCCAGGCTGAGGGTGGGCACCTGTGACTGGGTACACAGTTTGGGGGCGCGGCTGAGGGCGAGTCCCAGGTGGGCCTGGGCACGGAGCCCCTACCAGGGGACCCTGCTCGCTGAGCCCTCCCTGTCCCCTGCTCTGCATCCTGTGTCTCCTGAAGTGTGCCATCTTGCATCCTGGGAGCAGGGCCCATCTGCTGATCACGTCCCATTGCCTCTCTTCTGCCTCTGACCTCATCTTGACCTCTGTGCACTCACGCTATCGTGCTGCCTGTCTCCACTGTCTCCACTGTCCCCATTTCGGCAGGCGCAGAGCCGGCCACGTCCACATGCATGTCATGGCCCCCAGCCCTGTCTCCCCACGCATCTCATGGCCATGTCCTGGGTGTACTTGTGTGTGTGCGTATGTGTGTGCATGTGTGCGTGCATGTGTGTGTGTGTGCACGTGTTCATGTGTGTGCGTGTGCATACATGTGTGTGTGTGTCCGTGGGTGTTGCTGTGTGGTGCTGCCTGCTGCGTGTGCCCGGCCCACTCCCCAGGTCCACCCCCTTGGGGATTCCAGCCTCCCCTCAGGGGACCTGGCCAGAGCTTTACAGGAGCTCAGTGGGCTGAGGGCGGTTGAGGGAAGCCACAAACCTGGGGAAATTCTAGTGACAAAGCTCCTCTCCCTTCCCATGTGTCGAGACTTCTTTGACACCCAGCGCATACTTTTGGTCAAGTCAGAGGGGCACGCTTTTGATTTCCTGTGCCCTGATTAAGCACCTACAGGACAATGGGCCACCAGAGCCACATGAGTGTGAATATTCACAGTTACAGACCTGGGCATCTGTGAGCATCTCCCCGGGCCACAGACCCCTAGCTCCCACCAGGCCTTGAGGCATTCTTGCCCGAGTGGTTCTCAATTCCTGTGTGGGACTGGGCCTGTGCACTCCATGTCTGCTGAAAGGGCTCTGCTTCAGGGGGTCAGCCCATTTGGCAAATATTTTTCAAGTATCAACCACATGCCAGGCACTGTGCTAGGCAGGAGAGAGATACCTGTTCTCAACCAGACAAAACAAAACAAAACTCTGCCTTTGTGGAGCTTTTCCCTCCTGTGAGGAGAGCCACGCGGGGAATTGTATCACACACCAGCAGTTAACGTGCATGGTGCAGGAGAAACAGACCGGAGTCGGGGCCAGGGGGACTCATGGTGCAAGGGAAGCGGGTGGCACTCGAGGACTTGCCAGAGATGAGGTGGGAGCCATGCGTCGGCACTGAGGTGGAAGATTTCAGAGCAGGGAGTGTGAAGGGGGCTTTCCTGATGCGTTCACAGGACGGGGCTGGAGGCGGGGGCAAAGGGACAGTGGGAGAGAGGGCAGGTGTGGGGGCTGGAGGGGTGACACGGAGCCCACCCATAGACTGTCATGAGGACATTGGGTTTGACTTGGAGTAAGCTGGAAAGCCATCAGAGGGTTCTGGCCAAAGAGTGGCATGATTGCCCTTAAGTCTTTGAGGGAGCCCTCTCCCGAGTAGTTGATTTCAGATGGTCACAGTCGAATGTTCTGTGCTTCCTGGCTGCTCTGTGCAGCCTCAGCAGTCCCTGACACCCTCTCTGGCAGGTCCCCGGTAGACCCAGCTCTGTGCCCCAGCAGACTCATGCACCGATGCCCTGCTTTGTCCAGAATCAGCTTCTTTATATTTTTCCTGCCTTCTTCCTTGCCCCAGAAAGTCTGGCCCTCATCTGGGTGCCCTTGTGTTCTGGAGAGAAGGTGGCAGGACAGTCAGAGGTCTAAGGGGGGTGGGGGGGCACTACAGGCTCTGCAGCTTCTCTGCTCTTCCCTGGGCAGGGCTCGTGATGGCCTGACCTGGTGCCCAACCAGCCCAATGCACTGATGCCCACAGTCGGACCTTGGCTCCTCTGTGCTTTTCCTGGTCCCTCTGCATGTCTGAGCCTCCTTCTGAGGCCCTGGGACTCTGGGTAGTGATAGGCAGCTCTGTGAGCACGACATAAGTGGGTGGTGTCCAGGAATTAGAAGCCTGAGGCTGTCTCTCCCTTCATAGCTCTGCTCACCACCAGTGCCTTAATTGGCCAGAGCAGAGGGGCTCAGGCCAAAAGGCCAGCGTGCTTCTCCCACATAGGAGAGGACGGCCCAGGCCCTGGGAATAAACATGAAGAAAGCATGGCCTATAGATCCAAAATAAAATAGCATGTTTCTGAAAATAAAACAGACTTCCCTTATGAGAGGAGAAATGATCATCTCACACCCGTGTGAGTTCCATTTGACCTGATAAATCAGACACAAACTAATGTCTACTTGGAAATAAAACTTGTTTTATTTCCCTCAATTCTTCACAACTGTGGCTAGTGAAGTGTGGCCTTGTCTAGGGTGAGGCTGTCTGATGACCCCTGTTGCCCATTTGCTGCTGACGTTAAGCTAGCAGGACGATTATTACCTCTGGGTCAGCACAGAACCAGGGCAGTGACCTGGAATGAGCAGGGACCACTTGACTGTATGCTGCCCCAAACCAATATGTGTGGCTGCCTTTTACCTGACTTCTCCAACATGTAGCCCCAAGAGGAGGCCTCTAGACTGAGGGAGGGGCTGGTGACCCAGGTGTGGTGGGGCTGCATGAGACTACCAGAGAGACAGACATTCTGGAACTCACCCTGGGGGATCCAGTGGATCTGCCTATGGTCTGGTCCACCCCAGACCTGTGAGATGTTCCTCATGAGGATGCACTTGTGCTTCTGCAAGTATTGCTGCAGCTTCATAGTGACTCCCACCAGCACCAGCAATACAGCTAGCTACCTGTGGCCTTGGATCTCAGCCAGCATGGCTGGGAGAGGGAGCAGCTGGGCATGTACCCTAAATGCTGTTACCAGGGAAGGACTCCCAGAGTGAAGACAAGTAGGGACTTCCTGCAGAGGTGGTACATGTGCTCTCTGTATCCATACTTTTTTTTTTTTTTTTTTTGAGATAGAGTTTCACCCTTGTTGCCCTGGCTGGAGTGCAATGGTGCGATCTCAGCTCACTGCAACCTCTCTGCCTCCCGGGTTCAAGTGATTCTCCTGCCTCAGCCTCTCGAGTAGCTGGGACTACAGGTGCCCGCCACCATACCCAGATAATTTTTATATTTTAGTAGAGACGGGGATCTCACCATGTTGGCCAGGCTGGTCTCAAACTCCTGACCTCAGGTGATCCACCTGCCTCAGCCTCCCTAAGTGCTGGGATTATAGGCATGAGCCACTGTGCCCGGCCCCTTACATCTTTATTTGGGTGAAATTCCACTAAAGCAAATGCCGTGGAAGTCTCAAGGTGGGAAACTCACAAAAGGAATCCATGAATGAGCCTCAAGTGTTCTGTGGCGCAAAGCTGCCCTCTCCCAGTTCTCAAGTCTCATCGCAATTCCAAGGAGTGATGGAATGTTCATCCAGCCAAATCCAAGGAGCTGTGTCAGGTGCGATGTGTGCCACTTCTGGCCAAGACAGGATAACAGGGACTGAATATACCCTCCTGCTTGAAACTACTGCAGACCAAAAAATGGACACACTATATGAGACAACAGTTTTCAAGACATTGGATATCAAATAACAAAGGACACTGATCCACAAAGCATGGGAAATAAATGAAGTGAGCCCTACAGCTGTCTAGTTTACCATTTTGAAAGTCCAGGAAGGCCGGGCGCGGTGGCTCACGCTTGTAATCCCAGCACTTTGGGAGGCCGAGGTGGGCGGATCACGAGGTCAGGAGATCGAGACCATCCTGGCTAACACGGTGAAACCCCGTCTCTACTAAAAATACAAAAAAAATTAGCCTGGCGTGATGGTGGGCGCCTGTAGTCCCAGCTACTCGGGAGGCTGAGGCAGGAGAATGGCGTGAACCCGGGAGGCGGAGCTTGCAGTGAGCCGAGATTGCGCCACTGCACTCCCGCCTGGGCCACAGAGTGAGACTCTGTCTCAAAAAAAAAAAAAAAAAAAAAAGAAAGTCCAGGAAGACCAAGACAGCTGGAGTTCTCAAGACAGAGCACCAGAGAGGAGACAGTTGCACAGATAGAACACTCTGGAGTCCCCCACAAGTTTCAGATGAGTATTAGCCAGCTATTCCCAATTGATCTCTCACGGCCTTTGTTCAGGGGACAAAGAAGGATCTCATCTCACAAATAGGGAAAAATTAACCCCCAAAGCTCCAGTCCTCCCTGATAAAATTTGAAAGCAAAATGCAAAAGGATCAAACTACTTCCAAGTAACTTAACTGCGTAACAGAACAAAGCTCAAGCATACACGGATACAAAAACATCCAGCACTCCACAAGGTAAAATTCGCAATGTCCAGCATCCAATTAAAAGTAATCAGACACACAAAGAGGCAGGAAAACAGGATCCATAATGCGGAGAAAAATCGATCCATTGAAACTGACCCAGAGTTGACAAAGATGTTAGAATTAGCAGACAAAGGACTGGGCATGGTGGCTCATGCCTGTAATCCCAGCATTTTGGGAGGCCGAGGTGGGCGGATCACCTGAGGTCAGGAGTTTGAGACCAGCCTGGCCAACATGGTGAAACCCTGTCTCTACTAAAAATACAAAAAAATTAGCTGGGTGAGGTGGCAGGCGCCTATAATCCCAGCTACTCAGGAGGCTGAGGCAGGACAATCACTTGAACTCAGGAGGCGGAGGTGGCAGTGAGCCGAGATAGTGTCATTGCATTCCAGCCTAGGCAACAAAAGCGAGACTCTGTCTCAAAACAAACAAACAAACAAAAAAAGAATTAGCAAAGATACTAAAACGGTGATTGTAACTGTATTTCAGGTATTCAAAAAAGCTAAGTAGAGACATGGAAGATATTTTTTAAAGGCCCAAGCCAATCTTCTAGAGATGAATGTGTAGGATCAATACACTGGATGGGATTAGACATTAGACACTGCAGAAGAAAAGATTAGTGAACTTGACAATACAGCAAGAGAAACTCCAAACATTTTTCTTTTCTTTCTGTTTTGGAGAAACACAAAGTGAGCTATGGGGCAATTTCAAGTGACCTAATATGTGAAATTACAGTTCCCAACAGAAAAGAAGGAAGAAAAAGTATTGTAAGAAATTTGGGGCTGGGCACAGTGGCTTATGTCTGTAACCCCAGCACTTTTGGAGGCCCAGGTGGGCGGATCACTTGAGGTCAGAAGTTCGAGACCAGCCTGGCCAACATAGTGAAACCCTGTCTCCACTAAAAAAATTACAAAAGTTAGCCAGGCATGCTGGTGCA